>NC_000023.11:48785837-49085837 GCF_000001405.40 Homo sapiens
GTTTCCCGCCTCCAAGGCAGCATGGCGGGCAAGAAGTTGAGGCCACTGTCCCTGGGTGTTCCTACCCCCACACCCTCACCCCAAGACAGCCTGTTACTGCGGCGCCAACAGCCACGGTCGCCTACATCTGATAAGACTTATCTGCTGCCCCAGGGCAGGCCGGAGCTGGCGTAAGCCCCAGTGGGGCGCTAAGTGAGTGTGCCCCTGCCTCCCGCCAGCACTGGCCTGGCCTGCAGGCTTAGCCTGGGTCATCAAGGTATCCCACAGGCTCTAGTTCAAATCCAGCAGAACCTCTCTGAGCCTCACTCTTCTCACCTGCAAAATGGGTACAGCCACATCCCTTCTCTCCCTGCAGCCAGGAAGACGCACATACACAGGAGTCTAGCCCACACCGGCCCCGCACAAATTAAGGGCTTTACTCTCTGAAAAGCCCAGTGAAGTCATGAAACCATATCTGCTATTTTCATTTATCTTGGTTTCAGCCTATTTTGCTTGTCTGGACACTACAGTCCACGGGAGCCTAGGTCGAGCGAGGTCCAAGAATCCCCAGGGTGGGCAGGGAGGGTGGAAGAGGGCCTCCAGTGCCCAAGAGGTGCCCCACAAGCATGGGACCCGCCCCCTCCCCTGGACTGCCCCACCCACTGGGGCACCAGCCACTCCCTGGGGAGGAGGGAGGAGGGAGAAGGGAGGGAGGGAGGGAGGGAGGAAGGGAGCCTCAAAGGCCAAGGCCAGCCAGGACACCCCCTGGGATCACACTGAGCTTGCCACATCCCCAAGGCGGCCGAACCCTCCGCAACCACCAGCCCAGGTCAGTCTCAGCCCCCAGAGAGCCCCCACCAAGGCAACCCTGGGCCTGCTGCCCCTACCCTTATGCTTGCTCCAGGCTCCCCAACCCACAGCTGGTCCCCAAAGTGTCAGCCAGCCCTGAATCCCTTTACAGCTCCTCCAACCCACCTGTCTTTCCAACTCCCATTTCTACCCCAAATCTACCCCCTAAACCCCACCTCTTTCTGCCCTCTCATCCACTCCGTCCAAGATATCTATATCCTCTGGATCCCTTCACTTTGCTCGCTATACCCCTAGGTCTGTCTCCCCTAAACACTAACTCTGTCTCCCAAAACATGACTTTATCTCCCCAAATCCTTTCCCTGTCCCATATCTGATTTCCACTCACCCAAACTTGTCTCTGTCTCCCTGACTTCTCCTCCAAACCTCACTTTTCTGCTCCCAAACCCCTTATCTGCTCTACAACGCCTTGTCTTTGCCCCACTCTCTCTGAGCCCCCAAACCTGTCTCTGATCTGCCAAACCCTAGCTCCATCCTCTTACCACCATCTCTGCCTTTCAAACCCACTCTTTGTTCCCAATGACTTCTCTCTGATCTCCGCAAACCATTTATCTCTCCCAACTCCCTGCCTGCTCAGTAAAATATCTTTGTCACTTCAAACACCAAGTCAACTCCCCAAAATCTGTTCTGCCGCATGAACCCTCATGTCTGCCTTCCCCAAACCGTATCTCAGCCCTAAAACACATCTCATTGTCTCCCTGAATCTCTCCAGCTCCAAGCCTTTCTCTACTCCAATTCTATCTTGGCTTCTCAAACTCCCCTTTACTAGCCACATTCTGTCTGCCCAAACAGATCTTTGACTCCTAAACTCCATCTCTCCTCCAGAAAAACCCTTGAACTCCCCAGACTTTTCTATGACCCTCAGAATCTGACTCCCACACTACTTCTCAACTTTATTTCTGACTCTCAAACTTCGCCCCGATCCCCCAACCTCGTCTGTTTTCACAACCTATTCCTGAGCCCAAAATGTGTCTCTGAACTTCCAAGCTCGTCTCTGCTCCACAACCCCGCCCATATCTGCCTCCCCACAAACTCCATGGCTACACCCCAAACCTCTCTGACTTAACCCCATATCTGACCTTCAAATTCCACCTCTATCTCCCCCTAAGCCCCATATCTGCCCCCTAGACCTTATATCTGCTCCCTTCAGCCCGGTGAGACCCTCCCTTGAGGGCTGGGATTGGAACGTTACCTGGGGTGAGGGGCTGGGGCCGAGGGAGAGTGGAGGGTGCCAGCTGCTGCCTGCTGCCGCCGTTGGGGCAACACTTACTCTAGTGGGGCAGCTGATAAGGAGCTTTCATATCCCCCAGCCTCGAGATAAACTTTATCTCTGTCCGGAGAGTGATAACTGGGGGTGAGGAGGCTGGGCCCCTGCCATGGGAGGGGTGGGCAGCCCTGGACTCACCAACGTGTGAGGTGCAGGGGTTGGGGGCAGTGGGGCTGGAGGGAGATCATGGTGGGTAAGGTGGAGTTGAGGGGATGAGGGAATAGTGGTGAAAGAGTGAGCAGAAGACACACAATGAGACAGGGAAGAGAGGGAGAAACAGGGAGAGATGGGAAGAGAGAGACAGAGACACAGAGACAAAGAGCAAGAGACAAAAGAGACATGAAGAGAAAGGAAAAACAGAGAGAGAGAAACTCAACGAGTAAGAGACAGAGACAGACAGATGGCCGGAGAAAAAGAAGGAAAGACCCGGGAGCAGAAAAGGAGATAGAAATGCAGAGATACACGCAGGTAGCACTGTGAAGAGGCAGAGACTAACACAGAATTAGAGACAGAGAGGAAAGAGATGGAGACCAAGATGGGGAAGCAAAACACTCTCTTCAGAGAGCAACAGCAGGCACCCTGGGGCTGAGAAGGTGTTGGCGGTGGGCACACTTGTGGCCCATCTCTTTCCTAGCATAACTCCCAAGCCTGGGCCTGCCCCTTAGCCTGTCTATACCATGGGTCATGTAAGCAGGAGTGAGGGGCAGTTTGAAGACAGCCTTCTAGTCTAGCCCTGTCACTCCACCCTACAGACACAGAAACAGAGCAGGCCAGCACAATAGGGCCAGGGCCAGCATTCCAGGCTCCTTATCCTGAGCTGCATGTGGCTGGGTACGGTCAGGGGTATGGGACTAGTAAGAGGCACGTGGACATAAGGTCAGAGGGCCCAAAGAGAGGGAAACAGAGGGAACAGACAAACAAGCAGGAAGAGTGGGAGAGATGCAGAGATGTTCAGAGAGATAGGAGAGGAGAGGGAGAAAGCAAGAGTAACAGAAAGAGAGAGCCAGAGAGAGAAACATGGGAAGACAGAAAAGAAGACAGAAAATCATCAAACATTACAAAAGCACAGAAAGAGGTCGGGCGCAGTGGCTCACGCCTATAACCTCAGCACTGTGGGAGGCCGAGGTGGGCCGATCACTTGAGGTCAGGAGTTCAAGACCAGCCTGGCCAACATGGCAAAACCTCGTCTTTACTAAAAATACAAAAATTAGCTGGGTGTGGTGGCATGTGCCTGTAATCCCAGCTACTAGGGAGGCTGAGGCACGAGAATCACTTGAACCTGGGAGGCTGGGGTTGCAGTGAGCTGAGATCGCACCACTGCACACCAGCCTGGGTGACAGAGTGAGACTCCGTCTCAAAAAAAAAAAAAAAAGAAAAAGAAAAAGCACAGAAGGAGAAGACAAGCTATATCATAGAAACACAGAAAGCTGGGGAAGCTACAGAGTCAGACTTGAGAGGGAACAGAGAGTCAGGGGAAAGAGCCCCAGGGGATAGAGAAGTGGAGAGCTAGATGACAGACACACACAAGGCAAAACAGGCAAAGGGCCATCCCACAGGTCTCAGCTCAGCCCCAGCCCATCACCACCCCCAATACAGCAGATGGGGAAACTGAGGCCTGGGAACTGAAAGAGCCTGAAAGCAGAACTCTGGTGGGCCTCTCCAGGGGAGAGGGTACCGGTAGAGGTACCTCCCACCTGCCACCCTCTTCAGAGGAAGTCAGTGGCCTTGGGGTGATTTCAAAAGTTGGGCGGGGAAGGCAGAGATAAGCAGTGGGGGGTACTGACCCCCCCCCAACCAAGAAGTAGGGAGGAACTAAGGGGGCCTTCTGTCTGTAGACGCAACAGAGGTGGAGGGAGGAGGGAGTCAAGCCCGGAAACCATGGGGTTTCTGAGAAAGTTAGAGGGCAAGATACAACAGATAGGGATGAAGTTGGGGAGCAGAGGATGGTGAACCCCAAAGTCCTGGGTGAAGTGACCAAGAGGCAAGGGACTCTGGTCCTGCATGCCATCCCACCCTCACCCAGACTCTTCTAGAGGGGGAGGGAAGAAAGGACGGGGGGACGGGGAGAATAAGAGGAAGTGGAGGAGGGGAGGAGAGGAGATGGGGAAAGGGAGAAAAGGATGAACAGAAAAGGGAGGAGAAGGATGAAGAAATTGGAGGGGAGGAGAAAATGAGTAGTAGGAGAAAGGAGTGGAGAGTAGATGTAGACAGGGGAAGAGAGGCCGGAAGTGGTGGCTCACACCTGTAATCCCAGTACTTTGGGAGGCTGAGGTGGGAGGATCACTTGAGGCCAGGAGTTCAAGACCAGCCTGGGCAACAGAGTCATACCCCATTTCTACAAAAAAAAAACAAAAACTAGCCAGGCCTGGTGGCACACACCTGTAGTCCCAGCTACTCAGGAGGCTGAGGCAGGAGGATCACTGCCGGGAGGCAGTGGTTGCAGTGAGCCGAGATCGTGCCACTGCACTCCAGCCTGGCAACAGAGGAGACCCTGCCTCAAAAAAAAGTGTGTGTGGATGGGGGAGAGGGAGATAAGGTGTGTGAGAAAGGTAGAAAAGGAGAATGAAGACAAAAAGAGAAGGAGGACAAGGAAGAGGGGAAACAGGAAAGGAGAAGGAGGAGGTCAAGGAGGAAAAGAAGAAGGTGGAGGAGAAAAAGGAAGCAGGAGAGAATGAGAAAAGAGTGGAAAGAGAAGGAAATGGGGAAGAGGGGGGCAAAGAAGAGATGGGAAGAAGAGAGACGGGAGAAAGACAGGAGGAAAAGGGAAGGGGGGAAGAAGAGAGAGAATGGAAGGAAGAAGGGAGAGGTAGAAGCAGATGAGAGTGGAGGAAGAGCGAGAGGAGGGAGGAGAGGAAAGACAAACGGCAAGAGGGGGAGAACGAGGAGGAAGATGAAAGGAGGGGCACACAGGAGTGGAACGGGGAGATGCAGGAGGGAAAAGAGAGGAGAGGGAGGAAGAGAAGGAGGGGAAGGAGAGGGGAGACTAAGGTGAGGAGGAGGGGGGAATGGGGAGGTGGGAAGGAGAAATATGGAGACTGAGGTGATGGAGTGGGAGGAGGGGGAAAGGAGGGAAGAGGAGCAGGTGAAAGGAGGTGGGGGGGAAGGATTTCTGTGTCTGAGGACCCCTTCTGTCCTCGCAGGTTAATCCCCAGAGGCTCCATGGAGTTCCCTGGCCTGGGGTCCCTGGGGACCTCAGAGCCCCTCCCCCAGTTTGTGGATCCTGCTCTGGTGTCCTCCACACCAGAATCAGGGGTTTTCTTCCCCTCTGGGCCTGAGGGCTTGGATGCAGCAGCTTCCTCCACTGCCCCGAGCACAGCCACCGCTGCAGCTGCGGCACTGGCCTACTACAGGGACGCTGAGGCCTACAGACACTCCCCAGGTAACTCCATTGAGTGGCTGTCTTGGCATTGGCTGAGTGCTGTTGGGGTTGCCATGGAGATCCTTGGCTAGGTCAGAATACCACTGTGAGGATATCTCAGAAATGGCTGGAAGCTTCTCAAATGGATGTGCCGACCACTTTCCCTAGTTAAGTGCAGACCTGGGAATTCCAATGCTCCTCAACCTGCCATATTGGGGCGGCCACACTGAGAGGCAATACTGGAAGTATGTGGTGGTTGCCCTAGTTGTCGAGTGATCCGTGGAGCTCCAAATCCCAACAGTCATCCTCAAAAACCCACTTGGAAATGGTCAGAGGTTATTGCAGAGGCCACACTGACCAGTGGGGGTCAGGATCCAGGAAGCATCCAATGGCCAGCAGCTGTTCTGGTAGCCTGTGGAAAAGCTGGGAACTTGGCCACCATGTTGGGGGTGCTGGGAACCACTGCACCCTGACGTGCGCTGACCCTAGACTGATTTTGCCTCTTCTTTCCTCCATCCCTACCTGCCCCCAACAGTCTTTCAGGTGTACCCATTGCTCAACTGTATGGAGGGGATCCCAGGGGGCTCACCATATGCCGGCTGGGCCTACGGCAAGACGGGGCTCTACCCTGCCTCAACTGTGTGTCCCACCCGCGAGGACTCTCCTCCCCAGGCCGTGGAAGATCTGGATGGAAAAGGCAGCACCAGCTTCCTGGAGACTTTGAAGACAGAGCGGCTGAGCCCAGACCTCCTGACCCTGGGACCTGCACTGCCTTCATCACTCCCTGTCCCCAATAGTGCTTATGGGGGCCCTGACTTTTCCAGTACCTTCTTTTCTCCCACCGGGAGCCCCCTCAATTCAGCAGCCTATTCCTCTCCCAAGCTTCGTGGAACTCTCCCCCTGCCTCCCTGTGGTGAGAAATTCAAAAAAGGACAGGGAAGTTGAGGTGGGAGGGGTGGCCCAAAGTAAAGCTGAGCTGAGCCTAGCTCCCTCTTCTCCTCTCCACCCCACCAGAGGCCAGGGAGTGTGTGAACTGCGGAGCAACAGCCACTCCACTGTGGCGGAGGGACAGGACAGGCCACTACCTATGCAACGCCTGCGGCCTCTATCACAAGATGAATGGGCAGAACAGGCCCCTCATCCGGCCCAAGAAGCGCCTGGTAAGACCACAGACCTGCTTCACCTTATACACAGGAACCCCTGTCCTCACCCTGTACAAGAAGCCACATCTTCCCATTATATAGGAACGCTGTTCTCATGATTACAGGAAGCTACTGCAGGCCACCCTGTATGGGAACCCCTGTCCCAATATCACATGGAAACCCTTGCCTTCATCCTACACAGGAAAATCTCCTCATCCCATATGGAAATCCTTGCCCTCACCCTGCATGAGAACTCCTGCCCTTTCCTTGTACAGGAACCCAGATCTATAGAAGCTCCTATCCTCAACCTACCCTTATAAGCTTCAAACAGAAACCTTTGTCCTCACCCTGCACACCAGTGTTTTCGTCCTTGGCTTCACACTGGAATCACCCCAGGTCCCTTCTCCCAGATGTGCTGATGGAATTGGACTGGGATGCTGCTTGGGCATCAGGATATTTTAGCTCCCCAAGTGATTCCGATACGCAGCCAAAGCTGAGAACCACCAATGTAGTCCCCCATAGAATACAGAACAAAAGAAACTTATACCAGATAGGAACCCCTGTACTGGCCCCATACAGAATCCTCAGGCATCACCCTGTAAACAAAGCCCTGCCTTCAACCTGACCCTCACTTCTTGGGTCCTCCTGACATCCCCTGTGAGCCCCTTACCCCCACTTCCACATCCCCAGGGCACTGATCTCACATCCTGTCGTCCCCTAGATTGTCAGTAAACGGGCAGGTACTCAGTGCACCAACTGCCAGACGACCACCACGACACTGTGGCGGAGAAATGCCAGTGGGGATCCCGTGTGCAATGCCTGCGGCCTCTACTACAAGCTACACCAGGTGACGCCCTGCCCCTTGGAGCCACCCCTCTGCTTTCCCTGTCTTCATGCCACACTGCCCCCCACTCTGTTCCTGTTCTACCTCTCTCTTCCCCCACAACCCTCTTTCCTCTTTCCCCTTTCCCTCCTTCCTCCCCCTTCCCCCATCTCTTCTACTTTCCCCCTTCCTCCATCTCTTCTACTTTCCCCCTTCTCTGTTATTACCCTCCCTCCTTCCTTCTCCATTCCCTCCTCCTCCGCCCTCCTCCTTCCTCTCCTCTCCCCCACCTCCAGGCATCAGCTAATGTCCAACCCCCTGCCCTAGACCTTGGGCAGCTCCTATCAGCCTTGGAGGCTTTCCTAAGCTCAGGGCCTCACAGCCTCAGGATTCCTTGGACAATCTCAGCACCCAAAAATTATCTTACCCTGAAAGAAGTGGGGTAGAGAGGGTGTCCCTGGTTGACACAGAGAGGCAAAGGTCTGGAGTTGGGGACACCCGCAGCCTCCTTTTTGGCAGGTGAACCGGCCACTGACCATGCGGAAGGATGGTATTCAGACTCGAAACCGCAAGGCATCTGGAAAAGGGAAAAAGAAACGGGGCTCCAGTCTGGGAGGCACAGGAGCAGCCGAAGGACCAGCTGGTGGCTTTATGGTGGTGGCTGGGGGCAGCGGTAGCGGGAATTGTGGGGAGGTGGCTTCAGGCCTGACACTGGGCCCCCCAGGTACTGCCCATCTCTACCAAGGCCTGGGCCCTGTGGTGCTGTCAGGGCCTGTTAGCCACCTCATGCCTTTCCCTGGACCCCTACTGGGCTCACCCACGGGCTCCTTCCCCACAGGCCCCATGCCCCCCACCACCAGCACTACTGTGGTGGCTCCGCTCAGCTCATGAGGGCACAGAGCATGGCCTCCAGAGGAGGGGTGGTGTCCTTCTCCTCTTGTAGCCAGAATTCTGGACAACCCAAGTCTCTGGGCCCCAGGCACCCCCTGGCTTGAACCTTCAAAGCTTTTGTAAAATAAAACCACCAAAGTCCTGAAATTGTGGGTGTGTCTATGTGTGGCTGAACAGCAGAGCTGAGTGGAGTGTGTAACAATGCCTGTGGCTCTCTGATGACAGTGCATGGCTGCAATGTGTGACCATGTGAGGCTGGCTGAGGCGGCACATGTGACACTTTGTGACCAAGGGTTATGTTGTGTGATTGGAACAATCTATGTGAAACTTCTTGTGAAGTGTCCAGGTGGTTCCATATGTCATGGTAAGAGGCCACGCAGGGCTTGCTGACGGTGGGGGTGGTGCCGGGTGACTATAAGCACACTGGAAGTGTGTGTGCTGGAGCAGGTGATAAGGAGGTGTGCGGGGCTGTGGTCTTGTGGCTGGGCATGACGCTGGGGGACCTTTGAGACGGCATGACGCTGGGGGACCTTTTAGACAGCATGACAGCATACGTGGTGGGCACAGAATCTGGTAAAGATTCTTGGAATGTTGAACAAGAAGTGTGTGTCAGGATGTGTTTGTGGGTCTGGCGATGGCAATATTTCAGTGCAAGTCCCTGTGCATGGGCATGGGTGTGCGTGTGTGTGCATTACGTGTGGCATGTGCCATGTCACAGTGTCTCTGAGTGGCTGACAACATGAGCAGCTCTGTGTACATTTGTTTGTGGAGGTCTCAACAGCAGAGTTTCAGAGGGTATAAGTTAGGGACTCTCTTCCAAGGGACAAAAGACACATTCAGGAAAGGAACACGGAGAAGGGTGGAGCTGGAATGGTAGCTGGCAAGGTCAGAGGCCAGTGCTGGGGCGCAGGGTTGTCCGTGGGTCTTCCTGTCGGACTGGTCTTATCTTGCTCAGCCCAGCTCAGCCTGCAGCCCTGTGGGAAATGGTAGAGAATGAGAGGGGGAGATTAGGGGGACAAAGCAGCCCCTGGAGGTGGTTTCAACCTCAGTAGGTGGGGCGCTCCACACAGTGCCAACCCCTTCCCCAACATTCCCACTCACCTGGGTGAACTGCTCCCCCCACAGCGGAGTCTGTTCCTCAATTTCACAAACACACAGGAGCATAATCTGAGTCATGCCTTAAGCATCCTAAGGCAGACTGCTTAAGTGGCTCAATGGAGGCCACACAGCCAGTGGCAAGGGGCCCAGCGGGGCAGTCTGGCCTGGTGTCCATGTGCTCAGCCACACCCCACAGCCAGCAGCACCCTTTCCTAAGGGCTCACTGTGGGTCAGGCGGCAGGCTGGGAGGCTCCAGTTGCTTTAGTTCATTAGTGCCTGAAATAAATATTCTGAGGAAAATATACCCATACTCATTTCACTAATGGAAGAGTGAGGCCCAGAACTGATGAGTAACTTACCCTGACCACCAAGTTTAAGGAGTGGATTTTGGATGGGGTGACACACCCAGCCCAGCAAATAAGTGCTGCTCACACTTAACCGCTCTTTATGGCTTCTTCCCTAGAGCCCCGGATATGGGGGTTGCAGGGACCCACAGGTCCTGACCATATTATAGGTAAGCAGCTGTCCTCCACAGAACACCAGCCCATCAGCTAGCGGGCATTCCAGCTCCACTAAGTAGCCTGCTGCAGAATCACAGGAGTCTATTATGCTCACTGTGGGCATTGTCCACAACAGCCCTGATCCCATAAAAGACACGTGTCTGGCCTCCCCTCAGAAGCCCAGCCCTCACACCCTGCAGGAGGCCCCATCCTCTAAAAACCCCCTTCAGAACCTGTGCTGGACACATGTCTGGCCCCACCTTGTTCAGGAGCCCCGGGCCTCACCCCCATAAGTATAGCTCCCCCAGCCTGGTACAGAAGACTAGCTCTGAAGCTCTAGGGGAGCCCTTCATCTAATTATCGACAGGAAACCCATCCTGATCCTGTACAGGAATGCCAGCGCTTACCCTGAATAGGAGGAACCTCTGCCTAACCCCAGCTAGGGACATCTGGACTAAGCTGTAAGGAAGCCCCTGCACACCCTGGACAGGAACCCTTGTCCTGACCATCCACACAAGCCTCAGTCTCCCTATACGAATCCTGTCTTGACCTCAGACAGGAACACCTTTGTACTCACACTGCTGCAGTCCTGTCCTCCAGGTAGCATTTTAAAAACACCTCACTCACAATAATCTGAGTAGTAAACCATGGACCCAGCTCTGTCTTTACAGAAATCCCTGTCCTCAACCTCTTCAAGGACCCTGACTGTGTGTGGAACCTCTTGCCTTCATTGTTGACAATGATCCCTGATGTTGCCCTGCACAACAATCCATGACCTCACACCCTATCCCATAGAGTCCACAGGAACCCATGATCCAACTCTCAACATGAACCTCAGTCTTTAACTTGTATAGAAAACCACTTCCTGACCTTATGGCAGGAATGCCTGTCTTGACCATTTACTTTAAGCCCTGACCTCAGCCTATACAGGCACCTATGGCCTCACCTGATACAGGACCCCCCCTTCTCACTATATAGGTCGCATTTATTGATGCTGCACGAGGCTCCTGGGCCTTACCTTGTATTAGCTCCACTACCCTGACCCTCTACAGCAGGGGTTCCCAACCCCCAGGACACGGACTGGTACTGGTCCATGGCCTATTAGGAATTGGTCCACACAGCAGGAGGTGGGCAGCAGGCAAGCAAGCATTACCACCTAAGCTCCGCCTCCTGTCAGATCAGCAGTGGCATTAGATTCTCATAGGAGCACGAACCTTATTGTGAACTGTGCATGCAAGGAATCTAGGTTGCGTGCTCCTTATGAGAATCTAACTACTGCCTGATGAGCTGAGGTGGAACAGTTTCATCCCCAAACCATCCCCCACCATCCGTGGAAAGACTGTCTTCCACGAAACCGGTCCCTGGTGCCAAAAAGGTTGGGGACCGCTGCTCTACAGGAAGCCTGACCCTAAAACTGTTCCAGGACTTCTGACTGGTCTCTGCAGAAAGCCTTTGTCCTGAACCTCAACAGAAATCCTTTACTTTTACAGTAATTTATTTACAGGAATCTCTGTAATTTACAGGAATCTCTGATCTTTATAGGAACTCCTAGCTTTACTCTCTGGAAATACACTGCTTACCCTGAACAGGAAGCTTAATGTGATTCTCTATAACAGCCTTTTCCCTGGCCTTGTCCCAGAAGCCCCACCTGCACCCTGTACAGGAACCACTGCCCTGACCCAACAAAGAAACACCGACCTGAATCTCTGAAGGGGCAGTGTCCTAACTACACAGAGGATCTTTGTCCTGAACCCGCACAGGAACCTCTATTACCCCCAGCAGGAACCTGTGCCCTGAGCTAGCACAGAAAATCCTGCCCTTACACTCAACAGGAACCTTTGATTTGCCTCTTTAGAGTAATCCAAAGAATGAACCAGTATAAAAAACCTCTACACTGTACAAGAACCTCTGTTCTGTACTTGTTAAACAACCCATAATCAGAATCACCATGAATACCTGCCTGGAGACTGTACAGGAACCCCTGACCTAACCCCCAATGGAATCACCTGATCTGTCTGTCTCTAGTAACACAGCTCTGATCCTGGACAGAAATACCTGGCCTGAGTACGCTGTGATCCTCTGGCCTGGCCGTCTACAGAAAACCACTCTCCTGGCCTCAAAAGGAACACCTAACCTTAATCTGTATGGGAAAAAATGCCTTCACAGTTTTCCCTCTCACTTTACAATGTCTCCAACCTTTGTATTTCCCTGCAAACCTGCCTTACCAGGTAACAGAATCATTCTCCTGACCCCAGACAGGAAACACTAACCTGACCCAGAGATGCTCCTACCCCTACACAGTAAGAGTCCCTGTCTCAATGCTTTAAAGAGAAATTTCTATAGCAGTGCTGTCCAATAGAAATATGTGAGTCACACGGGTAATTTTATATTTTCAATGTAGCCACATTAAAAAGAGAAAAAAAAGATAAAATTATTTTCAATAACATCAATATACTTAACTTTACCCAATATATTCAAATATTATTTTAACATGTAATCAATATAAAAATTACTGAGCTATTTTAAACTTTTTATACTGAGTTTTGTGATCTGGTGTACATTTCACATTTATAGCACATCATCTCAAGTTAGACTGGCCACATTTCAAGAGCAGTAGCCACACGTGGCTGGTAGCTACCATATAGGACAGCATAGGTCTGTGGAGTCTACGGAACCCTATAGCAGACACTGCTATAAGCTCATTGAGACCTGTTCCTGTTCTTCCTGAGCTCACTCTACCTATTCCAGCCTCCTCTGCAGATAGATGTGGGCACATGACAGAGTTCTGACCAATGGAGTATGGGCAAAAGTGACATATACCAGTTCCAGGCCTGACCCATAAAAATCTCTCATGCAATCCTCCATTTCCTCTCTTTCCCTGTCTACCAACTGAAAACCAACTAACTCCAAGGACCTAGAGGAGGACAGAGTCACAAAATAGAGTTTGCCTGGGTCCATGAATGAACAGTAGTAAATATTCAGATTGGCTTTTGAATGAGCAAGAAATAAACATTTATTCGTTAAGCCCCTGAAATTCTGGGTTACAGCAGCTAGGATAATTTAGCCTAATTAATAATAATCTCTCCCCCTCTCTCTCTCTCCTTTTTTTTTTTTTTTTTTTTTTTTGAGATGGAGTCGCCCAGGCTGGAGTGCAGTGGTGCAATCTTGGTTCACTGCAACCTCCGCCTCCCAGATTCTCCTGCCTCAGCCTCCTGAGTAGCTGGGATTACAGGTGTATTAGCCCGGCTAATTTTTGTAGTTTTGGTAAAGATGGGATTTCACCATGTTGGCCAAGCTGGTCTCAAATTCCTGACCTCAAATTATCTGCCCACCTAGGCCTCCCAAAGTGCTGAGATTACAGGCGTGAGCCACCACGCCTGGCCAGTAATTTTTTTTTTTTTTTTTTGAGACAGGATCTCACTCTATTACCCAGGATGGAGTACAGTGGCACAATCTCGGCTCACTGCAACCTCTGCCTCCCCTCCCAGGCTCAAGCGATCCTCACACCTCAGCCTCCCGAGTAGCTGGGACTACAGATGCACACCACCACACCCAGCTAATTTTTGTGTTTTTTATTGAGATGGGGTTTTGTAATGTTGCCCAGCTGGTCTCAAACTCCTGAGCTCAAGCAATCTGCCCTCCTCTGCCTCCCAAAGTGCTGGGATTACAAGTGTGAGCCATTCTGCCTGGCCAATAATAATCTCTTGACCGAAATCTAGACACCTGATCTCACTGTCTATATGAACACAAGCTCTGAACCTATACAGAAACACCTGTGACCCAGTACTGGCCCACCTGATCTCTTTGTAGGAAGCTGTCATAACATAGGTCTAAGAAGCCCCATCCTGGCCACGAATGGTGGCTCACACCTGTAATCCCAGCACTTTGGGAAGCTGAAGCAGGCAGATTGCTTGAGTCCAGGAGTTTGAGACCAGCTTGGGCAACATGGCGAGACCCCATCTCTATAAAGAAAAAAAAATTAGGCAGGCATGGTGGCATGCACTTGTAGTCCCAGCTACTTGGGAGGCTGAGGTAGGAAGACAGCTTGAGCCCAAGAGGTTGAAGCAGCAGTGAGCCGTGTTCACACCACTGCACTCCAGCCTAGGCAACAGAGTGAGACCCTGTCCCCTGTATCAAAAAACAAAAACAAAAAAACAAAAAAACAAAACCTTAATCCTTAACTTGCACAGGAACAGGAACCCATAGTCTGGAGCTCTCTAGAAACCCCTGCTTGATTCAGTAAAGGTACAATATAGAAACCATAGGAATCCCTGTCCTCATTCTGTCCAGGAACATTTGGAATGACCCACCAGAGGTACACTAGAAGTGACCTGACCCTGCCCATGAATCCCTGTCCTCACACACCTCACACAAAAGGAATACCTCTCCTTAGGAAAAAAGGCCCCTACCCTCAATCCTGCAAAAGAATACCAGCCAGATAGAGACCAAGGCCTGACACTACAGCACAGATCGGCAAACTATGGCATTCAAGCCAAAGCCAGACTGTGGGCTGTTTTACATTTTTAAAGGGTTGTTTTTTAAAAAGAGAAAAAAAGAAAAATGCCACTGAGACCGTATGTGGCCTGCAAAGCCTAAGATGTTTACTCTCTGTCCCTTTATAAAGTTTGCTGACCCCTGCTCTTCAGAAACCTCTCTTCTGATCCAACAGAAAAATGGGCCTTGACCCTTTGCAAGACTCCCTACTCTATCAGGCTGCAGGTATCAGAACTCTAGAATTTTTTTGTAGTGTGTTATCATTGTATGTGTTTTCTTTGGTGAGTGTAGGGGTTTAAAGGTCTTAGGTCTGCAACTCTTTTGCGCTGAGACAAAAGATAGGTTCACGTAGGAGGGGTGAGAGGGAAGAGGCGGCAGGACATCTTCAAGAGGATCAGAGGGCAAAGCTACTGGGCGGTGAGACCGTCAATCTGTCAGTCTGATGCAGAACCCCCGGACTGCTTATCTCTCCGGTCCCAGCTTATAGCCCGGTAGGAAATGGTGGAGAATGAGACAGGGAGATTAGGAGGACAAACCGGCCTCCTGCAGAGCTGACATTTAGACATGGAGTGGGAGTTGCGGGGGAGAGGGGGTGCCTAGGGACAGCTCCCCAGACGCACACACACTTTCTATTACTGCTTGGGAGCAGTGGTTACCCGTTGGAGGGGGCAGATAGGGAGAGCTGCTGCCCATGAGAACTCCCATCCTCAAGGCCATTCTGGCCCTGGGCACTATTATTATCACAACTTTCCAGATGAGGAAACGGAGCACAGAACTGTTCAGCAACTTGCCCAAAGTCACATGGTTAAGTCCCGTAACCTCAGTTTCCTTATCTGCAAAGCAGCCTTAATAATGGGAACTACCTCATAGAATTGTGGTTTACAACGATGCCTGTCACATAATACTTGCTATCATTACCATTCCCTGCCCCCACTAAGACTCCTTCCACTCAGAATATTGCGGCAGAATATTAATAGCTAATATTCGGCCAGTGTTTCCTGTGTACCACCATAGTGAATATTAACTCGGAAAATCCTCACATTTAGCATCGTCACCACGCCTATTTTGGCCGCCACCACCAACGTCCAGTGGCAACCTCGCTCTCGGCCCAGCCACAACCAGCCCGCCCGCGCTACGTCATCACGGCGCGTCGCGCGGGAAGTCGCGGGGAAAAGGTAAGATGCCCCTTCCTAATTCCCTCGCTTCCTTGCTTGCTCTCCAGACACCGCCGACCCGAAGGGCTCCTAAGTGACTGGACAGGGACGGAGGGGCGGCGGCTATGGCATCCGGGACGACAGCGACGATAGCCGAGGCAAGAAAAAGCTTGCACCGCAGCCCTGTCGGGAACCGCCGGCGCCTGCCTTTTACGTAGGCGCAGCACAGCTGGCGTAGCACGCCGACGCACCGCCCCGTCGCCTGTGAGCTCGCGGTGTGGCTCAGCCCAGCTGGCGTAGCACGCCGACGCACCGCCCCGCCGCTTGTGAGCTCGCGAGAGGTGTGGCTCGCGCGAGGGGCGCGGCCTTGAGGCACGGTCCCCTCTGGAGGCGGGATCTGGGCGGGCAGTCGAGAGACGAGGCCCAATGGAAAAGAAAAGCCTGAGCGCTCGCGTCCCCACAGGTCGCCAGAAACTTGGTGGAGCGAGCCAAGGGCGGAGTTTGAGAAAGGGGCTGCGTCCAATGAGTGGAGCGGTGAGTACAGCGCGTCGACGGCGGAGGCGGGAAGGGGGCGGAGGCCGACCGAAGGCGGCTAGGGACTGGCTGAAGAGGGTTAGCGAAACGTTAGCGGTCGGGTCTGGGCAGGGGGTGGAGCTGGTTGAAGGAACGGGGCAGTCCCCTGAGGAGCGGGGCTGGTTGAAACGCTAGGGGCGGGATCTGGCGGAGTGGAAGGTACCGGTCCGGCCCGATAAGGGGTGGAGTTAAGTGAATCGTTAAGGGTGGAGTCGAAACCGGGGTCGGGGCCGGGGCCGGCTGAGTGAAAGGGTGGGTGATTATCCCGGGAGATAGGCCGAAAGGGCAGGTTCGTGAAGGAATGGGGTCTGGGCTGGGCTTAGAGGGTCTGGGAATGGGGCTTAGGAGAGTAGAAGGGGCGGTGATTGGTTGGAAAGGGCAGGCCCTAAGACGGACTGTGTGAGCCCGGGGGCTCATTGCTCCGTGAAAGGGCAAGACCAGGGAAAGAGAATCGTGTAAAAGGGGTGGAGTCTAGCGGGCCGGGCGGGGCCGGGTAGAATGGCCACCTGAGTGGAGGGAGAAGGCCTGAGAGAGGCGGAGTTTGGAAGGCTGTGGAGAATCAGATCGCGTAAGGAATGGAATCTAATAGAGGGGGCGGAGCCTGGAAAAGGGCAGAGAGGTGGGGTCCTCAGGGCACACTAGCCCCCTCACATACCCACGCTCCTCCCCCCACCCCCAGAACCGCGGCAGGGGCCAAGCCTCCTCAACTATGACCTCAACCGGCCAGGATTCCACCACAACCAGGCAGCGAAGAAGTAGGCAGAACCCCCAGTCGCCCCCTCAGGACTCCAGTGTCACTTCGGTGAGGCCCTAGACCCGCCCTGATGAGGGGGAGAGGGAGCAAGTTGGTCATGCCCTGGACTCTGACCCTTCTCTCTGATTCACAGAAGCGAAATATTAAAAAGGGAGCCGTTCCCCGCTCTATCCCCAATCTAGCGGAGGTAAAGAAGAAAGGCAAAATGAAGAAGCTCGGCCAAGCAATGGAAGAAGACCTAATCGTGGGACTGCAAGGGATGGTGAGCAGGGCCTGGCTGCAGTTTAGCCTCGTATGACAATCAAAACCCAAAGGTTCCCCACCCTGGACAGTTCCCTCTGACTCAGGGCCTAAAATGGATCTGTGTCTCCTTTTTTTTTTCCTCTGCAGGATCTGAACCTTGAGGCTGAAGCACTGGCTGGCACTGGCTTGGTGTTGGATGAGCAGTTAAATGAATTCCATTGCCTCTGGGATGACAGGTGAGGCTGGGTCCTCCAGGCTGTCTCCAAACCACAAAAATACACACACTTAGAGCCCATTAGCAAGAATAAATCTTTTCTTACCCCAGCCTGGATACTGGAAGCAGATGATTTGGGGAGGTAGGGCTCACACTTGAAAGGGTTCTTTTATGTAGCTAACAAACATTTATTGAGTGCCTATTGTGTGCCAAGAGTTGGTGATACAAATGTACCAAACAACAGACAGGGGTCCTTCTCTAGGAGCGGATTGATGAGTAGGAGGGCAGATCATTAAACAGCCAACAGCAGTATGAGGTGTTTAATGAAGACAGACTTAAGACCAGGGGATTCAAGGGTGTATAATAGAGGATCCTAAACTAGTATCCGGGCTTCCCAGAAGCCTTTATAGAGGAAGAGACGTTTGTACTGAAACAGAAGGATGAAACCTCCCGTTTGCTTTACTTTTCAAAAAGAATCAGCAAATCCTTTTGGCTATATGTTCAAAATATATTCACCATCTGACCTCTCCTCACCACCTCCACTGCCACCATCATCATCACTCACCTAGACTTGCAGAGGCCTCCTCCCTGGTCCCCTACTTCCAACCTCACCTCTATTATCTGTTCATGCAGCAACCTAAAAAAATATGTATGAGTTGATGTCTTTGTTAAAATACTTTAAGGAGGCCAGGCATGGTGGCTCACGCCTATAATCCCAGCACTTTGGGGGGGCCAAGGCAGGTGGATCACTTGAGGTCAGGAGTTCGAGACCGGTCTGACCAACGCGATGAAACACTGTCTCTACTAAAAATACAAAAATTAGTTGGGCGTGGTGGCACACACCTGTAATCCTAGCTACTTGGGAGGCTGAGGCAGGAGAATCGCTTGATCTGGGAGGCGGAGGTTGCAGTGAGCCGAGATTGTGCCATTGCACCCCAGCCTGGGCAACAAGAGCAAAACTCTGTCTCAAAAAGTAAAAATAAAAAAAAAAAAAGTACTTTAAGGGCAAACTGTTGCCCTCAAGGTAAAGTCCAAATTTTTCATCCTGGCCTCAAAGGTTCCACATGATCTGGCTCCACATCACTTTGTGACCTCATCAGCCAATCCTTCTCGCCCACACTACTCCCCTTGTTCTTCCAACATGCCAGGCACCCTCTTGCCTCTGGTCTGTACCCTGACCAACCCCTTTCCCAGAGATTCTTTTCGGTCTTCTACTCTTCCAGCTGCCTTTCACATCCCAATGAGACTTTCTCAGAGAAGGTTTTGCCTGGCCAAACCCTACCCCAATACCTGATCTTATTTTCCTAGCCCATGACATTGTTTGCTAATTATCATACTTGTGTGTTTACCAATTAATATCTATATCCCTTATCCCAACCTAAGACTAACTTACTATGGGAAAAAGACTTCTTTTATGGAATACCTATTTACCATCTATTGAGGAGCTAGGGATACAGCAGTAAACAAAACAAACAAAAGCCTGTGTCTTCAGGGTAAAGGGGGAAGACAGACAATAAATAAACAAAAAGTAAATGATGCACTGTGGTAGAAAGAGCAGTGTTATGAAGAAGCAGTAAAGGGAGGATAGTAGGAGAAAGTACAGTGGAGGAGACTTCAATTTTAAATAGGCTGGTCAGGGAAGGCCTCACTATTTGAGCAGGGATCTGAAGAGGTGAAGGAGTAAGTCATGGAGACAGTTGGAGGAAGAGTATTCTAGGCGGGGGTGGGGGGGCCAGCTAGAGTAAAGTTCTAGGGCTGGCTGAAGAGTATTTGGTTCAACTGAGAACCAGGGAAGAGACCAGTGTAGGTGAAGCGAAGCAAAGGAAAGAGGGAGGGGTAGGAGATGGGGTCAGAGAGGTGATGGAGGACAGATTGTTTAGGGCCTTCTGGGCATGGGTAATACTTTGGCTTTTACTCAGAATGGGATGGGAGCCTCGAAGGGACATGAACTGATTAGGGTTTTAACCAGTGTCTAGCTGCTATGCACAGAAAGGACCGTTGAGGTGGCGAGGGTCGAAGCAGGGAGGCCGAGGAGATGCCGCCACAGCCCAGGCGGGAGGGTATGGTAATAGCAGTGGCAGTGGTGAGGAGAGGGTCACACACCAGAGCTGATGGGAGGCAGGACTGACACCACAGTTTTGGGGTAAGCAGCTGTGGAAGGGTGGATGGGGAGATGTGGAGAGAACAGATGTGGAGCTCCCCAGTGTCCTCATGCATCTGTGACTGTGACTCCATCTCCCCAGCTTCCCGGAAGGCCCTGAGCGGCTCCATGCCATCAAGGAGCAACTGATCCAGGAGGGCCTCCTAGATCGCTGCGTGTCCTTTCAGGTAAGGCCCCCAAGCCAACACTCTGGGTGAAGGGCAGGGAGCTGACCTGACCTGGGTGCAGCCCATGCCTTAACCCTTTACCCCACTTTATTCCTCATCTCTCCCCAGGCCCGGTTTGCTGAAAAGGAAGAGCTGATGTTGGTTCACAGGTGAAGGCTTGGGAGCCTTGTAGGGATGGGGAGGAGCCTGCCCTGGACAAACCAGGGCAAGCTAAACGCTTTGGGAAGCAATGTCATGGTCTCTGCAGCCAGCCTTGGGCAAGTCGCTGAGCCTTTCTGAATCTGTGTCATCGCCTGTAACAAGGGGACCAGTAAACATAAGTTCCTCAGGAGAGTTTGATGTGTGTCAGGTGCTTAGAACAGGGCCTGATATATAATCAGCCCATGATGAGCTATTACTGTTATCATGATCTGATTGTGTGAATAGATGGTGGATGTGTGGACAGAGTGATCGGGGTTCCCCCAGGGGCTTCCAGATTTAGAGGCCTAGTGCTATGTGGCTTGAGGAAAGCTAGCTTCCAGAGCAGGTATCTGAGCTGAACTTTAAGAGGAGAAAAAGAGTGAGTCAGATGAAGAGGGTGACTGAGGGAAGGGAAGAACAGACAGCTGAACCAGTGTGGCCAAAGGCCTGAAAGTAGGATTTGGTGTGGCTACTGCAGGGGAGCAGAGAACATTACCTGAACTGAGGCGGGCTAGGGAAGAAACAGAATGTGTCTTATATCCTGGCTATTCCTTCAGGTTGACAGTTGGGGGAGCCAAGCCCTAATTTGACCAGGGGGTTGGTGTATGGACAGCTCAGTTGGGGAAGAGACAGGGCCCTGAATCTCATCTCCCATCTGTGTCTAGCCTAGAATATATTGATCTGATGGAAACAACCCAGTACATGAATGAGGGAGAACTCCGTGTCCTAGCAGACACCTACGACTCAGTTTATCTGCATCCGGTATGGATGAGAACTCTGCGGGCAGGGAATGGTGGCAATCTTGGGGTCCCCATCCCTATGCCCACCCCACCCTGGGGGAAGCAGCTGAGTGGATAGGGCTGTTCTCTCCCTTACTCCCTTTCTGGCTCCCCACTGTCTCTCCAGAACTCATACTCCTGTGCCTGCCTGGCCTCAGGCTCTGTCCTCAGGCTGGTGGATGCGGTCCTGGGGGCTGAGATCCGGAATGGCATGGCCATCATTAGGTAGGACTCTACAGCATTTGACTTTTTACATTGTTTTAAAGTCCTTCCTTCAAGTGTAAAATGTATTGATATGGGTAATATATTCATGTGATTCAAGAATCCAAAGGTAAAAAAGAGAATATAATTAAAAATCTGTCTCCCATCCTTGTCACCCAGACACCTGCCTCCTCTCATGGGAGGTAGTCATTGGAACCACTGACTCATGTGTCCTCCCACAAAGTCTTATTCAAGAAATAAATACCATATTTCATTGATTCTAAGGTGTACATTTTTTCATATTTGTAACATCTTGAAATCCAGATGCATCTTACAAACAGTGACATCTCAGAATTCCATTGGCAGTATTTTCTGCTTCGTTTTTGGCATGTAAAATCATGGTACATCTTATCATCATTGGCATCCCAGAACTGATGAAATGCAAAAGCTTTCTCCTCCCTCCCCTGTTTTTAACCACAAATGGTAGTAACATGACATACTCCCTTCGTACCATCTTTTCACTTACACATCTTGGAAACCTTTCTCTAACAGTATGTATCTTGGAGCCCGGTAGAACACCATTGTGTAAATGCACTCTATGTTAATCAGTCCCCGACTAATGGGCATTTTGGTTCTCCCCAGTCATTTGCTGTTTTAAAAAAATGCTACAGCAAATATGCTAGTACCTTTATAAAAATAAAATTTTATTTTACACTAACATAAAATAAAAATGTTACTTCACCCTTTTTAAAACACAGGTTGTGGGCTAAGTTCCTGCAGCAGAATGACTGGGTATGAGAATGAATGCGTTGATCATTTTATTTTTATTTTTATTTATTTATTTATTTTGAGACGGAGTCTCGCTCTGTCACCAGGCTGGAGTGCAGTGATGCAATCTTGGCTCACTGCAACCTCTGCCTCCCAGGTTCAAGTGATTCTCCTGCCTCAGCCTCCCAAGTAGCTGGGACTACAGTCGCCCGCCACCACACCCAGCTAATTTTTTGTATTTTTAGTAGAGACGGGGTTTCACCGTGTTGGCCAGGATGGTCTTGATCTCTTGACCTCGTGGTCCACCCACCTCGGCCTCCCAAAGTGCTGGGATTACAGGCCTGAGCCACCGCACCCGGCCTTTATCATTTTAGTGAACATTTTCAAATCTCCTTTGGAGACAGAGGGGTAGATTGGCAGGGGGTGAGAGTTTGAGGGCCTCCATTACTCAGTTCCCGGCAGATTTTTAGGCATCAGCATTAAAGGAATTGGTGGTCCAGGATTAGAGAGCAGGGGACAGTCTGTCTCTGCAGAGGAGGACCCCTCACATACTCCAAGCTGTTATTTCCTTGTCTTGCCCAGGCCTCCTGGACATCACGCCCAGCACAGTCTTATGGATGGCTATTGCATGTTCAACCACGTGGCTGTGGCAGCCCGCTATGCTCAACAGAAACACCGCATCCGGAGGTCAGCAACAGAGGGCAGATGTGATGGGGGTGGCATGGGGTGGGGTGTCCTGGTCTGGGCTCTTCCCCCAGATTCACCTTGATCTCCTTGCACAGAGTCCCCTCTCTCTGCTGCTCCTAGGGTCCTTATCGTAGATTGGGATGTGCACCACGGTCAAGGAACACAGTTCACCTTCGACCAGGACCCCAGGTATACCCCGACTCCCACCTAGGTGCTAGACTCCCAGCCACCTCCCACCCTTACAGGCCCAGCCAGAAGGGGTCCAGAAGGAGGAAAAGGCATTCACATTCATGGGGCCTATCCTGGGATCAGGATCTGTGCTACTTTTGTGTGTCTGCCATCTCTCCTAATTTCACTCTGAGGCAGGGACTGTTGGGTTCCCTATTTTACAGATAGGGGGACTGAGGCTTATACGTTAAGAGGTCACACAGAGAAGAACTGGGAGAGACGGGATTTGACCCACAAATATTTGAAGATCTTATTCACTGATTAACCGTTGGGTTAGAGTGAACCTCAAATTACTGCTTTATTTTTTCTGATTAGGATAATGCTTCAAAGTGTTTGTTTATCCTTTCAGTAGATAGTAAAAAACAAATATAAATAAATAAATAACAAACTATTTGTTTAAAGAAATTAAATAATACAGAAGTGTCTGAAGCAGTGAGTCTCCTCTAATTTCCATTACCTCAAAAATAAGTGTTGACAGTTTAGGTTATATCCTTACAGATTTTCTCTATAGATGTCTGAATTTTTATTATTATTGTTATAATTATTAATAACACACTGCCTAATGGAATAATTCTCCACATGTTCTTCGACAACTTGCTTTATTCATTTAACAGCATATCTGGGACATTTCTCCATGTTAGTACCTCTTAAAGTATCTCGTTCTTTGTAGTATTCAATTTTATGACTGTACCTCTGGTTATTTAACCCCAGGACTTTTAAGATGCCTGCCAGTTTTTGCTATTACAGGCACTTCTACTGTGAATAGTCTAGTAAATATGTAATTCTGCACTTCTCTGAGTCTATCTGTAGGATGAATTTCTAACAGTGGGTTGCTTGGGCCAGAGAGTCAGCATACTTTAAAGTCTGGTATACACTGCCAGACTTCCCTCCAGGAGGGGACCAGCTTACCCTTCCTGCAGAAAGTGATTGAGCAAGTCCTTGTCAGTAGGAGACATTACTAAGTACATGTCGAGTATCCCTTATATGAAGTGCTTGGAACCAGAAGTATTTCACATTTCAGATTTTTTCAGATTTTGAAATATTTATATTATACTTAGTGGTTGAGCATCCTTAATCTGAAAACCCAAAATCCGAAATACCCCAATGAGCATTTCCTTTGAGCATCATGTTGGCCTTCAAAAAGTTTAGGATTTTAGGGCCGGGTGAAGTAGCTCACTCCTGTAATCCCAGTACTTTGGGAGGCCGAGGCGGATCACCTGAGGTCAGGAGTTCAAGATCAGCTTGGCCAACATGGTGAAACCCCGTCTCTACAAAAATACAGAAAAATTAGCCAGGCGTGGTGGCACACACCTGTATTTCCAGCTACTCAGGAGGCTGAGGCAGGAGAATCACTTGAACCCAGGAGGCAGAGGTTGCAGTGAGCTGAGATCGCACCACTGCACTCCAGCCTGGGTGATAGACTGAGACCCCATCTAAAAAAAAAAAAAAAGTTTAGGATTTTACAGCATTTCAGATTTCAGATTTCTAGATTAGGGATGCTCAACCTGTAGTAGTTTTATCTAGCCTTCTTCCTAGCTGACTACAGAGAATCCACTTATCCAAGATCTGAAGAATCCAATTTAGGTTGGTTGTTCTCTAGACATTGCTTTATTATTTTGCAGCATTCAGTGTTCCTGACAGGTGTCTGCTTTTCATTCCTTTCCAAGTAATCTACTTTCCTCTCTGCAAGGTTATCTTGGTGTTCTTTTTTTTTTTTTTTTAAATTATTAGACAGGGTATCACTCTGTCACCCAGGCTGGAGTATAGTAGCATGATCATAGCCCACTGTAACCTCAAACTCCTGGGCTCAAGCAATCCTCCTGCCTCAGCCTCCCAAGTAGCTAGGACTGCAGGCATGTGCCACCACACCCAGCTAATTTTTTAAATTATTTGTAGAGACAGGGTCTCACTATATTGCCCAGACTGGTCTCGAACTCCTGACCTCAAGTGTCCTCCCACTGCAGCCTCTCAAAGCACTGAGATTACAGGCATGAGCCACTGTACCTAGCCTTGATGTTCTAAACTTTTACCCTGGCCTTTTCACTCTGTTTAATAGTAGGTAGACATTTTACATCTGAAGATTCATGCTTTTCTTAAACTCTTGGAAATTATTTTCTATTAGATCTTTGATAATTTCTTCTTTGTTTTCTCTGTTCTCTTTCTAGGACTTCTGTTAGTCAGATGTTAGACTTCCTGGGTTGATCCTCTATGTCTCTCTCTTTTTTATTATTTATTTATTTATTTATTTATTTATTTTTTTTGAGACAAGGTCTTGCTCTGTTGCCCAGACTGGAGTACAGTGGCACAAATACGACTCACTGCAGCCTCGACCTCCCGGGCTCAAGCAATCCTCATGCCTCAGCCTCCTGAGTAGCTGGGACCACAGGTGCACACCAGCATACCCAGCTAATTTTTTAATCTTTTGTAGAGATGGGGTCTCACCATGTTGCCCAGGCTTCTTATTTTTTATCTTATGTTTTCTGTCTCTTTTTTCTTTTGCTGTGACCTGGGAGATTTTGTCAACTTTATCTTCAAGCCCTTCTGTTGAATTATGTATTTAGATATCCTGTTAAACTCCAAAAGCTCTTTCTTCCTCTCTGTTTCTATGTCCTCTCATACCTGATCTTGTTTTTATAGAGTATGGATTAGAAGTGCCGGCTGGGTGCGGTGGCTCATGCCTGTAATCCCAGCACTTTGGGAGGCCGAGGTGAGTGGATCACTTGAGGCCAGGAGTTCGAGACCAGTCTGGCCAACATGGTGAAACCCCATCTCTACTAAAAATACAAAAATTACCCAGACGTGATGGTGCGCACCTGTAATCCCAGCTACTCAGGAGGCTGAGGCAGGAGAATCGCTTGAACCCAGGAGGCGGAGGTTGCAGTGAGACAAGATCATGCCACTGCACTCCAGCCTGGGCGATAGAGGGAGACCCTGTCTCAAAAAAGGAAGTGCCTTAAGTTTCTTCTGTTGTCTGAGTTATGTCTCTTTATTCTGAGGCTGGTTGAATTATTTTTTTCTTGGTCCTTCTCTTTTATGCTGATGGTTTTCCTCAAATGTCTAGCAATCCTTATTTGGCTATTTATACCCAAGAATGAAGGCCCATTGTAGGGGGCTGTCAGAGGACTACTCTGCTGCAGTGTTTGTAGGTCTGTTTTCCTGAAAGGCATTTCCCCAGAATGGGGACAGGGAATGTCCACTGACAGGTTGCAACTTTAGCGAGTGTGGGCAAGGACCCGGGCATTAGATGGGATCCTGCCAGATGTCAGAACAAAGGAGGCCTCTTCTTTGGGGTAACATCTCTTTTTTCCCTCAGCCTTTCCAAAGTGTATCTGTTGTACTTATCTTTTCCAGTGTAGCTTTGGGCTTTGTTGGTCATCTCTACTGTTTTATTATGGTGGGTTTTTAATACTTCATTAATTTTTCTGGTTTTATCTTTATTAATGTTTTCCTCCGACGTTCTTTATTTTGTTCATTTCTGGCTTCTGGAATTTAATGCTTCAACATTTATCAACTCATTGGCCGATCTCATTTCATCTATACCTGTACCCACTGCCCTCTTCCTGTTTTCCTTCAAAGCTAATCCCAGATACCATATAATTTCTCCTGTAAATATTTCAGAATGCATCTCTAAAACATAAGTACACTTTTTTAGAAAAGCATTACCTTAGTATCAATACCTGAAAATTAACAATAATTATTTTTTTAATCTGCCAAGGGTCTGTCATTCAAAGAATTCTTTAATATCATTAATCATTCTTTTTGTTTGAATAAATGCATAGGAGGCTATAGCTGTGTGTTCTTTCATGGGTACACTATTGATTACACACACAGATGTGAAACACTGTGAATATATTCAGTGCATTCTTCCTTATTAACAAACGTGTGTAAACAAACAAACAAAAAGAACATGTCCATGCCCTTGGATCTCCCAGCTCCCCATCTCTCAGTCTCTGAACTCCAGCAGCAGGGAGACAAACTGGATAATCCTTAAAATACTGTTGTGAAGACAAGGAAAGCAGATGATCTAAAACTAAGTAGTTAAAAGAAACAAGTAACTTTGTTGTATTGGTGATTCAGTGAGTTGGCTCTTCAGAAGGGATTTTGTGTGCATTGACCTGGATCTGTACTGGATTTCTCCAGAAAGGAAACTTCAGCTTATCTTGGGTGCCCCCTTATCCTGCTCAGCATGAGACAGAGCACCCTGGGGCCCCTGGAATCTCAAAGTCTACTTTCTAGAAATTCATTGAAGTCTCTTATTCTCTGACATCCTTTCCACTCTCTCTTTCTGGGTTGCTGTTTGTTTACAATTTCTTTACTGTATTTTGAATGGGGTAGTAGGAGGTTGAGGAAGTAAACCTGTGCTATCAATCCACCATTTAACTTGAAGGTGGTTGAACTTATTTTGAATTTCCCTTCTGTTTTCTTTTTAAACTTAGCTTGAGTGCTAGTTCTGCTGTTTATTGACTTTGATGGCTCTCTTTTAGAGTCAGCTTTCTTCAGATCTTTTCTTTCTTCCTGTCTTCCCCAATGATATTTTTTTCTTTTCCTTTCTTTTTTTTTGAGACAGAGTCATGCTCTGTCGCCCAGGCTGGAGTGCAGTGGCCCGATCTCGGCTCACTGCAACCTCCGCCTCCTGGGTTCAAGCAATTCTCCTACCTCCACCTCCCAAGTAGCTAGGATTACAGGCACGCGCCACCACGCCCAGCAAATTTTTTGTATTTTTAGTAGAGACAGGGTTTCGCCATGTTGGCCATGCTGGTCTCGAACTTCTGGCCTCTAGTGATCCGCCCACCTTGGCCTCCCAAAGTGCTGGGATTACAGGTGTGAACCACTGCGCCCAGCCCTCTGGTGATAATTTTTATGTCCTACTGTGTTTCTCTTCCTCTAATGATTAACTTACTAAAAGTTTAGAACCAAGATTTATCTATCAATGTCAAAAATAAAACAATCATCCTCCACCTACTCAACACCAGAGCTTTTGCTTGTTTTTATTCCCCAATTCCAAGCTCTTTTCCCTCAATTTTAAGAATCTTTCTATATCACTTGCATTAAATTTCACAACTACATTATCAACCCATTAAAATGTGACTCTTAAGTTTGTCTAGATTCAATGCATACCACTATTTCTTGCATTTCCCTAAAAAAGCTGCCTTAGATCCTCTCTGGAACAAAGCAGGGGGTAAATGACCAGATAGAAGGATGGATGGATGATAGATTATTCATTTTGCTTTCCCCAGTCAGAATTAAGCCCTCCCATGGCCCCTTGCTGGGCTTTCTGTCAAAACACGTGCATCGCATCTTTTCAGTATCTGTTTTGCGTGTCGGTCATACTCACCCCTCTGAGTGCTCATTCTCTCGCCTATAAAATAGAAGAAGTAGTAGAGGTGGCCTGTAAGGCATTGGGGAGGAGGAACTGCCCTTTCACTGGCCTCATGACAGCCCCAGCCAGCACCCCCGCTCTAGTTCCACCCACAGAAGCAAGTCTCACCCCTACCCCCCAGGTCTCTCCACTTCCTGCTAGAGAATCACCCAGCTCCCCAGCCTGGCTTGAGGCTCTTTTCAGCCTTAGCTGGCTCCCCGCAGCTAAGAGCCCCATGCTCCATTTGGGCCTCCAGTGTCACAGGGTTTGACCTGCTGTTACTACTACCTTTGTCATAGGGGCAGGTAGTGGGCGGACATGATCTAGAGTACCCCACAGAGTCAGGAGCCCCCATGATCTGAGATAGACCCTAGAGCTGAGCCTGAAATTGGGTGGGCACTGAGGGGGCAGCGATGTTTGCTGAGGGAGAGGTTCTGGTGAGAGACTAAATGAATGAGCGAGTGAGGTAATGGATAAATAAAGATAAGAATGAAAAAATGGTAAGATGATTAAATTGGTGACTGAATGTAAGGGTAAATTAATGGAAGAATGGATTCATGGATTAAATAATTAATGGGGAAATTAATGAATGAGAGAATGAACGAGTGGTTGAATGGGGAAATGAGTGGTAGAGGAAACTGGCAACTGTTGGGTTGGGGGTGTCTATGGGGATTGACTTCTCCAACTCTCTTACCTCTTTTTCTTCTGCCCCCAGTGTCCTCTATTTCTCCATCCACCGCTACGAGCAGGGTAGGTTCTGGCCCCACCTGAAGGCCTCTAACTGGTCCACCACAGGTTTCGGCCAAGGCCAAGGATATACCATCAATGTGCCTTGGAACCAGGTCAGCATCTACCCACCTCTGCCCCCAAAGTGAGGCCCAGCCCCGCCCTTCTGTCAGCGGCTCGGGACAGGTGGCTGAACATCCCCCATCACACTCCTGTGTCTGCAGGTGGGGATGCGGGATGCTGACTACATTGCTGCTTTCCTGCACGTCCTGCTGCCAGTCGCCCTCGAGGTCCTGGGGATCTGGGGTGTGTTGGGAGGAGGAGTGGCCTTGAAGGTTAGGCTGTGAGGGTAGGTAGCCTCATGGAGTCTGTTCCCCCTTCAGTTCCAGCCTCAGCTGGTCCTGGTGGCTGCTGGATTTGATGCCCTGCAAGGGGACCCCAAGGTAAGGCAGGCTCCCTGGGGCGGCAGGTGGGTTGCATGGAGCCAGGCTGACCCTCCATGTCCCCCCAGGGTGAGATGGCCGCCACTCCGGCAGGGTTCGCCCAGCTAACCCACCTGCTCATGGGTCTGGCAGGAGGCAAGCTGATCCTGTCTCTGGAGGTGAGTGACTCACCTTCGTCCCTCAGCCTGTGGATCCTGGAGGGCTTAAGAACGAAGCTTTCAAGTCCAACAGGAGTTCCTGGCCCAGGAATTCACTTACTAGCTGGACAACCTTGCATAAGTCACTTCACTTCTTTGTGCCTCCGCTTTCCTTCTATAAAACGAGCATAATGTAATCACCTCATATCATTGTCCAGTGAATTCAGTGAGGCACCCTTCTAAGTTCCTTGTTGCTTGACATGTGGTATGCACTCTCTTATTATCATCATTATTATTATTCCCTGGTCATGTCTGGTCCTTTCCTGATCCCCCTTCACAACTCCTTGCCCCAGGGTGGCTACAACCTCCGCGCCCTGGCTGAAGGCGTCAGTGCTTCGCTCCACACCCTTCTGGGAGACCCTTGCCCCATGCTGGAGTCACCTGGTGCCCCCTGCCGGAGGTGAGCCCCGGTGGAGGAGGGGAAAGCGGGAGCCTCACTGCCCGCCCACATTCCTTGACATCATATTTTCTCCCTGCCCTGCAGTGCCCAGGCTTCAGTTTCCTGTGCTCTGGAAGCCCTTGAGCCCTTCTGGGAGGTTCTTGTGAGATCAAGTAGGAAGTGGGGTGTGGGCCTGGTGTGGGGTGGACGTGGGATGAGCCCTGGGGGAGACTGTCTTCAGACTTCCTCTGACTTTACTGGGCTGCCTTGGTGGGAGAGGGTCAGGCCCTCTCTCTCTCCCTGGGCCCTGGTTTCAGGCCTCCCACCCCTTTTTCTGTTTGGGTCACCTGAGTTCCAGAGTATGACGGGGATTCAGATTGAGAGGGTAGGACAAACGTGGCCTCCCCCTTTTAGCTGAGACCGTGGAGAGGGACAACATGGAGGAGGACAATGTAGAGGAGAGCGAGGAGGAAGGACCCTGGGAGCCCCCTGTGCTCCCAATCCTGACATGGCCAGTGCTACAGTCTCGCACAGGGCTGGTCTATGACCAAAATATGATGAATCACTGCAACTTGTGGGACAGGTAGGCATTTGGAGGGCTGGATGAGTAGGTGTTGGGGGTCCCTCCCCCTCAGGCACTAAGCCTCTACCTCTCGTTTCCCCACTGCTAGCCACCACCCTGAGGTACCCCAGCGCATCTTGCGGATCATGTGCCGTCTGGAGGAGCTGGGCCTTGCCGGGCGCTGCCTCACCCTGACACCGCGCCCTGCCACAGAGGCTGAGCTGCTCACCTGTCACAGGTCAGACCCCGGTGCCTGGGGTGGGTGGATTCCCAGGACTGTGGATGAGGTCTCAGGGGCTGGAACTTGGGTTTCCCCTCCTGGGGAGCTGCTGCAGGACTTGAGAGGGGCTGAAGTCCCTGTCTTAGGGGTGGGGACCAGGGAGGGGACAGACCCTCCTCACTGTCCTGCGGGTGCTCCTCTCTGTGCTTCCAGTGCTGAGTACGTGGGTCATCTCCGGGCCACAGAGAAAATGAAAACCCGGGAGCTGCACCGTGAGAGTTCCAACTTTGACTCCATCTATATCTGCCCCAGTACCTTCGCCTGTGCACAGCTTGCCACTGGCGCTGCCTGCCGCCTGGTGGAGGCTGTGCTCTCAGGAGAGGTGTGTCCTCTGTGGGCTGGGGAGAGGAGGACCTGGGGGGAATGGAAAAAGAGAGCCATCTGCTGTTTCTGGAGGCTCTGAGAGAGTCAAGCAGGGCCTGAGGAAAGGGGCCATGGGGAGGGGCACGGGAGGGGGTGGGCCTAGAGGCTGGGGGAATAATGGAAGGAACTGGAGAAAGGGAAGGGTGGCCAAGTGCAGTGGCTCACGTCTGTAATCCTAGCGCTTTGAGAAGCTGAGGTGAGCTCAGGAGGTCAAGGCTGCAGTAAGCCATGATTGCACCACTGCACTCTAGCCTGGGCAACAGAGTGAGACCCTGTGTCAAAAAAAAAAAAAGGTCCGGGCGTGATGGCTCACACCTGTAATCCCAGCACTTTGGGAGGCCGAGGTGGGCAGATCACGAGGTCAGGAGATCGAGACCATCCTGGATAACATGGTGAAACCCCGTCTCTACTAAGAAACATACAAAAAATTAGCCGGGCGTGGCAGCAAGCGCCTGTAGTCCTAGCTACTCAGGAGGCTGAGGCAGGAGAATGGCGGGAACCTGGCAGGCGGCGCTTGCAGTGAGCCGAGATGGCGCCACTGCATTCCAGCCTGGGCGACAGAGCGAGACTCCGTCTCAAAAAAAAAAAAAAAAAAGGAAGAAAGGAAGGTGAGGGCAGGCTGTCCGATCTTAGCACCCTGCTGCTTCCCAGGTTCTGAATGGTGCTGCTGTGGTGCGTCCCCCAGGACACCACGCAGAGCAGGATGCAGCTTGCGGTTTTTGCTTTTTCAACTCTGTGGCTGTGGCTGCTCGCCATGCCCAGACTATCAGTGGGCATGCCCTACGGTAAGGACTCCCTGGGGACCCCCCAAATCCTGATCCTTGTGGGGACCTGGATGCTCCCCCCAGCCCATTGTTTACTCATGCCCCATGGTCCAGCTCCCAGGACTTCCTTCCCCAGAAAGAAGTAAGGGTGCAGTCCTTACCCAGAGAAGGACCGAGGATGGAGCCTCTCAGTGCTTATTTAGATAGGACCCCCAGATCATGTTACCTGGGCACTTACAAAACAGGATCCAGGGTCCCACCCCAGCATTTCTGGCCTATAGCAGCTGCCTCGACAGAACCCAGGTCTAGGCTCCTGATGCATACTCCAGAAGACCCACGAACCAGCCCCCAGCATTAGCTGCCCAAGGCCCAGGGTCCAGTTCCCTAGCAATGACCCAGAAGAGCCCAGGGCCCAGCCCCGAGCACTTGCTCAGGCCTACCGGGCAGCCCTTGGGAACCAGGATCAGACTTTTCTCCTTAACTGATAGGACCCAGGGTCCTGCCACTCAGCACTAAATGCCCCTGCAGACCCCAGGGGTCTAGCCCAGCCCTCTTCCAGGGCGTGAGTATCGTCGGTTACTGAGGTGCTGTCTCCTCCCCAGGATCCTGATTGTGGATTGGGATGTCCACCACGGTAATGGAACTCAGCACATGTTTGAGGATGACCCCAGGTAAGGGCTGCAGTCAGGGGCCGCAGTGTGATCAGGGAGGCGGGTGAGCACCTCAGGGGTACTGGAGCCCCTAACCAGCCATGGTCCGCTTCCCACCCCCTCCCTGGCAGTGTGCTATATGTGTCCCTGCACCGCTATGATCATGGCACCTTCTTCCCCATGGGGGATGAGGGTGCCAGCAGCCAGATCGGCCGGGCTGCGGGCACAGGCTTCACCGTCAACGTGGCATGGAACGGGCCCCGCATGGGTGATGCTGACTACCTAGCTGCCTGGCATCGCCTGGTGCTTCCCATTGCCTACGAGGTACAGCTCAGGATAGATCGCAGGACGTATGTGACACGCCTGTGCAGGTGGCAGCCTGGACCTGCCTCCTTGGCATGTGTGTGTGTGACTACCATGTGGCTGATGATATGAGACAGCGCATGGGTGTTTAATGAGGCTACCAGGGCAGTTGGTGGCTGTGATCACCTTGTGTATTTGTGCACAGATGGCTGTACATGACTGCCTTCTCTGTGTGACACTGTGTGAGTGACTGTCTTGGCTGTGTGTGTGAGGGCCTTCTGACTATGCACCAATGGCCCGTGTCCTGGCTGGATCTGTGTTGTATGTGCGTGCCATCACAAGTGCTTGAGTATGTGCGTGTGCGACTCTGTGCAGGCAGGTATTTCTCACCTTTTCTCTGTGTGATGGGTGTGATACTGTATGTCACTAAATGCAACCATCTCTGTGACAGCCTGTGTGGGACCTTCTGGATGTGGAAGGCTGTGTGTGACAGCAGTCACTGTCTGGCTGTCTGCCCTGGCTGTTTGTGTGTATGTCTCTGACTGGGAGGTAGCTGCCTTCCCTCTGTGTGAGCTAGGAGGCTGGTGGCTTGTGTATGGCTGACTCTGGGAGGGAGGGAAAGGGTGTGAGCACCGCTCTGTCACCCTGGGCGCCGGTGTGCATCTTTGGATCTGCATGTGCATCTGACTGTGCATGGGTAGCCAGGACAGCCTTCTGTGTGTGTACAACTGTATGTGCAAATAACCAGCTCTTGTGGACATACCAGAGTGCATGTCGCCATTGTGGCTGTGTGGTGATGGCATGTGTATGTGACTGTGCAGGATGGCTGTGGGTTATTGTCCTCTTTGAGAAACTGTGTGTGTGTACATGACTAGTGCAGATATATAGTACTGATCTATATGGTACTGTCTGTGTGGCAGTACGTGTGGCTCTGTGTGACCATCTTCTCTGTATGTGGTTCTTGCGTTGCCATCTTCTGTTTTGGAAGTGTGCAAGCACCTCTCTTTGGCACTATGTATATAAAACCCTGTATCTTGTGTATGTGTGTCCCACGTTTGACCCTGGGGTATGTGTGTGTGAGGACATGTCTCTGTCTCTCTGTTTTTCATGTCACTCTCTTGACGTGTCAGTCTGTCTCATGTCCCCATCTGTCCCTTTTTTTTTTTTTTTGAAATGGAGTCTTGCTCTGTCACCCAGGCTAGAGTGCAGTGGTGCAATCTCGGCTCACTGCCAGCTCCGCCTCCTGGGTTCATGCCATTCTCCTGCCTCAGCCTCCTGCGTAGCTGGGACTACAGGCTCCCGCCACCACGTCTGGCTAATTTTTTGTATTTTTAGTAGAGACAGGGTTTCACTGTGTTAGCCAGGATGGTCTCAATCTGACCTCATGATCTGCCCGCCTCGGCCTCCCAAAGTGCTGGGATTACAGGCCTGAGCCACCATGCCCGGCCCCCATCTGTCCCTTTCTGCCATCTCCATGTCTCTAAGTCTGCATCTATTTCTTCTACCTCTGAGTCTGTATTTCTTTTCTTCCCTTCTTCATTTTCAGTCTCTGCTTTTGTGTCTCCTAGTCTCCAGGTTCTGTGTCTCCATCTCTCTGACTTGCATCTCCATGTCTTCATTTGTCCTTTTCTCCATGTCTCTGGGTCGCCATCACTTACTGCCTACCAAAAGCCCCTACCCTCATGCTTATACATCTCTTCTCTCCCTGCCTCAGTTTAACCCAGAACTGGTGCTGGTCTCAGCTGGCTTTGATGCTGCACGGGGGGATCCGCTGGGGGGCTGCCAGGTGTCACCTGAGGGTTATGCCCACCTCACCCACCTGCTGATGGGCCTTGCCAGTGGCCGCATTATCCTTATCCTAGAGGTAACTTTCTCTTGGTCCCTCTTCCCACAGTGGGAGGGTAGTTTGGAAATGTTGGCACCATCACTCAGGACAGTTTCCTGAAATCTCCTTTGAGTGTCCCTGCCTGGGATTGTTGGCACATACTGGGTAGTAATAAGAATAACAGCAACATTAACAGCCTTAATTGAGTGCTCACTATGTGCAGAGCACTCTTCTGAGCACCTCATGTGTCTTATTCATTCAGTTACTTGGCAAAGCAGCCTTATGAGGTAGGGTAAGCTTACCTCATTTTCCTCTCTGAAGATCAGGGAAACTGAGGCACAAAGAGGTGTGATGACTAGCCTGAGATGGCACATTTACTGATGGCAGAACCAGGACTTGAACCCATGCAGCCTGGCTCCAGGGTTTGTGCTTTTTACTCTACCTGAACTGCCTCTAACAAGTTCCTGGGACAAAGGAAATTCACTGACCTTTGTAAATGACTCAGTATCCCCACGCCCTGTGCCTCAGTTTCCTCATCTTTATGAGGCAGGCTAATCATGGAGGAATGCCTGGCATATGGTAAATGCTGGATCTTTTGGATCTGGTTTTTTGTTGTTGTTGTTGTTGTTGTTGTTTGTGAGACAAGAGTCTCGCTCTGTCACCCAGGCTAGTCTGCAGTGGCATGATCTCAGCTCACTGCAGCCTCCACCTCCCGGCTTCAAGTGATCCTCCCACCTCAGCCTCCTGAGTCGCTGGGATTACAGGCACCCGCCACCACGCCCAGCTAATTTTTGTATTTTTAGTAGAGATGGGGTTTCACCATGTTGGTCAGGCTGGTCTTGAGCTCCTGGCCTCAAGAAATCCACCCACCTTAGCCTCCCAGAGTGCTGGAATTACAGGCATGAGCCACCGCACCTGGCCCCTGGTTACTGTTATGCGTTGTTCAGATATTAACCCACTCAGCAACCTTCTGTGCTCTTATTTTCTTTTTCTTTTTCTTTTTTTTTTTGAGACGTTGTCTTGCTCTGTCGCCCAGGCTAGAGTGCAGTGGTGCGATTGTGGCTCACTGGGTTCAAGCAGTTCTCTGCCTCAGCCTCCTGAGTAGCTAGGATTACAGGTGCCTGCCACCACACCCAGCTAATTTTTTTGTATTTTTAGTAGAGACGGGGTTTCACCATGTTGGCCAGGCTGGTGTTGAACTCCTGACCTCGTGATCCACCTGCCTCAGCCTCCCAAAGTGTTGGGATTACAGGCATGAGCTACCATACCTGCCTCTTTTTTTTTTTTTTTTTTTTTTTCCTTTTGAGACAGAGTCTCGCCGTGTCACCCAGGCTGGAGTGCAATGGCGCTATCTCGGCTCACTGCAGCCTCTATCTCCCAGGCTCGAGCAAGCAATTCTCATGCCTCAGCCTCCCGAGTAGCTGGGACTACAGGCGCATGCCACCACGCCTGGCTAATTTTTGTATTTTTAGTAGAGACGGGGGTTTCACCATGTTGGCCAGGCTGGCCTCAAACTCCTGACCTCAGGTAACCTTCCCGCCTCGGCCTCCCAAAGTGCTGGGATTATAGGGGTGAGCCACCGCGCCCAGCCTGTGCTGTTATTTTCACCACTTTACAGATGAGGAAAATAAGTCACTGAGAAATTAATTGGCTTGCAAAAAGTCGCACTTACTATGTGCCCAGTACTGCTTGTGACAGGACACGGTGGGAGTTAAGAACACAGATGACTCCATCAGAGAGCCCAAGTTCAAACCCCAGTGCTGCCTCTTCAGCTGTTATGACCTCGGACAAGTCATCTAACCACTCTGAGCCTCAGTTTCTTTATCTGTAAAAAGAATAGCAACTGGGATTCCTGTAGAGTGTAAAAAAAGTCAATACAGGAGTCCATGTGGAGAAAGAGTCCAGTTGTTCCTGTACTAGGTCAGGGCAGGGGCTTTTGTATGGGTTCACAGCAGTCGTCTTGTGCAGGTCAGGTCAGTGGTTACTGTATGATGTGAGGCCAGGGGTTCCTGGACAGTGTGAAGACGGATTTCTGTATGGCATGAAGGCAAGTTCCTGTATAGATTGAGCGCCTGTGGTTGTGAGGATTGAGTTAATATGCATGAAGTACTTAAAATCGGGTCTGGCACACAGCAAACAATAAATGTCAGCTGTTACTAATGCTTTTATCAGTATTGTTATCTTGCACTTTACATCACAATTTACTCCCCACAACAACCACCTTACACAGTGGGTGCTGCCTATCTTAAAGGTGTGGGTTCTGTTCACTTGTTCTCAGTACTCCCCCTCCCTCTCCAGACTTGCAGGGCTCAGTAGGGAGGATTGGGGAGGCAGGACATGTTGTCCTCCAAATTCCCCAATGAACCCCCACCATACCTTTCCCTCCCCTTTTCCTTAACAAAGGGTGGCTATAACCTGACATCCATCTCAGAGTCCATGGCTGCCTGCACTCGCTCCCTCCTTGGAGACCCACCACCCCTGCTGACCCTGCCACGGCCCCCACTATCAGGGGCCCTGGCCTCAATCACTGAGACCATCCAAGTCCATCGCAGATACTGGCGCAGCTTACGGGTCATGAGTGAGTGGATTTGGGGGTGATGGGGGGAACCCAGGGAAGGAGGGGGCTGAGGGGCAGAGATCAGAGGCAGGAAGGGTGACAGTACCCACACTCAAGGATCTCCCTCCCTGGTTCCAGAGGTAGAAGACAGAGAAGGACCCTCCAGTTCTAAGTTGGTCACCAAGAAGGCACCCCAACCAGCCAAACCTAGGTTAGCTGAGCGGATGACCACACGAGAAAAGAAGGTTCTGGAAGCAGGCATGGGGAAAGTCACCTCGGCATCATTTGGGGAAGAGTCCACTCCAGGCCAGACTAACTCAGAGACAGCTGTGGTGGCCCTCACTCAGGACCAGCCCTCAGAGGCAGCCACAGGGGGAGCCACTCTGGCCCAGACCATTTCTGAGGCAGCCATTGGGGGAGCCATGCTGGGCCAGACCACCTCAGAGGAGGCTGTCGGGGGAGCCACTCCGGACCAGACCACCTCAGAGGAGACTGTGGGAGGAGCCATTCTGGACCAGACCACCTCAGAGGATGCTGTTGGGGGAGCCACGCTGGGCCAGACTACCTCAGAGGAGGCTGTAGGAGGAGCTACACTGGCCCAGACCACCTCGGAGGCAGCCATGGAGGGAGCCACACTGGACCAGACTACGTCAGAGGAGGCTCCAGGGGGCACCGAGCTGATCCAAACTCCTCTAGCCTCGAGCACAGACCACCAGACCCCCCCAACCTCACCTGTGCAGGGAACTACACCCCAGATATCTCCCAGTACACTGATTGGGAGTCTCAGGACCTTGGAGCTAGGCAGCGAATCTCAGGTAAGGCTCACCACACCCAGGTAGGGGCAAGAAGGGGCAAGAATCGGGCTTCTCTGATACATCTCTTACTTCTGCGTGTCCAGGGGGCCTCAGAATCTCAGGCCCCAGGAGAGGAGAACCTACTAGGAGAGGCAGCTGGAGGTCAGGACATGGCTGATTCGATGCTGATGCAGGGATCTAGGGGCCTCACTGATCAGGTGAGCTCAGGGAGAGGCTGGGACTGTGGCTTCCTTCTCTTGCCAATTTGTGTCTCCAGGTAGGAGCATGTGATGAATAAACATATAATGGGGAGATGGGGTCTTCAGCTTACCTAGTTTCACCCACCCACTCCAGGCCATATTTTATGCTGTGACACCACTGCCCTGGTGTCCCCATTTGGTGGCAGTATGCCCCATACCTGCAGCAGGCCTAGACGTGACCCAACCTTGTGGGGACTGTGGAACAATCCAAGAGAATTGGGTGTGTCTCTCTTGCTATCAGGTATGGAGCAGAGGAAGGGGATGGGGCGGAGGTTGGCCCGGGAGCAAACTGCAGGGGGATGCTGACCCCCACCTGACACTCACACCCCCAACCTCAGGTCTACTGTGGTCGTTACATCAATGGCCACATGCTCCAACACCATGGAAATTCTGGACACCCGCTGGTCCTCAGCTACATCGACCTGTCAGCCTGGTGTTACTACTGTCAGGCCTATGTCCACCACCAGGTGGGCCCTGGGTAGACCCTTCGACACGTGCACACTCACCCCCCACACACACACCCCTTCTGTGATTGGGTAAAGGGAGACCACAGGCCCCTCTGCATGGCTGCCTCATGTGATTATTTTGCATGGGGCGGGGGCTGTGGGATAGTCCAGAAGACAGAGTGGTTGAGGGCTGGAGTGGGGGCAGCCCTGCAGCCGAGGTAGAGGGGTCCTCACTCTCTCTCACCTGCCCTATTCTTGCCTCCTCCTCAGGCTCTCCTAGATGTGAAGAACATCGCCCACCAGAACAAGTTTGGGGAGGATATGCCCCACCCACACTAAGCCCCAGAATACGGTCCCTCTTCACCTTCTGAGGCCCACGATAGACCAGCTGTAGCTCATTCCAGCCTGTACCTTGGATGAGGGGTAGCCTCCCACTGCATCCCATCCTGAATATCCTTTGCAACTCCCCAAGAGTGCTTATTTAAGTGTTAATACTTTTAAGAGAACTGCGACGATTAATTGTGGATCTCCCCCTGCCCATTGCCTGCTTGAGGGGCACCACTACTCCAGCCCAGAAGGAAAGGGGGGCAGCTCAGTGGCCCCAAGAGGGAGCTGATATCATGAGGATAACATTGGCGGGAGGGGAGTTAACTGGCAGGCATGGCAAGGTTGCATATGTAATAAAGTACAAGCTGTTAAAAAACCTGGAGAAAGCTTTTTGACTTTGAGCAGGTGGAGAACCCCACATCCCTGGCCAGCAGAGCCGATGAGTAATGAAGGAATGAGGGAGTGGGTCTCTGTCAGGTCAATCCCCTGCCCATCCATTGCCCCCAAAAAACTAACTGAAAATAGAGCAGCCATCTTGACTGGCTCCACGGGATATAAAATGGTAGAATCCATGAGAAAATGGGTGCTTGCCTTATAAATAGGAGCCTCACAGCCAGTCCCAGCCACACCCACACCCTAGGCTGAGAAGGCAAGAAAACTAGCAGGAAGTATCCTTACCAGGCCTGTTTCCCCACTGTCTCATTGGCCTGACTGGGGATGGTGGGAGGTCCAGGTTTAACTTGAATGTGGTGGTCATGGTAGCTTCTTGGCAGAAGGGGTGCCTGCCATTGACCACAGGTGGGAAATTGGAGGACAGTCTGAGAGCTGAATTTCTCCCACGTGGTGAGAATTGCTTTGGCAGCTCAAGGGAGTTGGATCTGAGGTTTCCAGGACTTTTCTTCATGGCCACCTTATGATCCCAAGCTGACCACCACAGCCTTACTGAGTCAAGAAGAGGAGGGATGGGGAAGGGCCGGGGCTGCCCCGTTCTTGTTTTGTTTTGTTTTTTGAGATGGAGTCTTGCTCTTGTCACCCAGGCTGGAGTGCAGTGGCACGATCTCGGCTCATTGCAGCCTCTGCCTCCCAGGTTCAAGTGATTCTCCTTCCTCAACCTCCTGAGTAGCTGGGATTACAGGTGCCTACCACCACACCTGGCTAATTTTTGTATTTTTAGTAGAGACGGGGTTTTGCCATATTGGGCAGGCTGGTCTCAAACTCCTGACCTGGTGATCCGCTGGCCTTGGTCTCCCAAAGTGCTGGGATTATGGGTGTGAGCCACCACTCCCGGGCCAGGGGCTGCCCTGTTTTAAGAGCCCTCTGGATGCCCCACCTCTGCTGCCCTCTCATTGATCAGGACTGTGCATGTGGTTGCCATAGCTGCAAGGGAGCCTGGGAAATGTGTAGTTTGACAGGCAGCCGCCTCCAATCAGGGTCTTTCTTCCCTGACAGAATGACCCCTCCTCTGTCACTGTCTTTTCTCCAGAGCTACCAAAAAACCGAGTTGAGGCAGCACAGGCTCTGTGGCCTGAAAGAGCTTCCCACAAAACCGTTCCCAAAGTCAGGCCATCCTGGTCAAAATCTAACACCCAACTCTCCCACACACACACACCACCAACAGGAAAGCAAGGGAGAGGCGCCACAGGGGACACACGGGGAGGTTTGGCCGCCGTCCGTGCACCCCTAGAGGCCGCTGTGGCACCCACGTGCCTGTGCGCAAGCCGCCTGGGGGGGCACGACCCCTTGCTCCCCCGGGGCAATGGCACGGGCAGGGGCGGGGCAGTGGCAGGGGCAGGGGCGCGGCGCAGGGGGGTGGGCGGCCTGAGGAGCCGAGGGAGGGCGGCTGCGCATGTCCACTCCCCCAACCGCCGCCGGGGTGCCCCGGGGAGCAGCGTCGCCCCCCGCCAGGCCTGTCAGAGCGTCCCAGCGCGCCCGCCTCCCCACGGACACAGGTGAGCGAGGCGCCGGTGCCCCTGGCCCTGCCAGGCCTGGGGGTATCCCCGCGCCGGCTTTGGGGGATCGTCCCCCAAGCGCCAAGCCTTCTCCCGGGCGAGCGGCCCCTCACTCGGCCGGCCGGGAGGGGTGTCGGCGCTTGGCTGGAAGCGGGGCCGCCTCACCCGGAGTCGGGATGGGTCTTGACAGGATGCCCGGGCGACGCTGCTCACACCGAGCCCGAAGTGGAGTCCTGGTTTCGGGGACCCTTCCGCACTCCGAGCTTTGCACCTCACCCGGCCTCGTCCGGGAAAGCACGACCTGGCGAGGCCGCCCTAACCCCAGGTCCCGGCCCCTTAGCGCGCCAGCCTTGGTGAGCTGGGCGAAGCCCCCCAACCTGGTCCCAGCGGCTCTGAGCGCGCGGCCACGGGGACCCGCCGGGGGCTCCGCGCCACTTGAGAGGACCGAGCCCCCAATCTCCGGCGCCTCCCGCGGGCTGAGGCCCCGGGCCAGTGCCCTCGGCACGTGCCTCTGCGCCTCGGGCTCCTCCCGGGAGCGGAGCCTTGGGGACCAGGGCCGCGGCCTCCCTGCGCGTCGCGGGGACTGGGCGAGTGTGGCCCCGTCCCGCCAGGCACCTGGGGTGGAAGCTGCGCTCCGCCACTCGGCCAGGCCCCGGGCTTTTCCTTCCTCACCGTCGGCGCCCCCAGACTCCAGCCGCTCAGACCCCGACTTAAGAGGCAGCCTCGACCCCGCCTCTGCCTTCTGACCCATCCCTAAAGATGGCCGGGCACCCCTACAGGACCCCCAGAAGCCGACCTCTCCCTCCACGTGCGCCGCCGCCTCGCCCCTCCCCGCAGTCCTCCAGGTCTTCTTCCTGTCCCCAACCGTCGGGGACCCCCAAGCTCCGTCCTCCGCTTCCTGCTCTCTTTATCCCGCCCCCGCTCCTTCTGGGCCAACGCCGCCAGTGACTATTCCCAGGGATCCCTCAGAGCTGAGGACGCCGCGGCCGCATCCCCATTTGGGACCTTGCCCCGACTCCGACCTCCGGATCTCCAGCTCCACCAAACCTCGAAGCCACCATCCGCCCCCAAACTGCCGCTGCGCCAGGCTTTCGGAGGGGAGTCGTGGCAACAGCCATTAGGATGCACTAAGCAGGGCACTTCCTGAGCCCAAGGACACCGAGGGGCATTCACTGAGTGAATGGGGATGTGCTGCTAATAACTAACACTAATTGACCACCTGCCGTGTGCCCATCCTCTTCGAACATGCAACTTCCTTGTTCCTTATCTTGTTACTGTCTCTTTCTCTCTGCCAGAATCCAATCCTCACAAGGGCAGGGACTGGGGTCTGTTTTGTTAACTGCCATATCACAATGCCTGGCACGAAGGAAGATTCTTGAATTAATGAATGGAGATTAAATTATAATTTAAAAGCCTGGCATGAACTGAGCACCTTCTGCATGCTTATCACCCGCTACTGACATATAGTTCACTTTTTTTTTTTTTTTTTTTTTGAGACGGAGTTTTGCTCTTATCTCCCAGGCTGGAGTGCAAGTGGTGTGATCTCAGCTCACTGCAACCTCCGCCTCCCGGGTTCAAGCGATTCTTCTGCCTCAGCCTCCCGAGTAGCTGGGATTACAGGCGTCCACCACCACTCCTGGCTAATTTTTTTGTGTTTTTATTAGAGACAGGGTTTCGCAATGTTGGGCAGGCTGGTCTCGAACTCCTGACCTCAGGTGATCCACCCGACTCGGCCTCCAAAGTGCTGGGATTACAGGCGTGAGCCATTGTGCCCCGCCCCCTTTTTAACCTAGTTTGTTGTCTCTCACCCCGACCAGAATATAACCTTCATGAGGGCTACAGTTTGTTGTCTATTTATTGCCCAACTCCATGTCCTTGCCACACAGTAGGTTCCCAATAAATGTATGTTGAATAATTAATAAAGACTACATTCTAATGATAATGGCTAACAGACCACGTGATTTACATATTTATTTGGTTTATTATATTATCTGCCTCTGCCTTTTAGAACATAAACCTTCTGGGGGTGGGAATGTTGGGTCCCTACTGTCTGGCAGGCACTGTGCTGGGCTAGGGTTCAATGGTGACCAAAACCGGCAAAATCCTGCCCTCCCTCTGTCATGGGGAGGAACTGCTAATGGGCATGGGGATTCTTTTCTGGGTGAGGAAAATGTTCTAAAATTTACTTATGGTGATAGTTGCACAACTTCGTGAATATGCTAAAACCCGTTAAATTGGACACTAGCTGGCTGAACTTGATGGGATGTAAATTACATCTCAATAAAGCTGTTTGGGAAATCCAGCCTTCACAGTTGTTGATTCGCGTGAGGAGGGAAGGAGAGATGGGGGGACGTGGGACAGGGAGAAAACAACATAAATCATATATATATAGCATGCAAATTGGAAGGTGATCAGCACACAATAGGCATTCAATAAATGTTGAAATAATGACACCCCACTGTCTCCTTGCCCTCAAATGGTCTCCCCTAACGTATCCCCTGTTGTCTTGCTTCTTCTCTTCCCACTTGCAGAGCCTGCTGCCCACGTCTCTTCCCTGAGCTGCCTGCTGGGGTCATGGAGCTGCCAACAAAGCCTGGCACCTTCGACCTGGGCCTGGCCACATGGAGCCCTTCCTTCCAGGGGGAAACCCACCGGGCTCAGGCACGCCGCAGGGATGTTGGCAGGCAGCTGCCTGAGTACAAGGCTGTGGTGGTGGGCGCCAGTGGCGTGGGCAAGAGTGCGCTGACCATCCAGCTGAACCACCAGTGCTTCGTGGAGGACCACGACCCCACCATCCAGGATTCCTACTGGAAGGAGTTGACCCTGGACAGTGGGGACTGCATTCTGAATGTGCTGGACACAGCAGGGCAGGCCATCCATAGGGCCCTGCGTGACCAGTGCCTGGCTGTCTGTGATGGTGTGCTGGGCGTCTTCGCTCTCGATGACCCCTCGTCTCTGATCCAGCTGCAGCAGATATGGGCCACCTGGGGCCCTCACCCCGCCCAGCCCCTTGTCCTCGTGGGCAACAAGTGTGACCTTGTGACCACTGCTGGAGATGCTCATGCCGCTGCTGCAGCCCTCGCACACAGCTGGGGGGCCCACTTCGTGGAGACCTCGGCCAAAACACGGCAAGGCGTGGAGGAGGCCTTTTCCCTGCTGGTCCATGAGATCCAGAGGGTCCAGGAGGCCATGGCGAAGGAGCCCATGGCAAGGTCCTGTAGGGAGAAGACCCGGCACCAGAAGGCCACCTGCCACTGTGGCTGCTCTGTGGCCTGAAGGTCTTGGCCAAGAAATGTAGACCTTTCCCCAGGCCAGGGTGATTGTTCATTTGACATGAGACCCCTGAGGCAACTAGCTTTGAGGGACACATCAGGTATACTAGGGAAAGATGGACATCTCTCTTGTTTTCACTTGGTGAGGGGCTTTTTGGTAACATGGGAGTGCCTAATGTTGCTTTTGTTATGTCAAGTTGAAAGATTTTGTGCAAAATTAAATAAATGGTGTTTTGGGTTTCAAAGCTGCCTCCATGCCGAGTGTTGTGTGGGTGGGAGTGAGACTGGGTAGAATGTTACTTGAGTTGTGAGAATTCTTTCATTCAAGAAATTCAGGGGGAGCCCACTGTGTGCTAGGCTCCGCTTTATATATAAGGGAGGTAGAGGCAAACAAGACACTTAAAAATCCTTGCCCTTATAGATATGGCATCAGGCTAGATAGTGATAAAGGCTACGTGTTAAAGGCAGGTGAAGGAATAGGGTGACAGGTCCAGGAAAGCCTTCTTGAGAGTAGGTGACATCTGGACAAAAACCTGAAGATATCCAGAGGCAGAGGGACTAGCCAGTGCAAAGACCATGGCCACAAATCAGCTGCCACCACAGCAACCCTCAGTATATCCAGGGCCTGGAGCAAGAGTACAGGTAGGCCTCTACACTACATAACTAAATATGTAAACGTTCAGACATTACGAATCAAGCTTTACAAAGTAAATGAAATACACCCTATCCTACTTTGGCAAATACACTTTATTAGTGACCTGGATACCCAGGCTCCAATTTCTCAGCCTTCTCAGAGTTCCCTGCCAGAATGTGCCTGTCTGCCAAAGAGTGTGCCTGTACTGGGGCCTCCCGACCCTCAGTGCCCTCTCCCTTTCTCTCCGCTCTCTCCTTTTCTCTTCCCCACATCAGGAGGTGTTCATGTGTGCCTGCGACATCCCAGCCAGCACCTCAAGCTCTACTCACGTGCCCCACAAAGCCACCCCTTGGCCCTCAGGAGGATGGTCCCTTGGAAGATGATGGTGCAGGCCCTGAAAGTGGCCTCAAAGCCTGGGATCCCCATACCCAAGTGAGGCCTAAAAGGGGGACACAAGATCCGCGATTGTCCATGTGGATGTCTTCCCCTCCACCCCTAGGAGAGACATAGACTGAGCAGGTGATTGCTCTAAAGTGCAGGACCCAGGGTAGAGTCTCCTCTCTCCTGGTCTAAGGGCAACCACCACCGCGGGGAACCACCAGCCCCTAGAAACTGCCACTCACACAGACAAGCACAGAGCTGCTTCAGATCATGTTTATTGTGGGGCCAGGGGGTAGGGATCCTCGGGTGAGAGGGCTGGCTGGCCGGGGTAAGTTGCTCTGGACGTGCTGGCGGGGAGCAGTCCTGGTGGCGGGATGGCGGGGGCACTTCTGGGTCCCAGGGTGCACGGGATCCGGGCAGTGCTCAGGGTGGCAAGAGGCGGCGTGCAGGCACCTGGGGCGCCGGGGTCTCTAGGCGTTTCACACGCAGCAGCGCCCCCAGCACGCCCTCAGGGGGCAGCTCAGAGCCCACATCGTGGTCGGCGGCACGGCGGAGGCGGCGCGGGGCTGCCACCCCCTCGGAGTCCGCGCTTCCCGCAAGAATCCGTCCCAGCAAGTACCTGCAGGGCCGAGCGCAAAGCAGTGAGGCGGTGTCCGCGGTGGGGCGTTCCCCCGCCCCACGCTCGGGGCCCAGAACGCAGGATCCACAACCACATACTGCCTGGGGACACGGTTCCCTCCCCAAGAAGGCGTCCTCAGCCCACTGCTTTCAGTAGACAGCCGTCATCGCCTTTCATCCCAGAAAACTGTGGCTTCCCCGCCTCCCTCTCCCCTTCCCAGGACCTGGGGTCCACTTCCCCCACTGAGTCAGCCAGGCATCCTTGCCTGGACTCCCTGGATCCAGGACCTCACTCCCTCTTAGGCCCCAGGACTTAGGGGTTCGCACTCCACGGGGTAAGCAGGCTTCCCAGTTCCTCGCCCTCGTCCTCTCCGGACGCAGGCGCCCGACCCCTCCCCACCCCCTGCCGGGCACCTCAACAGCTCGGGGTCCACGTCGGGTGTCTCGTCGCCTGCCTCCTCAGCATCCGGGCCCGCGGGGCCGTCGTCGTAGACCGGGGGCCGGGGTCGGAGCGCCGCGGCGGGGACGGGCGCGGGGACAAGCTGGGCTGCTAGGGCGGCAGGGTCAAGGCGGGCGCGGAGCAGAGCGCGAGCGAGCTGCGCTGCAGGCGCGTCGGGGTCGTCGTCCAGGCCCAGAGCCGGATCAGAGTTGCGGGGGGCGCCCCAGACGCGCAGCAGCTGCGCCAGGACGCGCGCCTGCTGATCCTCAGCCTCCTGCGCCTCGGCCCGCGCCCGCTCCTGACGTTCGGCCTCCAGCAGATGCGCCAGCGCCCGCGCCAGCTCCTGCACCGCCCCCGCCGCCTCACCTCGGGGCACTGACCGCCGGAAGCGGCGAGGAGCGCCAGTCTCAGCCAAGGGCGGAGACGCTGCGCTTAGGCCGCGGGGCTCCTGCGGGAAAATGAGGTGGGGGAAAAGAGTTTGTCAGCGTCCGTCGAGACAGGGACCCCCAGCCCGGGAAGCTTCGTAGGCCTCAAACATCCCAGATGCCACCAAAAGCACCGTGACCATCCAAATATACCCGGACACCCCTAAGGCCACTGGAAACCACCAAATATCTCCAGACGCACTTAAGACCACCAAAGATCCCCAGACACCCCCCACCCCCACCCCACAGCGCGCCAGTGATCCCTTGGTGACTCTCATAATTCCTCCCTCCCCACCCCCACTCCTGGAGACCGAGTTTCTTCATAAGAGTAGTGATGGTAGATATGACAGTTATAGATTTTTCCATATTTAATATTGTGGACAATAGGAACTATATGAATAAACTTGTTCATATATCATTTGGCATGTGTACAAGTTCATCTGTAGAATAAATTACCCAATGACAAATTTTCAGTTCAAGCAGTTTTCAAACAATTTCCACAAGTTTAAAGAAATAAAAGAGGGTACCAATAATCTGAGCAAGGAATAAAAGATCATAAAAATGACTGTGAAGGTTTGGAAAAGAAACATACAGGCCACATATAAATATGTTTAAAAGGAGTGATGCCTGCAACACAAATAGTCAATGAAAGAGTAGTACACAGAAGATACAGAGAATTCCTAAAAAGTAGTAAGAGAAAAACAAACTCATACAGAAATAGAAAAAATACATGATCGCCTATTTCACAAAAATGATTACTAAACATATGAAAAATTGGGCCACGTGTAGTGGTTCATGCCTGTAATCCCAGCACTTTGGGAGGCCAAGGCAGGAAGATCGCTTGAGGCCAGGAGTTTGAGACCAGCCTGGTCAAAATGGCGAGACCCTGTCTCTACAAAAAATAAAACCAAAAAAAATGAGCGGGGCACAAGCCCATAGTCCCAGCTACTTGGGAAGATGAGGTGGGAGGATCACCTGAGTCCAGAAGCTCAAGGTTGCAGTGAGCCCAGATCGCACCACTGCACTCCAGCGTGCATGACAGAGGAAGACCCTGTCTCTAACAAACATAAAATAAAATTAAAAACCTCATTAGTAATCAGGGGAAAGCAAATTAAAATGCCAGGGAGATACTATGCATAATATAACCAAAAGATTGACCCAAATCAAAAAGTCTGATAATATGAAGTGTTGATATGAATGCAGAAAAATGGGAACTCTCATACTATGCTGGTGAGAATTAAACTGGCAAAGTAATTTTGCAGAGCGGTTTGACAATATCTAAAAAGATGCACATATCCTATGACCCACTCCTGGGATGTCACTCCCCAGAGCAGCTTTGGCACATACGCTACTGGTCACAAGTTCGTGAAAGATGACAGCAGCACTGTTCGTAATAGCATAAAAGGGCGGGGGAGAAAGAAAAGCCTGGAAACAGTCCAATGTCCACTGACAAATTGAGAATACATATATAAATCATGATGTCCTCATAGGATGTAATATTATGCAGCAATAAAAATAAATGAATTACAGCCACATGCATCAACTTGGATGAATCTCGTGACCAGAATAGAGCCAAGGGAAAAAAAAACGTCAAGTTCCAGAATTTCACTGCAGACTGCCTGAGACTACTAGACACCCTGAGGACTTCCTAGTGACCCCTAGTGACTACGAGGAACCAGTCACCCAGTATGATTCCGTTTCAATGATGTTCAAAAGCAGGAAAAACTAAACAATGGATTTTTTTTGAGAGCTACACATATGTGATAAGCTACAAACAAAAGTAAGGGATCAATGGACAGAAAATACAGAATAAGGACTGTGTGGGGACAGGGGCTGCCATGGCGAGGGGCACGCAGGGGCTTCTAACTCTTGGTCAGGCTCTATTTATTAAGCTGAGTGACTGCTACACGAGAGAGTTATTTTGTCATCATTCTTTACATTGTACATATATATTAAACACATTGTTACACGGATATAAGGTAACAGTTTTTTTTAATTCCCATCTTTGATGCAGACAGTATTGAAGAGCTAGAGGAGGATGCCTCTCCAAGTGCCCTTGCTGGCGCCCACCACTCCTCAGTCACCCCGGGGTATCACACTCACCAGCAATCACAGCCTCACACACACTCATGAGGACTGACAGGCCTGGAGATGTCACATATACAGCCCAACACTGCCACAGCCACATGCAAGGACCTGCACACGTTCACATCCGCAGCTGCTCCTGCAGTTACAATCGCCAAGCCACCCAGGTGCAAGGACATGCACCATCCTTAAAGACACAATGCAGCAGAGAGACATCATGGCTCCTCTCCTCAGGATGACACAGCTCCACAAAGAAACGGAGAGAAACAGTCTCAGGAACACGCAAACGAAATCCCAGGCACTTGGTCCAACAGAACCACTATGGAATGTGCACACGGAGATGCGAAGACCATTCCCTCTCAAACACAAACGAAATCACACACACACACACACACACACACACACACACACACACACAGAGAGAGAGAGACAGAGAGAGAGAGAGAGAGACACGCCCATAGGCCAAGCCAACACACATAATAAGGATTCACAAATATCCACACGGTGTCACTGAGAAAACAATCGGACGCACAAAAGAATCGCGCACAGAAGTATCCCGGTATCACACACACTACACACCCAGACGCACCACGGCACCTTTCTAGGACACTTGGAAGCGCTCAAACCAAAGAACACACACTTTCAAGGACACGACACCTCCACACCGCTCTCCTCACATCACACGCACACACACTGATGCGCGCGCGCCCTTTCTTAAAGCGCCTTAGTGCCGTGGACAGCGTCACAGGCACCGGGCACGGAGAGGTGGGCAGGGCACGGTTACCGGCGGCGCCCCGGACAACGCCACCCGCACAGGCAGAGACCAAGTCAGGTCTCAGGTGTGCCGGCGTGGCCTGGGCGCGGACCGGCGGCCGGAGCCCGGGCCACCCTCGTCGATCTCTCCGCACGTCCCGGGAGCCGGCTCGGGCGGGGGTGAGGCGGCGCAGCCCCAACCCCAACCCTCGCCGGTGGCATCCTCCCCCAACCCCCACCCCTCGCCGGACTGGGGTCGCACCTTTACCGGCCGCGCGCAGAGCGCGGGGGGCGGCCGAAACAGGCCGAGCAGCAGCAGCACCAAAAGGCCGACGCCCCCGGCCCGCGGCCCCCAGAGCAGCGGCGACCCCGCCATGCTGCCCCAGCGAGCCGGGCTCCGGACGGGCGGACTGGCTGGCAAGTGCGCAGTGCCGGGGCGAGCTGGCGAGGCTGCGGCGCTCTGCGGCTGCGCACGCCCGGAACCAGGCCCCCCCCCCCCCGCCCCCACCCCACCCACCCGACCGACGCAGGCGCAGCCTGGGGAGCTGGCAGCCCCACCAGACCTCCCGTCGCCATGGAGATGCCCAAAGGGCAAGGTGGAGAGCTGGCGGTTGCCATGGCAGTCGGAGGGCAGTTGCTGGGGCAACCGACCTTACTGTTACCTTAGTAGACAGGAAAACAGGCAAGAAAAATTGACTCAGTGGAGTGGAATGGGGGTCTGGTCCTCATCTCTCTTCCTGGGGGAGGAGATGGACTTTAGTTTGTTCATTAGATAAATAGTTAATGGATCACCCGCAGTGGGCCCGGCCCGCGCCAGGGAGATGGGTTCAATCTAGGTGATGTGACCATGGACAGCTCAGTTGGCCATTCTAAGGCTCAGGCTCTCAGCGGCGTAAAGGGGTTACTACTGACAGCCTCCCTCAAAGTGACCTTGGAGGTTTAGAATGACATTCAGTAGGAGCTCCATAAATGCTCCTTTCCATCCTCTCCTTGTCTCTTTGTGTTTTTTTTTTTCTGACAGTGTCTCGCTGTGTCCTCCAGGCTGGAGGACAGTGGCCGGATCTCAGCTCACTGCAATCTCCACCTCCAGGGTTCAACCAATTCTCATGCCTCAGCCTGCCAAGTAGCTGGGACTACAGGTGCCCACCACCACGCCTGGCTAATTTTTGTATTTTTGTAGAGATGGGGTTTCGTCATGTTGCCAGGTTGGTCTCCAACTTCTGAGCTCAAGCAATCGGCCCTCCTCGGCCTCCCAAAGTGCTGGGATTACAGGCGTTGAGCCACCATGCCTGGCCCCAGCCCAATACTTTCATCTCTCCATGGCTCTCTGTGTTTATCTTTCTGCCCTTATGTGCCCACAGCTCTCTCTGTGTCTTCCTCTCCCCATATGTCTCTCCTTGTCTATGACTTTCTCTCCTTTCATCTCTCCAACCGCTGTCTTGTCTCTGTCTTTATTTTACTGTCTATATCTACTTGTTTTCCATAGATAGATATATACATAGATACATATATGCATAGACTTTACCCATATATTGTTCCAGAAATAAGTTCAAGCCACTAAAATGACATATCAAAGGAAACAAGATCTTGAAAAAATGTATGTGTATCCATAGGGGGAAAAATGTTGGGGAGGAAATGTCATCAATGGTTATCTCTGGGGAGGTAACTAATGGTTTGTTACTTTCTCCTTTATACTTTTCTGTTGTCTGAAAAAAAAAAATTACAATAGGCCAGGCGCGGTGGCTCATGCTCGTAATCCCAGCACTTTGGGAGGCCGAAGTGGGTGTATCACCTGAGGTCAGGAGTTTGAGACCAGCCTGGCCAACATGGTGAAACCCCATCTCTACTGAAAATACAAAAATTAGCCAGGCATGGTGACACGCGCCTGTAATCTCAGCTACTCAGGAGGCTGAGGAGGAGGAGAACTGCTTGAACCTGAGAGGCAGAGGTTGCAGTGAGCTGAGATGGTGCCACTGCATTCCAGCCTGGGCGACAGAGCAAGACTCCGTCTCAAAAACAAAAAAAGATCATCTGAATAAATGAAGACACAATACATGTTCCTGGATGAGGCAATTTCATTTTATAAAGATGTCAAGTCTATCCAAACTAATATATAATTTCTATGTAATTTCAATTTAAACCCCAGCTGAATATTTTAAAGAAAATCAATTAAATGTACTTTTTATTTTGTTTTATTTTTAATCCTACTCCTTCTGTAATAAAATGTGTAATAAAATTTGTTTTGGTTTGTTTATTTGTGTTTTGAGACAGGGTCTCACTCTGTCACCCAGGCTGGAATGCAGTGGTGAAATCACGGCTCACTGCAACCTCCACTTCCCAGGCTCAAGCAATCCTCCCACCTCAGCCTTCCGACTTGCTGGGACTACAGGTGTTCCCCACCATGCCCAGCTAATTTTTGCATTTTTCTGTAGAGATGGGTTTCACCATGTTGCCCAGGCTGCTCTTGAACTCCTGGGTTCAAGTGATCCACCCACCTTGGCCTCCCAAAGTGCTGGGATTACAGGCATGAGCCACCACACCTGGCCATATTTTTAAATGTATATAAGAGTCCATGCAAAAATTTGTACACAAATGTTCAAAGCAGCATTATTTATAATAGCAAAAAGTGGAAACAACCCAAATGTTCATCAATAGATGAACAGATAAGTAAAATGAGGTTTCTCCATATCATTGAATATTATTCAGCCATAAAAAGGAATGAAGTGAGGCCGGGTGTGGTGCTGTAATCCCAGCACTTTGGGAGGCCGAGGCAGGCGGATTACTTGAGGCCAGAAGTTCGAGACCAGCCTAGCCAACATGGCGAAACTCCATCTCTACTAAAAATATAAAAATTAGCAGGGCGTGGTGGTGCATGCCTGTAATCTCAGCTACTCAGGAGAATCGCTGGAACCTGGGAGGTATGGGTTGCAGTGAGCAGAGATCGCACCACTGCACTCCTGAGCAACAGGGAGAGACTCCGTCTCAAAAAAAAAAAATCTCATGTATCCCATAAATATACACACCATGTACTTATAAAAATTAAAGATTAAGGGGCCGGGCATGGTGGCTCACGCCTGTAATCCCACCACTTTGGGAGGCTGAGGCAGGTGGATCACGAGGTCAAGAGATCCAGACTATCCTGGCCAACATGGTGAAACCTCGTCTCTACTAAAAATACAAAAATTAGCTGGCATGGCAGCAGGCGCCTGTAATCCCAGCTACTCGGGAGGCTGAAGCAGGAGAATCGCTTGAGCCCGGGAGGCGGAGGTTGTAGTTAGCCGAGATCGCGCCACTGCACTCCAGCCGGGCGACAGAGCAAGACTCTGTCTCAAAAAAAGGAATTAAAGATTAAAAACATTTGATATGCATGGTTGATTATCCTAGGTAAAAAGAATTACAGATAAATACAAATATGTATACATGAAAATGGATATGAGTTTTATTTGTTTATTGAAAAGTTATAGGGGCGAGGACAAAAGACTACAAAAATTAAGAAATAAAAATAAAAAGTTATTACAGCTTATTAATGGTAATATTATAATTAATACATACATAATTTTATTTATCATACTAAGTTAATTGTATTTTGAAACTGTGGAAAATTTTTTAATTTATTGACTATGTGTAGATTGACTGACTTCGAGACAGAGTCTCGCTTTGTCACCAAGGCTGGAGTGCTGTGGTGCCATCTCAGCTCACTGCAACCTACTCCCCTTGTGTTCAAGTGATTTTCATGCCTCAGCCTCCCGAGCAGCTGGGACTACAGGTGCACGCCACCACATCTGGCTAATTTTTGTATTTTTTGTAGAGATGGGGTTTTTGCCATGTTGCCCAGGCTGGTCTGAAACTCCTGACCTCAAGTGATCTGCCTGCCTCAGCCTCCCAAAATGCTGGGATTACAGGTGTGAGTCACCATGCCAGGCCTGTATCTGTAGATTTATATTTCCATGTATAACTAACTACATACATATACTTATATTAATAAATTCTCTACTGGAAATTATTACATGAATAATGTACAAAAGATGTAAAATTAGAATTTGTGTCCTTTTACTATGAAATAACTAAATTATTGTTTTCCTAGTTCAGTGGAGGTTTCTTTTGTCATCAAAAATAATCTATCTCTCTGTGCTTTTCGACATATTCTTAAATCTTTTTTTGTTGTTGTTGTTGTTGTTGTTTGAGACAGAGTTTCACTCTGTTGCCCAGTATGGAGTGCAGTGGCATGATCTCGGCTCAATGCAAACTCTGCCTCCCGGGTTCAAGCGATTCTCCTGCCTCAGCCTCCCGAGTAGCTGGGATTACAGGCGTGTGCCACCATGACCAGCTAATGTCTGTATTTTTAGTAGAGATGGGGTTTTGCTATGTTGGCCAGGCTGGTCTCCAACTCCTGACCTCAAGCGATCCGCCCGCCTCAGCCTCCCAAAGTGCTGGGATCATAAGCGTGAGCCACCGCGCCCGGCCACTTAAACCATTTTTTAAAAGAGTCCTTCTTTACCTTTTTTTTTTTTTGAGACGGTCTCACTCCGTCACCCGGGCTGGAGTGCAGTGGCGCGATCTGGGCTCAATGCAACCTACGCCTCCTGGGTTCAAGAAAGTCTCCTGCCCCAGCCTCCCCAGTAGCTGGGACTACAGGCACGTGCCACCACGCCCAGCTAATTTTGGTACTTTTAGTAGAGATGAGGTTTCGTCATGTTGGCCAGGCTGGTCTCCAACTCCTGGGCTCAAGTCATCTATCTGCTGGCCTCAGCCTCCTAAAGTGCTAAGATTACAGGCGTGGGCCACTACGCCCAGTAAGTACTTATTTTTGAAAAAAGTTTCTAATAAACGTTGTTTATTGCTTTATGATTCTGCAGTAATTATAAATATTTCTTGTGCTTAGGTATTTATGAAATATTTTGACTCCTCTAACAACTCTTTGTAATTCTGATTTTCCCAAATTCAGAATAAAATTGGTTAGATGTCTTTTCTATATAAACTATTTTGGGGCTTATTAAAATGATTATTAGGGCTGGGCATGGTGGCTCACGCCTGTAATCTCAGCACTCTGGGAGACTAAGGTGGGAGCATTGTTTGGGCCCCAGAGGTCAAGGCTGCAGTGAGCCATAATTACGCCACTGCACCCCAGCCTGGGAGACAGAGCAAGACTGTCTCAAAAACAAATTAAATTAAATTAAATTAAATGGTTATTAGGTAATCTAAAGATTTCTCCTTCACCTTATAAAAGGAAGGGCAAGAGAAGTAATTAGGTTTATCTAGAATGCTTCACATGTGAATTAATTCAAAATTCTTATAAGTGCTCTTTGGCTTATTAAACAGATTTTTAAAAAACTGACAAATCAAAAAGAAAACTTATCTTTCTATGCTAATTCTGCAAAAGTAAAATATGTTCTCATAAGTGTATTTTAATGATTATAGACTTTTTGTGTTTAAAAGAACCATAATTATGACACAATCAAGCACAAATCCTGGTATAAGAACTGTCTACAAAAAGATGTGTTTCCAGGATTCTAGATGCCCGCTTCCCTTTTTGTTGATGATATGTCTAAACAAGTATCAGGACTATTGCCTCAATTACCTGGGACTCTTTGGAGGCCTGTTATTTACTTTAGTTTTCGATTAGATCCAGGAGCCAAGGCGTAGCCTATGAAACATTATTGCTTCCCCTTCACACATCACTAGCCATTGCTGCAACACTCTGCCCCTCCTGAATGACCTGGGCGATGAAAGCCCCTTGTTGCTTACCTCTGCTGGGAAACCAGCCGCACCCTGCGCACACTTGCTAGAGACCCCCTCAGCTCTCCTGATTTAATTGTGTTGTTGGCAGTTCATACTCAAAAAGAAACACTAGTTGGGACTCGGTGGCTCATGTCTGTAATCTCAGCGTTTTGGGAGGCTAAAGCCAGAGGATCGCTTGAGGCCAGCAGTTCAAGACCAGCCTGGGCAACATGGTGAGACTCCATCTCCACAAAAAATAAAAGTGAAAACTAATACGAACTAAAGGAATTCCACTTTTTAAAAACTTTTATTATTATTATTATTATTATTGAGATAATGTCTGGCTGTGTCACCCAGGCTGGAGTGCAGTGGCAGTGATCTCTGCTCACTACAACCTCCGCCTCCAGGGTTCAAGTGATTCTTGTGACTAAGCCTCCCAAGAAGCTGGGACCACAGGCTCACGCCACCATGCCCAGCTAATTTTTGTATTTTTAGTAGAGATGGGGTTTCACCATGTTGCCCAGACTGGTCTCGAATTCCTAAGCTCGAGCAATCCACCTGCCTTGGCCTCCCAAAGTGCTGGGATTACAGGAGTGAGCCACCACACACAGCCCTTTTTTTTTTTTTTTTTACTTTTATATACCCTAGGAGTAGGTAGAATTTCACTTCTGAGTATACAGCAAAAAGAATTGAAAGCAGGAACACAAAGAGATATTTATACACCCATGTTCAGAGCAGCATTATTCACAATGGCCAAAATGTAGAAGCAACTCATGTTCCTTGATGAATGAATGGATAAGCAAATGCGATATATACATACAATAAAATGTTATTCAGCCTTGAAAAGAAGGACATTCTGACACCTGACAACATGAATGAAGCTCGAGGACATTATGCTAAGTGAAATAAGCCAGTCACAAGACAAATGCTGTATGGTCCAACTTATATGAGGTACTTAGAGCAGTCAAATTCAGAGACAGAGTAGAATGGTGGTTTCTAGGGTCTCGGGGGAGGAGGGAACGGAGTTTATCACTTAATGGGTGTAGAGTTTCAGTTGTGGAAATGAGAAGAGTTCTGCAGATGGATGATGACTGTACTTACACAACAATGCAAATATGCCGGGCGCGGTGGCTCATGCCTGTAATCCCAGCACTTTGGGAGGCTGAGGCCGGGAGATCTCTTGAGTTCAGGAGTTCGAGACCAGCCTGGCCAACATGGTGAAACCCCATCTCCACTAAAAATACAAAAAATAGCTGGGCATGGTGGCGCATGCCTGTAATCCCAGCTACTCGGGAGACTGAGGCAGGAGAATCACTTGAACCCGGGAGACAGAGGTTGCAGTAAGCCGAGTGAGACTCTGTCTCAAAAAATACATATTTACGGCCAGGTGTGGTGGCTCACACCTATAATCCTAGCACTTTGGGAGGCCGAGGCAGGCGAATCACGAGGTCAGGAGATAGAGACCATCCTGGCTAACACAGTGAAACTCCGTCTCTACTAAACATAGAAAAAAATTAGCCAGGCCTGATGGCACACACCTGTACTCCCAGCTACTCGGAAGGCTGAGGCAGGAGAATCGCTTGAACCCGGGAGGCAGAGCTTGCAGTAAGCTGAGATCGTGCCACTGCACTCCAGACTGGCAACAGAACGAGACTCTGTCTCAAAAAAAAAAAATACATACACACACACACACACACACACACACACACACATATATAGAAAGAGAGCGAGAGAGAGAGAGAGAGAGAGTTATATATAAATTAGTTCATATGGCTAAATTAATTGCCCTTGCCTAGATCTGCCAGCTGACAGAAAATAGAAGGTGCATTTTTTTTTTTTTTTTTGAGACGGAGTCTCGCTCTGTCTCCCAGGCTGGAGTGCAGTGGTGCGATCTCAGCTCACTGCAAGCTCCGCCTCCCAGGTTCACGTCATTCTCCTGCCTCAGCCTCCCGAGTAGCTGGGACTACAGGCACCCGCCACCACACCCAGCTAATGTTTTGTATTTTTAGTAGAGACAGGGTTTTACTGTGTTAGCCAGGATGGTCTCGATCTCCTGACCTCGTGATCCGCCCACCTTGGCCTCCCAAAGTGCTGGGATTACAGGCGTGAGCCACCGCGCCCGGCCTAGGAGGTGCATATATTAATACTGATATAAACATATATGATTTCGGGTCAGTCCATGACTTTGAAATGTTTTATCAACAAAAGGATTCCCAGAGCACTACAGGAACCCTTATAAGAATGGACAACAAATTAAGAAAAATTTGTATGCCTTATTATTACTGAGATAGCTACTAATGAAATGAGCCAAGGCCAGGTGCGGTGGCTCACAACTGTAATCCCAGCACTGGCCCAGGTGGGCAGATCACCTGAGGTCAGGAGTTCGAGACCAGCCTGGCCAACATGGTGAAACCCCATATCTACTTTAGAAAAAAAAATTAGGCTGGCAGCAGTAGCTATGCCTGTAATCCCAGCACTTTGGGAGGCCTAGGTGGGCAGATCATCTGAGGACAGGAGTTGGAGACCAGCCTGGCCAACATGGTGAAGCCCCGTCTCTACTAAAAATACAAAAATTAACCGGGCGTGGTGGGGGGCACCTGTAGTCCCAGCTACCAGGGAGGCTGAGGCAGAAGAATCACTTGAACCCAGAGGCAGAGGTTGCAGTGAGCCAAGATTGTGCCACTGCACTCCAGCCTAGGCAACAGTGTGAGACCCTGTCTCAAAAAAAAAAAAAAAAAAAAAAAGAAGAAGAAGAAGAAAGAAAGGAAGGAGCCATGATCTGAGAGCTAAATGGGCCCTGATACTGAACCAACATTGATGGGGTCACTTTAAGGGTATTGCCAGGATGGTTCTTCCATGTCCTACTTCCTCCAGTGACACAGTCATGGCAATGACTATAAAGGTAGAACATGGATAGGAACCAAAGACCTGAGGCCCTTTTGAACACTTCCAAGTGGGCTATGAGTAAGTTCTGGTCCTTGGTTATTTTCAGGGTGAATTGAGCTTTTCTTTGCTGGAGAGCCATTGCAATACAGGGGGAAACTGTATTCCGACTTAGGGAATCCCAATTTATTCTCCAATAAAAGGGACACCAATTAAACTGGTATTGAGGACATCATGCTAAGTGAAATAAACCAGTCACAGAAACACAAACACTACATGATTCCACGTATCTGAGGTATCTAAAATAGTCAAATTCATAGACCCAAAGAGTGTCATGGAGTCGTTGCCAGGGGCCAGGAGGAAGAGGAAATGGGGAGGGCTTTTTTTTTTTTTTTTGAGATGGAGTTTCGCTCTTGTTGCCCAGGCTGGAGTGCAATGGTACAATCTTGGCTCACCGCAACCTCCGCCTCCCGTGTTCAAGCAATTCTTCTGCCTCAGCCTCCCAAGTAGCTGGGATTACAGGCATGTGCCACCATGCCTGGCTAATTTTTTTTTTTTAAGACAAGAGTCTTGATCTATCTCCCAGGATGGAGTGCAATGGCGCAATTTTGGCTCACTGCAACCTCTGCCTCCCAGGTTCAAGCAATTCTCCTGCCTCAACCTCCCGAGTAGTCGGGATTACAGGCGCCCGCCACCACACCCAGCTAATTTTGTATTTTTAGTAGAGACGGGGTTTCGCCATGTTAGCCAGGCTGGTCTCAAACTCCTGACCTCAGGTGATCCACTCACCTCGGTCTCCCAAAGTGCTGGGATTACAGGAGTGAGCCATTGCACCTGGCCAAAATGGGGAGTTATTAATGAACAGGCATAAAGGTTAGTCTCGGGCAAGATGAATAAGCTCAGCCGGGTGCGGTGGCTCACACCTGTAATCCTAGCACTTTGGGAGGCTGAGGTGGGCAGATTGCCTGAGCTCAGGAGTTCAAGACCAGCCTGGGCAACATGATGAAACCCTGTCTCTACTAAAATACGAAAAAAAAAAAAAAATTAGCCGGGCGTGACGGCATGCGCCTGTAGTTCCAGCTACTTGGGAGGCCAAGGCAGGAGAACTGCTTGAACCCAGGAGGCGGAGGTTACAGTGAACCGAGATTGTGCCACTGCACTCCAGCCTGGCAACAGAGCAAGACTCTGTCTCAAAAAAACAAAAAAAAAGAAGAAGAAAAAGAAAAAAACAAGATGAATAAGCTCTAGAGATTTGTTGTGCAACATTGCATCTAGAGTCAACAATACTGTACTGTGCACCTAACATTTTGTTAAGAGGGTAGATCTCATGTTGTATTGTACCATAATAAAATAAATTTTTAAATAAAATCATTGGTAGGCTAGGCGCGATGGCTCATGCCTGTAATCCCAACACTGGGCAGCTGAGGTGGGTGGATCACTTGAGCCCAGAAGGTCGAGAGACCAGCCTAGGCAACATGGTGAAACCCCGTCTCTACTAAAAATTCAACAATAAAAAAATTAGCTGGGCGTGGTGGCAAGGACCTGTGGTCCCAGCTACTCTTGGGGGCTGAGGCGGGAGGATCAATTGAGCCTGGGAGGTCGAGGCTGTGGTGAGTGGTGACCACACCACTTCACTCCAGCCGGGGTGACAGAGCAGGAGAACTGTCACCTCCTGGGGACCCTGTTTCCCTCGGGTATTCAAAAATCTCCCAAAGGGAGGCAAGCATGGGCTACGCAGAAGAACTCTCAGTAGGGACTGCTGAGTCTCTTCATATGAGCTGCAGTTCCCACAGTGGCAGTCACACAATTGGAAAAGGTGGTCCCAAACTTGTCTCTGACCTTAGCAGATGACACAACTTCTACTCTAGAAACCCAACAAACCAGTTTAAATTTAAATTCATTTGCCATCTCGACGTAACGAGATGCGAGATAAGGCCAGGCACTGTGGCTCACACCTGTAATCCCAGCACTTTGGGAGGCCGATGCGGGCGAATCACCTGAGGTCGGGAGTTCGAGACCAGCCTGACCAGCATGGAGAAACCCTGTGTCTACTAAAAATACAAAATTAACTGGGCGTGGTGGCGCATGCCTGTAATCCCAACTATTCAGGAGGCTGAGGCAGGAGAATCACTTGAACCCGGGAGGCGGAGGTTGAGGTGAGCCGGGATCGCGCCATTGCACTCCAGCCTGGGCAACAAGAGCAAAACTCTGTCTCAAAAAAAAAAAAATAAATAAATAAAAATAAAAAATAAAAAAGAGATGCAGGATAACCCCCACAAAAATATTCATTAGCCAGAATTGTCATGAACATAACCCTTGATTTCCTTTGGCTAGTCAAGGGGGAGTGTATGCTTTAGTAAACACTTCTTTTTTTTTTTCCTCATTGTCAAGACTCAACATAAAGCAAATACTTTTTGATGCACCTATATCAACTCTGCAAGTCAAGTAGAACAGTTTCTGATGAGGTTAAAAGAAAAAGTTGGCCAGGTGCAGTGGCTCATGCCTGTAATCCTAGCACTTTGGGAGGCTGAGGCAGGAGGATCAATTGAGCTCAAAAGTTTGAGACCAGCCTGGGCAACATAGCGAGAATGTCTCAAAAAAAAAAGAAAAGAAAAAGTTACCTGGTTCTCTACAGGAGACCAACTAGGCTTTGGGACATATTTCCCTGGTCTGGTTTGGCCGTCTAGGCTCCTGTCTTCGGAGTCTAGTTTGTTTGGTTGAAGTTTTTTTGAGACAGGCTCTCACTCAGTCACCCAAGCTGGAGTGCAGTGGTGTGATCACAGTTCACTGCACCTTCGACCTCCCCAGCTCAGGCAATCCTCCCACCTCAGCCTCCTGACTAGCTGGGACGACAGGTGAAAGCCATCATGCCTGGCTAATTGTTTGTATTTTTGTAGAGACGGGGATCTTGCCATGTTGCCCAGGCTGGTCTCAAACTCCTGGGCTGAACCGATCCTCCCGCCTCAGCATCTGAAAGTGCTGGGATTACAGGTGTGAGCCACAGCTCCCAGCCTTCAGTGTCTATTATAAAGACTAAACCTCAGCTTGTTTCTGTGATTGCCTGTGTTGCATTTGGCCAATGTATCCTGTCCAGAGTCTTTTTTTTAAAAAGGTTTTCAAAGTCCAGTGTCGTGGTTCACGTCTGTAATCCCAGCTACTAGGGAGGCTGAGGTGGAAGGATCACTTGAGCCTGGGAGGTTGAGGCTGCAGTAAGCTGTGATCACTGCACTCCAGCCTGGGCAACAGAGAGAGACCCTGTCTCAAAAAAAGAAAAAGTTTTGGCCGGGCACAGTGGCTCACACCTGTAATCCCAGCACTTTGGGAGGCCAAGGAAGGCGGATCACCCAAGGTCAGGAGTTCGAGGCCAGCCTCACCAACATGGCGAAACCCGGTCTCTACTAAAAAGAAAAAAAAAATTATCCAGGCATGGTTGCGGGCATCTATAATGCCAGCTACTCAGGAGGCTGAGGCAGGAGAATCACTTGAGCCCAGGAGGTGGGGGTTGTTGTGAGCCAAGATCTCGCCACTGCACTCCAACCTGGGCAACAGAGTGAGACTCTGTCTCAAAAAAAAAAAAGTTTTTAAGATAGTATTTATTTGTAGTTAGAGCTGAGTTCTTCTGTTAGTTTTTAAATGTCTTCCTGGGGAGTAGCACTTTCTAAGGGTTCCAAGTTCATCCGTTGGCTGTCATAGCCATCCAGCAATCCAAGGCTGGGCTTTGGTGTCCTGTAGGGAAGCTAGGTCCCTCCTGGGTCGTGGATCCTGGCCTTGCAGGGGCCTGGCCAGGCATAGAGGAGAGCCTTGTGCGAGTGCCTCACATTCTGCATTGTGGGGACCCCAGTCCATGTGGTGTAGGCTGCAGCGCTGGGAGGAGCCAGAACTTGCGACCTCGAGAGAGGCGGTAGCAGTAGCCCCGGCTGGGCCTATAACATCTGGACCTTTTCTTAGGGCTGAGGCCGCACCTCCGCCAGGGCGGCGGGAAGCATCGCGGATGGTGGCCAGGTGGGCCATGCAGCTCCCCGTTGCTGCAGCAGTGCTGGGAGCTTGGGAGACTGAGGCAACCCAGCAGCCATAATGGTGAGTATGAAGCCGACGCTCTCCAGAGCATCAAAAATGCAGAAGGGAGTGGCTGGGCATGGTGGCTCATGCCTGTAATCCCAGCACTTTGGGAGGCCAAGGTGGGTGGATCACCTGAGGTCAGGAGTTCAAGACCAGCCTGGCCAACATGGTGAAACCCTGTCTCTACTAAAAATATAAAAATTAGCCAGGCATGGTGGTCTGTACCTGTATTTCCAGCTACTCAGGAGGCTGAGGCAGGAGGATAGCTTGAGCACAGCAGTTTGAAGCTATATTGCACTATTATTACGTCTGTAAATAGCCACTGTACTTCATCCTGGGCAACATAGCCAGACCCCATCTTTATTTTATTTTATTTTTTTGAGACAGAGTTTTGCTCTTGTTGCCCACGCTGGAGTGCAATGGCGCGATCTCAGTTCACTGCAAACTCCACCTCCCGGGTTCAAGCAATTCTCCTCCCAAGAGAAGCCTCAGCCTCCCAAGTAGCTGGGATTACAGTCATGTGCCACCATGCCCGGCTAATTTTTGTATTTTTAGTAGAGACAGGGTTTCACCATGGTGGTCAGGCTGGTTTTGAACTCCTGACCTCAGGTGATCCACCCTCCTTGGCCTCCCAAAGTGCTGGGATTACAGGCGTGAGCCACTGTGCCCGGCCAAGAGCTCATCTTTAAATAAATAAATATATGGTTTTTGTTGTTGTTGTTTTGTTTATTTTGTTTTGTTTGTTTGTTTGTTTTTGACAGACAGTCTCGCTCTACCGCCCAGGCTGGAGTGCAGTGGTATGATCACAGTTCACTGCAATCTCTGCCTCCCAGGTTCAAGCAATTCTCGTGCCTCAGCCTCCCGAGTAGCTGAGATTACAGGCATGGACCACCATGCCTGGCTAATTTTTTGTATTTTTATTAGGGATAGGGTTTCACTATGTTGCCCAGGCTGGTCTCAAACTTCTGGGCTCAAGTGACCCACTTGCCTCGGCCTCCCAAACTGTTGGGATTACAGGTGTGAGCCACCATGGCTGGCCAAAAAATGTCTTTTCTTAAAACAACTTTATTGAGGTATACTTGTATTGAGATATAACTAATGTTGTACACTTACAACAAAAACTACACATATCTAGTGTATACAATCTGTGAGTTTGACTTATGTATATGCTCATGATACTATCACCACAATCAAGATAATAATCATATCCATCACCTCCAGCGTTTCCTTGTGTCCCTTTGTAGTGGTTTGTTTTAGCTTTGGTTTTTTTGTGTGTGGCATAACCCTTAACATGAGATCTACCCTCTTAACAAATTTTAAAGTGCACAATGCCATATTGTAAGCTATAATTACTATGTTGTACAGCAGATCTCTAGAACTGATTCTTCATGCATAACTGAAACTTTATACCCATTGAGAAACAAGTCTCCCTTTCCTCTCCCCGGAGACCCTGGCAACCACCATTCTATTCTCTGCCTCTATGAGTTTGACTACTTTAGATACCTCATATTAGTGGAATCCTGCAGTATTTGTCTTTTTTTGTGACTAGCTCATTTCACTTAGCATAACATCCATGTTGTTGCAAATGGTAAGATTTCTTTTTCTTTTTTTTAATTTTATGGAGACAGAGTCTCACTCTGTTGTCTAGGCTGGAGTGCAGTGGCACAATCTCGGCTCACTGCAACCTCTGCCTCCCGGGTTCAAGTGATTTTCATACCTCAGCCTCCCAAGCAGTAGCTGGACTACAGGCATGAGCCACCACACCCAGCTGGTTTTTTGTATTTTTAGTGGAGACGGGGTTTCACCATGTTGGCCAGGCTGGTCTCTAACTCCTGACCTCAAGTGATCTGCCTGCCTCAGCCTCCCAAAGTGCTGGGATTACAGGTGTGAACCACTGTACCCGGCCATAAGATTTCCTTCTTTTTGTGGTTGAATAATATCCCACTGTATGTATATACCACATTTTTGATATCCTTTCATGTGTCAATGGACTTTCAGGTTGTTTCCATACCTTGGCTATGGTAAATAATGCTATGATGAACATGGAAGTGTGGATAGCTCTTTGAGATTCCTGTAAAATCAACATACAAAAATTAATTGTGTTTCTATACACTAACAACTATCTGAAAAGGAAATTAAGAAAACAATCACATTTGCAATAGCATCACAAATAATTAAATACTTAGGAAGAAACTTAACCAAGTAAATGAAATATCTGTACACCAAAAACTAGAAAACATTAGTGAAAGAAAGTAATGAAGACACAAATAAATGGAAAGACATCCTGTTCTCATGAATTGGAAGACTTAATAGTGTTAAAATATCCATACCATTCAAAGAAGTCTACAAGGCTGGCGCAGTAGCTCACACTTGTAATCTCAGCACTTTGGGAGGCCGACGTGTGTGGATCACTTGAAACCAGGAGTTAGAGACCAGCCTGGGCAACATGGTGAAACCCCATCTCAACTAAAAATACAAAATTAGCCAGGCATATTGGTGTACACCTGTAATCCCAGCACTTTGGGACGCTGAGGAAGGCAGATTACTTGAGGCCAAGAGTTGAAGACCAGCATGGGCAACATGGTGAAACCCTGTCTCTACTAAAAATACAAAAAAGTTGTCGGGTGTGGCGGCACTCACCTGTAGTTCCAGCTACTCGGGAGGCTGAGGTGGGAGGATTGTTTGGGCCTGGGAAATGAAGGTTGCAGGGCTGCAGTGAGCCGAGATTGTGCCACTGCCCTCCAGTCTGGGCAACAGAGCAACATTCTGTCTCAAAAACAACAGCAACAACAACAAAGTAATCTGCAGCCTCAATCCTAGACCCATCAAAATCCCAGTGACATTTTTTACAGCAATAGAGAAAACAATTCTAAAATTCATATGTAGCCACAAAAGACCCAGAATAGCCAAAGCAATCTTGAGAAAAAAGAACAAAGCTGTGAGGTCAGAGCCACCACAGAGAATAGGTCTAGTGGAGCTTTGGAGGTGGGCCCCCCCCACTCCCCAAGAACCCAGAACTGTAGAGCTACCAGCAAGCAACAGCAGCTTGGGTGCCTGCAACCCCTGAGAGATTGCTGTGTGGGCTGAGCCCAGCAAGCTTGTGGGGGCGGGGCTACCTGAAGCCTTGGGGGCCCAATCCCTACCCCAGTGTGCCCAAAGGTGGTGCATACCGTCAAAGATAATTGTGGAGGTTTAAGACAATGTTGTTTGCCCTGTGGGCTTTTGGATTTGCTGGGAACTGCTATTCCTTTTTTCTTTCCTGTTGCTCCCTTTAGGAATGGGAACATTCATCTTCTGCCTGTCCCACTGTTGTATTTTGGAAGTAGATAACTTGTGTTTGTTTTTGAGATGGAGTCTCACTCTGTCACTCAGGCTGGAGTGCAATGGTGCAATCGCGGCTCACTGCAACCTCCACTTCCTGGGTTCAAGCGATTCTTGTGCCTCACCCTCCTGAGTAGCTGGGACTACAGGTGCGTGCCACCACTCCTGGCTAATTTTTGAATTTTTAGTAGAGACGGGGTTTCACCATGTTGGCCAGGCTGGTTTTGAACTCCTGACCTCAAGCGATCCACCCACCTTGGCCTCCCAAAGTGCTGGGGTTGCAGGCGTGAGCCACCGCATCCAGCCGAGATAATTTGTTTTGATTTCACAGGTTCACAGCTGGAGGAATTTGCTTTAGAATGAACTGTGCTTACAGTATCACCCATATCTGGTTTAGACGAGACTCTGGGCTTTGAACTTTTGAGTTGGTACTGGAACAAATTAAGACTATGGGTCTATTGAGATGGAATGAATGTATTTTACATGTGAGAAGGGTATGAATTTGGTGGACCAGAGGCAGAAGGCTGTGGTTTGAATGTGTCCCCAAAAAGCATGTGTTAAAAACTTAATTCCCAATGCAACAGTGTTGGGAGGTGAGGCCTAATGAGAGGTGATTAGGCCATAGGGCAGAGTGAAGGAATTAATGCTATTATCACAAGAGTGGGTTCACTATAAAAGGGGGAGTTTAACCCCCTGTATTAGTCTGTTTTCATGCTGTTGATAAGGACATACCCGAGACTGGGCAATTTACAAAAGAAAGAGGTTGAATGGACTCACAGTTACACGTGGCTGAGGAGGCCTCACAATCATGGTGGAAGATGAAGGGCACATCTCACATGGCGGCAGACAAGAGAGGAGAGCTTGTGCAGGAAAACTCCCCTTTATAAAACCATCAGATCTCATGAGACTTATTCACTATCGTGAGAACAGCATGGGAAAGACCTGCCCCCATGATTCAATTACCTCCCACCAGGTCTCTCCCACAACAGGTGGGAATTCAAGATAAGATTTGGGTGGCGACACAGCCAAACTATATCATTCTGCCCCTGGCCCCTCCAAAATTTCATGTCTTCACATTTCAAAACCAATCATACCTTCCCAACAGTCCCCCAAAGTCTTAACTCATTCCAGCATTAACTCAGAAGTCCACAGTCCAAAGTCTGATCTGAGACAAGGCAAGTCCCTTCCGCCTATGAGCCTGTAAAATCAAAAGCAAGTTAGTTACTTCCTAGATATGATGGGGGTACAGGCATTGGCTAAATACAACTGTTCCAAGTGGGAGACATTGGCCAAAACAAGGGGGCTACAGACCCCATGGAAGTCAGAAATCTAGTGGGGCAGTCAAATATTAAAGCTCCAAAATGATCTTCTTTGACTCTATGTCTCACATCCAGGTCACACTGATGCAAGAGGTAGGCTCCCATGGTCTTGGGCAGTTCCACCCCTGTGGCTTTGCAGGGTACAGACTCCTTCCCAGCAGCTTTCATGGGCTTGTGTTGAGTGTCTGTGGCTTTTCCAGGCTCATGGTGCAAGCTGTTGGTGGATCGACTATTCTGGGGTCTGGAGGATAGTGGCCCTCTTCTCACAGCTCCACTAGGCAGTGCTCCAGTGGGGACTCTGTGTGGGGGCTCCGACCCCACATTTCCCTTCTGCACTGCCCTAGCAGAGGTTCTCCATGAGGACTTTGCCCCTGCAGCAAACTTCTGCCTGGACAGCCAGGCATTTCCATACATCCTCTGAAAGCTAGGCAGAGGTTCCCAAACCTCAGTTCTTGTTTTCTGTGCACCTGCAGGACCAACACCACATGGAAGCTGCCAAGGCTTGGGGTTTGCACCCTTTGAAGCAACGGCCTGAGCTGTACCTTGGCTCCTTTTAGCCACGGCTGGAAAGGCTGGGAGTCCCTAGGCTGCACACAGGAGGGGGTGCCCTGGACCCAGCCCAGGAAACCATTTTTCCCTTTTAGGCATCCAGGCCTGTGATGGGCGGGCCTGCCCCGAACGTCTCTGACATGCCCTGGAGACATTTTCCCCATTGTCTTGGTGATTAACATTCGGTTCCTCGTTACTTATGCAAATTTCTGAAGTGGCTTGAATTTCTCCCCAGAAAATGGGGGTTTCTTTTCTATCACATATTCAGGCTGCAAATTTTTCAAACTTTTATGCTCTGTTTGTTTCCTCTTGAACACTTAGCTGCTTAGAAATTTCTTCCGCCAGGTATCCTAAATAATCTCTCTCAAGTTCAAAGTTCCACAGATCTCCAAGGCAGGGGCAAAAAGCCACCAGTCTCTGCTAAAGCATACCTTTGCTCCAGTTCCCAACAGGTTCCTCATCTCCATCTGAGGCCATATCAGCCTGGAATTTATTTTTCATATCACTACCAGCATTTTGGTCAAAGCCATTCAACAAATGTCTAGGAAGTTCCAAACTTCCCCACATCTTCCTGTCTCCTTTAGAGCCCTCCAAACTGTTCCAACCTCTGCCTGTTACCCAGTTCCAAAGTTGCTTCCACATTTTTGGGTATCCTTATAGCAGCACCCAACTCCTGGTACCAATTTATTGTATTAGCCCCTTTATAAAACCATTAGTCTAAGGGAGGAGACCACCCCTCATATTGTCTTATGCTCAATTTCTGCCTCCAAAGAAAGAAGAAGTAAAAACTAAAAGGCAGAAATGAAATCCATAGGCTGCCACACCCTGGGCCTGGTTAAAGATTGACCCCTGACCTAACCAGTTATGTTATCTATAGATTCCAGACATTGTATGGAAAAGCATTGTGAAAATCCCTGTCCTATTCTGTCCCGTTCCGATTACCAGTGCATGCAGCCCCCAGTCACGTACCCCCTGCTTGCTCAATTGATCATGACTCTCTCACGTGGACCCCCTTAGAGTTGTAAGCCCTTAAAAGGGATGGGAATTGCTCACTCGGGGAGCTCAGTTTTTGGAGATGTGAGTCTTGCTGAAGCTCCCAGCTGAATAAAGCCCTTCCTTCTTTAACTCGGTGTCTGAGGGATTTTGTCTGAGGCTTGTCCTGCTACATTACTTGGTTCCCTGACCAGTTAGAAAGGTGATTAATGGATGGTGGAGGCAGCCCCTTAGGCAGCTTAGGCCTGCCCTGTGGAGCATCCCTGCAGGGGACTCCAGCCAGCTTGAGTGACGCGGATCCTGAGAGTGCCCCGGGGTAGGCAATTACCCCAGTGGAACGCCTCACCAGAGCAGCATGTGGCAGGCCCCTGTGGAAGATCAACTCAGTGGCTGAACACCGGGAAGGAACTGGCACTTGGAGTCTGGACATCTGAAACTTGGTAAGACTGGTCTTTGGAACTTGCCCACTCCATTTCAATGGAAGCGTGGCCTGATCACCCACGATGTGCCTGTACCGGCACTTTGGTTTTTGTTTTTGACTTGACTTGGGTTGCTTGATACTTTGGTTTTGGTTTTGACCTGGCTTAGATTTCTGGATACTCTGATTTTGGTTTTGATTCTGGTTTGGTGTAAACTGTAAAAGTGTGTGTGTGCCCTTTTTACCCGTTCTTTGTTTTGTGGTGTGTGTGTGGTGTGAGAGTGGTGTTTTGTCTTGAGGAAGCATGGGTCGGGCACAAGGTAAGCCCACCCCACTAGGAACTATGTTGAAAATTTTCAAGAAAGGATTTACGGGAGATTACAGTGTTACTATGACACCAGGAAAACTTAGAACTTTGTGTGAAATAGACTGGCCAGCATTAGAGGTGGGTTGGCCATCAGAAGGAAGCTTGGACAGGTCCCTTGTTTTAAAGGTATGGCACAAGGTAACCTGTAAGCCAGGGAACCCAGACCAGTTCCCGTAGCTAGACACTTGGTTACAGGTGGTTTTAGACCCCCCCACACACACAGTGGTTGAGAGAACAGCAGCATAAGCGGCTGGCAGAGGCAAGGAAAGACCAGCAGAGGGAGAGAGAGGAAAGAGACAGAGAGGAAAGAGGCAAAGAGAGAGAGGAAGAGACAGAGAGACAAAGAGGGAGTCGAGGAGAAAAAGAGAGGAAGAGACAGAGGCAAAAGGAAAGTCAAAAAGAGAGACAGAAAGTCAAAAAAAGAAAGAGAGAAATATACAAGTAGTTAAAAAAAAAAAAAACAGCGTACCCTATCTATTCCTTTAAAAGCCCGGGTAAATTTAATACCTATAATTGATAATTGAAGGTCTTCTCCGTGACCCTACAACACTCCAATACAACCTTGTTGTAAGTGTAAACAAGGGCGTAGCCTGAAAGCATTGAGGCCACTGACTACCTGTAGCCTTCCTATCAAAAATCCTTAACCCAGTAACCTGTGGATGGCCCAAATGCATTCAATCTGTAGTGGCAACTGCTTTGCTAACAGAATAAAGTAGAAAAATAACTTTTAGAGGAAATCTCATTATGAGCACACCTCACTAGTTCAGAAGTATCCTAAGCGGGGGAAAAAAAAAGATGATTTAACATTAACCACTGAAAATTCCCTTAACCCAGCAGGTTTCCTAACAGGGGATCTAAATCTTAATTACCATACAAAGGTCTGATCAGACCTAGGAGGAACTCCCTTCAGGACAGGATGATAGATGCTTCCTCCCAGGTAATTGAAGAAAAAAAAGCCATCTATACCAATTCTAAGTTAATTTGGACTAAACAAGGTCTTATTAATAGCAAAGGATAATTGAAATCCCAAACTTACAAGATTTTCAACAAAAGTAAAGTTTGCTAAAAGTTAACAATGTAACATGTATTATAATAACTTCTAATCTTGTGGCCTTAGACAATCTAGCCCACAGACATAAAGGAAGTTCACTTTGGAAAAGAATGGTTATCTTAGAAGAAAAAAAAAAGGGGGGAAAAGATGGGGGCAGAGTTTATGTAAAAAGAATATTATATGGTAAATTCTTGTCCTGAAATAAATTAACTGGTTGTTTAAAGAAAGAAATGTTTGTAATAAGTCTGAAAGTTGAGGCAGGTCAAAGAATTGTCTGTGAAAGTCATGAAAGAGAAAAAATATATATTATAAAAAAAGAATTTATGCAAGAAATGTTGTATAATTTAAAAGTAACTAAGCCTCCTGAATGTAAAACTATTGAAAAAATAGTTTATGTGCAAGGTGTATAAGGAAAGTAAAATATACCTTTGGTAAAAGGATTATAAGGTGGCATAAGAATGTAAATTTTTACCTACATTAAAAGGTTAAAACAAATTTGTTTTGAAGGTTTAAGCAAGTTTTAAAATGTTAATTGTAAAAAAAATTCTGCGTGTAAACATATTAGCTAAAGTTAAAGGGGTATCATCCAGTTTTTCTGTGAAGTGAACATTAAAATAAAAACACAACGTGTTTCTCTTAAAGCACTAACCTGCTCTTTAACACAGATTATAAAAGGTTAAAAAGAGTCTATAAAAATCTTACCTTATGGTCTGACATTAAAAACTGAATAAATATGTCTGCAAAGTTTTATTAAAACTAAGTTTAACATTGGCCGGGCGCAGTGGCTCACGCCTGTAGTCCCAGCACTTTGGGAGGCCGAGGCGGGCAGATCCCAAGGTCAGGAGATCGAGACCATCCTGGCTAACACGGTGAAACCCCGTCTCTACTAAAAATACAAAAAATTAGCCGGGCGTGGTGGCAGGCGCCTGTAGTCCCAGCTACTCGGGAGGCTGAGGCAGGAGGGAGGCAGAGCTTGCAGTGAGCCGAGATGGAGCCACCACACTCCAGCCTGGGTGACAGAGTGAGACTCCATCTCAAAAAAAAAAAAAAAAACTAAGTTTAACATTAATAACACACTAATATAAAGGTGAAATTTAGCTTATCTGGTATAAAAATCATACAGGAAGCATTATCAAATATAAAATGGTGTTTGACTTCTTTGGTCCAAAAACTAATAAAAATAGGTGCTAAAGGAAATTTCTCAGTAGAAAGTCACCAAGGACTATAATGTCCACTGCTGATGTCCCCACATTTAAAACAAAAGGTCAGTTTCTTAAAAATTATATACTTGGTTAATCCTCCACTTCCCTTTCCCTCAAAACTAAAAGTCTTTTAGCACATGTACCACCCCTAGAATTTCCAGTAAACCAGCACCAGCACCAGCCTGAAGATCACGTTCTCATCAAAGGATGAAAAAAAAGGAAACTCGAGCCAGCCTAGGAAGGACCCTATCTTGTGCTGCTAACCACCGAGACTGCTGTTCGTACAGCGAAAAAAGGATGGACTCATCACACCTGAGTCAAGAAAGCGCCACCCCCTCCAGAATCATGGGCCATAGTCCCAGGGGAAAACCCTACCAAACTAAAGCTAAGAAAAATTTAACTCTTTCATCTATTCTATTACTCTTTCTTCTTTCCTCGCTCTATTGCTGACCATCTAGTTATTAACATAACCAAGTCAATTTTACCTCAGACTATTGCATTTAATGCTTGTCTTGTTATACCCTGTGGGGACCTGCCAAGTCAAAGACAGTTCTGTACTTGAGAAAAATACATCTGTCCCTCCTGACTCTCCTCAGACTGGGCATTGGTAAATTAGGACCATTTAATCAGGGGAAATTTCAATAAAGACTCCAGTGTCAACCAGGAGTCTTGCTCCCCAATGTAGAGCTTTTATGCTGTACTTGGTCCAACATTCTGTGGACCACTAAAGTGCAAGGATGGACTGCCCCAACTGGTTTTTGTAATTTCCTAAAATCATACATTCATTTTACTAGAGGATCATAGAAGTTAAAGACTTAAAACAAACTTTGGCAATTAAGACAGGATACCAAGATGCAAATGCCTGGTTGGAATGGATCAAATATTCCGTCTGCACCTTAAACAAAAGCAATTCTTATGCTTGTGCATATGGCAGGCCAGAGTCCCAGATTGTCCCCTTTCCACTAAGGTGGTCCTCCAGTGGACCAGGCATGCGCTGCATGGTAGCTCTTTTCCAGGATTCTACAGCCTGGAGTGATAAGTCGTGCCAAGCTCTCTCTGCTATATCCCAAAGTACGGCACCCTGTGGGTCAGCCCCCAAGGGCCATCCAGCTTCCGTCTCCCAACACTAACTTCACTTCTTGTCTCTCACGACAGGGAGGAAACTTAGCATTCCTTGGAGACCTGAAGGGATGCAGTGAGCTTAATAATTTTCAAGAGCTTATCAATCAGTCAGCGCTTGTTCATCCCTGAGTGGATGTGTGGTGGTATTGGGGTGGACCTTTATTGGGCACTCTGCCGAATAACTGGAGTGGCACTTGTACTTTAGTCCAATTGGCTATCCCTTTCACCCTGGCATTTCATCAACCAGAGGGAGGAAAAATAAGACATTGTAAAGCGAGAGAAGCCCCTTATAGGTCTTTCGACTCTCATGTCTATTTAGACGCAATTGGAGTCCCATGGGGAATACCAGATCAATTTAAAGCTTGAAATCAAATAGCTGCAGGATTTGAGTCAATATTTTGGTCGGTGACAGTTAATAAAAATTTAGATTGGATAAACTACATCTATTACAACCAACAGCAATGAGCTTTTCATGAGTTAAAAGAAAAACTCATGTCGGCCCCAGCCCTGGGGCTACCTGACCTGACAAAACCCTTTACACTCTATGTGTCAGAAAGAGAAAAAATGGCAGTTTTGGAGTTTTAACCCAGACTGTGGGGCCCTCTCTCAAAACAACTAGACGGGGTTTCCAAAGGCTGGCCCCCATGTCTAAGGGCCCTGGCAGCAATGGCCCTGTTAGCACAAGAAGCAGATAAACTAACCCTTGGGCAAAACCTGAATATAAAGGCCCCCCATGCTGTGGTAACTTTGATGAATACCAAAGGACATCACTGGATAACAAATGCTAGATTAACCAAGTACCAAAGCTTGCTATGTGAAAATCCCCACATAACCACTGAAGTTTGCAACACCCTAAACCCAGCTACCTTGCTCCCAGTATCAGAGAGCCCAGTTGAACACAACTGTGTAGAGGTATTGGACTCAGTTTATTCTAGTGGGCCCAACCTTTGAGACCATCCTTGAACATCAGTAGACTGTGAGCGGTATGTGGACGGGAGCAGCTTCGCCAACCCCTGCAAAGTAACTCTGAAGAAGTCGACAAGCCCTGCTCCAGTCACACCCGGAAGCTGACTGGTCCACGCACGGCTGAAGCATGAGAAAACTCATCGCGGGACTCATTTTCCTTAACATTTGGACTTGTACAGTAAGGACTTCAACTGACCTTCCTTGGACTGAGGACTGTTCCTAGTGTATACATCAAGTCACTGAGGTAGGACAAAAGGTTGCTACGGTCCTATTATTTTATGGTTATTATAAGTGTACTAGAACTCTAAAAAGAACTTGCTTGTATAATGTTATTCTATACAAGGTACATAGCCCAGGAAATGACCAACCTAATGTGTGTTATGACCCATCTGAGCCTCCCATGACCACAGTTTTTGAAATAAGATTAAGAACTGAGGACTGATGGGGGCTCATAAACAATACGAGTAAAGTGTTAGCCAAAACAGAAGAAAAAGGGGTGCCCAAACAAGTCACCTTGAAATCTGATGCCTGTGCTGTCATTAATAGTAATAAGTTAGGAATATGATGTGGTTCCCTTAATTAAGAAAGAGGCTATATGGCAGAACGTAAGTACACTTGTCATGAATTAAGACTGTGTGGAAATAAATGTGGATAGTGGTCTTGTGTCATTTAGGCTACTTGGATAAAAAATAAAAAAAATCCTGTCCATCTTCAGAAAGGGAAAAGTGGCCCTTCCTGTACCAGTGGTCAGTGTAACCCCTTAGAACTGGTAATAACCAAATCCCTTGATCCTTGCTGGAAAAAAGGGGAGCATGTAACCTTAGGAACTGATGGGGCTGGACTGGATCCTCGAGTAAATATTGTGGTTTGAGTAGAAGTTTATAAACACTCTCCTGAGCCAGTATTTCAAACCTTCTATGATGAACTGAATGTGCCAGTACCAGAAATTCCAGGAAAAACAAGAAATTTGTTTTTTCAATTAGCCGAGCATGTAGCCCAGTCTCTCAATGTCACTTCATGTTATGTATGTGGAGGAACGGTAATGGGAGACCAATGGCCATGGGAAGCCCAAAAATTAGTACCTACAGACCCAGTTCCTGATGAATTCCTGGCTCAAAAAAATTACCCTGATAATTTCTGGGTCCTAAAAGCCTCAATCATTAGATAATACTATATAGCAAGAGTGGGGAAGGACTTCACCCTTCCTGTGGGAAGACTCAGCTGCCTTGGGCAAAAACTGTATAATAGTACTACAAAAACAGCCACCTAGTGGAGTTCAAACCACACTAAGAAAAATCCATTTAGTAAATTCCCAAAGTTGCAAAACGTGTGGACCCACCCAGAGTCCCACCGGGACTGGACAGCCCCCACTAGATTATACCGGATATGTGGGCATAGACCTTATGTCAAATTACCCAACCAGTGGGCAGGTAGTTGTATTATTGGCACTATTAAACCATCTTTCTTCCTACTGCCCATAAAGACAGGCGAACTCCTGGGCTTCCCTGTCTATGCTTCCCACGCAAAGAGAAGCATAGCTATTGGAAATTGGAAAGATAATGAATGGCCCCCTGAGAGAATCATACAATATTATGAGCCTGCTACTTGGGCACAAGACGGCTTGTGGGGATACCAGATCCCCATTTACATGCTCAACCGAATCATATGGTTACAAGCTGTCTTAGAAATAATCACTAATAAGACCAGCAGAGCCTTGACTATTCTGGCCCGGCAAGAAACCCAAATGAGAAATGCTATTTATCAAAATAGATTGGTTCTCGACTACTTGCTAGCAGCTGAAGGAGGGGTCTGTGGGAAATTTAACCTTACTAATTGCTGTCTACACATAGATGATCAAGGGCGAGTAGTTGAAGACATAGTTAGAAATATGACAAAATTGGCACATGTGCCCGTGCAAATGTGGCATGGATTTGATCCTGGGGCCATGTTTGGAAAATGGTTCCCAGCACTGGAAAGATTTAAAACTCTTATAATGGGAGTTATAATAGTAATAGAAACCTGCTTACTGCTCCCTTGTTTACTATCTGTACTTCTTCAAACGATAAGGAGCTTCATCGCTACCTTAGTTCACCAAAATGCTTCAGCACAGGTATGCTATATGAATCACTATCGATCTATCTTGCAAGAAGGCATGGGTAGTGAGAATGAAAGTGAGAACTCCCACTATTGAGTGAGATTCTCAAAGCGGGGAAATAAGGGAGGAGACTACCCCTCATTTTGTCTTATTCCCAATTTCTGCCTCCAAAGAAAGAAGAAGTAAAAACTAAAAGGCAGAAATGAAATCCACAGGCAGACAACCCAGCGCTGCACCCTGGGCCTGGTTAAAGATCGACCCCAACCTAACGGGTTATGTTATCTATAAATTCCAGACATTGTATGGAAAAGCACTGTGAAAATCCCTGTCCTGTTCTGTTCCATTCTGATTACTGGTGCATGCAGCCCCCAGTCACCTACCCCTGCTTGCTCAATTGATCATGACCCTCTCATGTGGACCCCCTTAGAGTTGTAAGCCCCTAAAAGGGACAGGAATTGCTCACTCAGGGAGCTCGGTCTTTGGAGACATGAGTCTTGCCGAAGCTCCCGGCTGAATAAAGCCCTTCCTTCTTTAACTCGGTGCCTGAGGGATTTTGTCTGTGGCTTGTCCTGCTCCAAGTCCCTTTATAAAACCATTAGATCTCATGGGACTTATTCACTATCATGAGAACAGCACTGGAAACACCTGCCCTCATGATTCAATTACCTCCCACCAGGTCCCTCCCAAAACATGTGGGAATTCAAGATGAGATTTGAGTGGGGACATGGCCAAATCATATCACCCCCATTCTCTCTCTCTCTCTGTCACCCTTGCTTTGCCCTTCTGCCATGGAATGATGCAGCAAGCTTTGCCTAGTTGCTGGTCCCTTGATCTTGGACTTTCCAGCCTCCAGAACCTTGAGCCAATGAAATTCTGTTCATTATAAACTACCCAGTCTGGCCAGGTGTGGTGGTTCACGCCTGTAATCCCAGAACTTTGGGAAGCCAAGGCAGGCGGGTCACGAGGTCAGGAGTTCAAGACCAGCCTGGTCAACATGGCAAAACCTCGTCTCTACTAAAAATACAAAAATTAGCCAGGCATGGTGGCATGTGCCTGTAATCCCAGCTACTCTGGAGGCTGAGGCAAGAGAATTGCTTGAACCCAGAAGGCAGAGGTTGCAGTGAGCCAAGATTGCGCCACTGTACTCCAGCCCATGCAACAGAGCAAGACTCTGTCTCAAAAAAAAAAAAAAAAAATTACCCAGTCTGTAGTATTCTGTTACAGCAGCACAAAACAGACTAAGACATATGGTCTTAGTCTGATCTTTGAGTAGATTGTCAATCAGTAGATTGACTGATCTTTGAGTAGAGTGTCAAGAATATACAATGGAAAAATGATAGTATCTTCAACAAACATTGTTGGAAAAACCAGATATCCACATGCAGAAGAATGAAATTGGACCCCTATCTTACACCATACACAAAAATCAACTCAAATTAGCTGGGCGTGGTGACTCACGCCTGTAATCCCAGCACTTTGGGAGGCTGAGGCGGGCAGATTGCCTCAGGTCAAGAGTTAGAGACAGTTTGGCCAACATGCTGAAACTCCATCTCTACTAAAAATTCAAAAATTAGCCAGGCATGGTGGTGCACGCCTGTAGTCCCAGGTACTCGGGAGGCTGAGGCAGGAGGATTGCTTGAACCTGGGAGGCAAAGGTTGCAGTGAGCTGAGATCGTGCCACTGCACTCCAGCCTGGGGAACAGAGAAAGACTCCGTCTCAAAAAAATCAACTCAAAATGGATTAAAGACTTAAATGTAATACCGGAAACTGTAAAACTCCTAGAAGAAAACACAGGAGGAAATCTTCTTGACATTGGTGTTGGCAGTGATTTATTGGATATGACACAAAAAGCACAGGCAACAAAAGCTAAAATAGACAAGTGGGACTACATCAATCCGAAATATTCTGCACAGCAAAGGAAACAACACAGAGTGAAAAGGGATCATACAGAATGGAACAAAAGATTTGCAAACCATTTCTCGCTTAAGGGGTTGATATCCAAAGTACAGAAGAAACTCCAACAGCTCAATAGCAAATAACAAAAAGAACAACAATTTTTTTTTTTTTGAAACAGAGTCTTGCTCTGTTTCCCAGGCTGGAGTGAAGTGGCACAATCTCGGCTCACTGCAACCTCTGCCTCCTGGGTTCAAGCGATTCTCCTTCCTCAGCCCCGCAAGTAACTGGGATTACAGGCACCTGCCACCATACCTGGCTAATTTTTTGTATTTTTAGTAGAGATGGAGTTTCGACATGTTGGCCAAGCTGGTCTCAAACTCCTGACCTCAAGTGATCTGCCCGCCTCGGCCTCCCAAAGTGCTGGGATTACAGGTGTGAACCACCGTGCCTGACCAAAAAAATAATAATTTGATTAAAAAGTGGACAAAAGACTTCTCCAAAGAAGACATACAAATGCCACCAGGGGCAGGGTGCGGTGGCTCACATCTGTAATCCTATCACTTTGAGAGGCCAAGGCAGGAAGATTGCATGAGGCTAGGAGTTCGAGACCAGCCTGGGCAACATGGTGAAACCCCGTCTCTACAAACACATACAAAAATTAGCCAGGTGTGGTGGTGCATGCCTGTAGTCCCAGCTACTTGGAAGGGTGAGGCGGGAGGATCACTCAATCCCAGGAAGTCAAGGTTGCTGAGCTGTGATTAAACAACTGCACTCCAGTGGGTGACAGAGCGACACTCCGTCTCAAAACAAAACAAAACAAACATCATTTTCAGACCAGCTTGGGAGCCAGCCCTACTCTCTCTCAAAAGCCTCATTGTGTGAGTAATAAATTTTTCATACCTTCTTGGTGTATGCGTGGCATCAGCAGGCTTGACATTTGAACCAAATTTGCTGTGTGTGTGTATTCATGGATCCACCTCACCTCTGCAGGGTGATACAGTAATGACCTTGACAAAAGGGGTACTGACAAAAAGAAATGCAGTCCCTGACATCCAAGAACTGGCCTGGTTCATCACCTAAGCCTTGGTGTTGTGAGCAGCTGACCTGACACTCCCATCGGTGTCTCCTGTTGATCATGAACAATTCCACAAAATATTAACATCAGATGAAGCTGCTCTGCGGTCATGGTAGATCAAGACAAAAACAAGACCAGTCTGGAATCAAGTCTGAGACACAGAAAAAAACATGGACGTTGTCCAAACCACAAAATGGCCAAACATCCGTCCATCCTGGCTGATGTGAGTGGTTCCTGCTTCCTTATCAGTTATAGCTTTCATCCACTTCATTCCTTTTGCCTTGTAGATATAAATCAAGATATTACATCCTAGAATTACTCCTACTTTCTGACAGGAGGCAATCCAGAGCAAAGTCCTGCTTCTTTAACCCTCTCTGAAATCACCTAACACAAACTCCAACCCAGTAATACCTTTTCTTTTCTTGTCTTGTCTTTTCTTCTTCTTCTTTTTTTTTTTCCCGAGACGGAGTCTTGCTCTGTTGCCTAGAACTGGAGTGCAATGGTGTGATCTCAGCTCACTGCAACCTCCGCCTCCCAGGTTCAAACAATTCTCCTGCCTCAGCCTCCTGAGTAGCTGGGATTACAGGTGCACCCCACCATGCCTGGCTAATTTTTTTGTATTTTTAGTAGAGACAGGGTTTCACCATGTTGGCCAGGCTGGTCTCAAACTCCTGACCTCGTGATCCGCCTGCACTGGCCTCCCAAAGTGCTAGGATTACAGGCATAGCCACTGTGCCCAGCCTCTTTTTTTCTTTTTCTTTTTTTTTTTTTTTTTTTGTTGTTTTTTTTGAGACGATCACAGCTCACTGCAGCCTCGAACTCTTGGGGTCAAGCGACCCTCCCTCCTCAGTCTCCTGAATAGCTGAGTCTACAGGTGCATGCCACCATGCCTATCTACTTTTCAAATTTTTTTTAGAGATGAGGGTCTCACTAGGTTGCCCAGGTTGGTCTCGAACTCCTGGGCTCAAGTGAATCTCCCACCTCAGCCTTCCAAAACGCTGTGATTACAGGTGTGAGCCACCGTGTCCGGCTCCCTTTTCTAACACCCTTTTAATGAGATGCTCCATGGTTTCCCACGATGTGGATGCTTCATCATTGCAATGAGTTAATAAATCCAACTTCCGGGCCAGGCACAGTGGCTCACGCCTGTAATCCCAGCACTTGGGGAGGCCAAGGTGGGTGGATCACCTGAGGTCAGGAGTTCGAGACCAGACTGGCCAACATGGCAAAACCCCCGTCTCTACTAAAAATACAAAAAATTAGCCAGGTGTGGTGGTGCATGCTTGTAATCCCAGCTACTTGGGAGGCTGAGGCAGGAGAATTGCTTGAACCTGGGAGGTGGCGGTCACAGTGAGCCAAGATTGCACAGCTGCACTCCAGCCTAGGCAACAAGAGCGATACTCCACCTCAAAACAAAACAAAAAAAAAATTAGCCGGGCATGGTGGCCCATGCCTGTAGTCCCAGCTACTCAGGAGGCTGAGGCAGGAGAATCGCTTAAACCTGGGAGGTGGAGGTTGCAGTGAGCCAAGATCGCAGCACTGCACTCCAGCCTGGGCGACAGAGCGAGACTCCGTCTCAAAAAAAAAAAAAAAAAAATCTAATTTTGGTAAACTACCACTATGCTCCTGGTGGTCTTTGGCTGGAGGGCATTGGTGTTATTCACTTAGAAAATCCAAGAGAATCATAAAAAAAAAAAAAAAAAAACTCTTAGACTTAATAAGAGAAGTCAGCAAGGTGACCAAAACCAAAAATGAATACAAAATACAAAGATGGGGCCGGGCGCGGTGGCTAATGCCTGTAATCCCAGCACTTTGGGAGGCCGAGGCGGGTGGATCACGAGGTCAGGAGATTGAGAACATCCTGGCTAACATGGTGAAACCCCGTCTCTACTAAAAAAGTACAAAAAATTAGCCGGGCGTGGTGGTCGGCGCCTGTAGTCCCAGCTACTCGGGAGGCTGAGGCAGGAGAATGGTGTGAACCCGGGAGGCGGAGCTTGCAGTGAGCCGAGATAGCACCACTGCACTTCAGCCTGGGCGACAGAGCGAGACTCCGTCTCAAAAAAAAAAAAAAAAACAAGAAAAAAAAAAAACAAAGATGGGTATAGCCTTCCTTGACAGACACCTGAAATCAGAAAATGTAAGAGGGCAGGGTACCGTTGATCACAGTAACAAAATTTATCAACCTCTTGTAAGCAAGAAAAGTGTGAGCTCGGCCAGGCATGGTGGCTCATGCCTGTAATCCCAGCACTTTGGGAGGCTGAGGTGGGCAGATTATGAGGTCAGGAGATCGAGACCATCCTGGCCAACATGGTGAAACCTCGTTCATACTAAAATACAAAAAATTAGCTGGGTGTGGTGGTGCACGCCTGTAGTCCCAGCTACTTGGGAGGCTGCAGCAGGGGAATCGCTTGAACCTGGGAGGCGGAGATTGCAGTGAGCCGAGATCGCGCCACTGCACTCCAGCCTGGTGACACAGCGAGACTCCGTTTCAAAAAAAAAAAGAAAAGAAAATATGAGCTCTATACATTTTGACAGAAGAAAAAAATGACCAGAATAAATGGAAAGGTATATCCGTATTTCAGGCAAAAAGAATCAACACTGGAGGCCGAGTGCGCCTGTAGTCTCAGCTACCTGGGAGGCTAAGGCAGGGGGATTGCTTGAGCCCAGGAGGTCGAGGTTTCAGTGAGCTAAGATGGCACCACTGCACTCCAGCCTGGGTGACAGTGAGAGTCTATCTCAAAATAAATAAATAAAAATAAAAGAAAGAAAGAAACAAAAAAGCCATGTCCCGTAGTACCTCAGGCACCTCCCTGTGACTTGAACAGCATGATTTCATGTTGCCAGGTTTTTTGTTTTTTGGCTTTTTTTTTTCTTGAGGCAGACTTTTGCTCTTGTTGCCCAGGCTGGAGTGCAATGGTGTGATCTCGGCTCACTGTGACCTCCACCTCCAGGATTCAAGAGATTCTCCTGCCTCAGCCTCCCAGGTAGCTGGGATTGCAGATGTGCACCATCATACCCGGCTAATTTTGTACTTTTTTTTAGTAGAGATGGGGTTTCACCATGTTGGTCAGGCTGGTCTTGAACTTCTGATCTCAAGTGATCCACCCACCTCGGCCTCCCAAAGTGCTGGGATTACAGGTATGAGCCACCATGCCTGGCCATGAAGCCAGGTTTTTGAACTTTGTATAAAGGGAATCATATAGTATTATCCTTCTGTGTCCTGCAGCTTCTTTTGCCCAACATTGTTTGTGAGGTCCATCCCTGTTATGCACATGGAATTATCCTTTCTTCATTTTCATTGTAAGTCAGAACTGTGAAGGGTTTGAGTTTACCCTACTTGCAAGCTAAAAAGTTAGCCTGCCAAATTTTGCACAGACACACATACATGCACATGTGCATACACACAGATATATAAAACACAAGACCCCAGCCTGGGCAACATAGCTAGACTCTGTTGCTACAAACAAATTAAAAAAAATTAGGGGCTTGATGGCACATGCTTGTAGTCTCAGCTACTTGGGAGGCTGAGGTGGGAGGATTGCTTGAGTCCTGGAGGTCGAGGCTGCAGTCAGCTATGAACACGACACTGCACTCCAGCCTGGGTGACAGAGTGAAATTTTGTCTCAAAACACACACACACACACACACACACACACACACACACACACACACGATCATGAATCAGAAAAATGGATCATTGATTACCACAAAATCAGCAGCCAGAGCTATACCTTGCATCAATTCCTCATGCCCCAGCTCACACGAAGCCAGATATTTCCTGTGCGTTCAGTGGGTTGCATCATGCGGGAAGAAACTAAAATTAGGAGACTAAGCTGTTGTGAACTTGCTGACACACCTGCCTGTCCTCCCCTCCATAGCCAGAGATTATTCATTACCCTGGAATGTCAGCAATCTCCTGGTTGTGGGGAGGGGTGGGGCATTTCTATGTTTCTTACGCTGAACTGTCTCTAAATCTCTCCAGAGGGATGCACTATCTCAATATCCAAGGCTGCTGTTCAAACATTGTTCAGAAGGCCTAGCCCATGCAGGAACATGAGTGATCTGTGCAGATCTGCCTCCCAACACATTGCTATATAGTATTTCCTTGCGTGAATATACCATCATTTTTGTATCCATTCTTTGGCTGATGTGCATTTGGGTAGTTTTTAGTTTGGGGCTATTATGAAAAAAGTTGCTATAAACATTATTTTATGTCTTTGGTTAACATTTATACACATTCTGTTCTCGCTTCATTTCATTCGTTTGATCTTCCATCACTGATACCATTTCTTCCAGTTGATTGAATCGGCTACTGAGGCTTGTGCATTCGTCACATAGTTCTCGTGCCTTGGTTTTCAGCTCCACCAGGTCCTTTAAGGACTTCTCTGCATTGGTTATTCTAGCTAGCCATTCGTCTAATTTTTTTTCAAGGTTTTTAACTTCTTTGCCATGGGTTCGAACTTCCTCCTTTAGCTCGGAGTAGTTTGATCGTCTGAAGCCTTCTTCTCTCAACTCATCAAAGTCATTCTCCGTCCAGCTTTGTTCCATTGCTGGTGAGGAGCTGTGTTCCTCTGGAGGAGGAGAGGCACTCTGATTTTTAGAGTTTCCAGTTTTTCTACTCTGTTTTTTCCCCATCTTTGTGGTTTTATCTACCTTTGGTCTTTGATGATGGTGACGTACAGATGGGTTTTTGGTGTGGATGGCCTTTCTGTTTGTTAGTTTTCCTTCTAACAGTCAGGACCCTCAGCTGCAGGTCTGTTGGAGTTTGCTGGAGGTCCACTCCAGACCCTGTTTGCCTGGGTATCAGCAGCGGAGGGTGCAGAACAGCGGATATTGGTGAACAGCAAATGTCGCTGCCTGATCGTTCCTCTGGAAGTTTTGTCTCAGAGGAGTAACGGCCCGTGTGAGGTGTCAGTCTGAGAAAAAAGAATAAAAAGAAACGAACAAAGCCTCCAAGAAATATGGGACTATGTGAAAAGACCAAATCTACGTCTGATTGGTGTACCTGAAAGTGACGGGGAGAATGGAACCGAGTTGGAAAACACTCTGCAGGATATTATACAGGAGAACTTCCTCAATCTAGCAAGGCAGGCCAACATTCAAATTCAGGAAATACAGAGAACACCACAAAGATACTCCTCGAGAAGAGCAACTCCAAGACACATAATTGTCAGATTCACCAAAGTTGAAATGAAGGAAAAAATGTTAAGGGCAGCCAGAGAGAAAGGTCGAGTTACCCACAAAGGGAAGCCCATCAGACTAACAGCTGATCTCTCGGCGGAAACCCTACAAGCCAGAAGAGTGGGGGGGCCAATATTCAACATTCTTAAAGAAAAGAATTTTCTGCCGGGTGCGGTGGCTCACACCTGTAATCCCAGCACTTTGGGAGGCCAAGGCGGGAGAATCATGAGGTCTGGAGTTTGAGACCAGCTTGGCCAACATGTTGAAACCCTGTCTCTACTAAAAATACAAAAAAAAAAATTACCCGGGCGTAGTGGCAGACACCTGTAATCCCAGCTACTCAGGAGGCTGAGGCAGGAGAATCGCTTGAAACCAGAAGGCGGAGGTTGCAGTGAGCCCAGATCACACCACTGCACTCCAGCCTGGGCAATAAGAGCGAAACTCTGTCTCAAAAAAAAAAAAGAAAAGAAAAAGAAAAGAATTTTCAACCCAGAATTTCATATCCAGCCAAACTAAGCTTCATAAGTGAAGGAGAAATAAAATACTTTACAGACAAGCAAATGCTGAGAGATTTTGTCATCACCAGGCCTGCCCTAAAAGAGCTCCTGAAGGAAGCACTAAACATGGAAAGGAACAACCGGTACCAGCCACTGCAAAAACATGCCAAATTTTAAAGACCATTGAAGCTAGGAAGAAACTGCATCAACTAACGAGCAAAATAACCAGCTAACATCATAATCACAGGATCAAATTCACACATAACTATTAACCTTAAATGTAAATGGACTAAATGCTCCAATTAAAAGACACAGACTGGCAAATTGGATAAAGAGTCAAGACCCATCAGTGTGCTATATTCAGGAGACCCATCTCACGTGCAGAGACACACATAGGCTCAAAATAAAGGGATGGAGGAAGATCTACCAAGCAAATGGAAAACAAAAAAAGGCAGGGGTTGCAATCCTAGTCTCTCATAAAACAGACTTTAAACCAACAAAGATCAAAAGAGACAAAGAAGGCCATTACATAATGGTAAAGGGATCAATTCAACAAGAAGAGCTAACTATCCTAAACATATATGCACCCAATACAGGAGCACCCAGATTCATAAAGCAAGTCCTTAGTGACCTACAAAGAGACTTAGACTCCCACACAATAATAATGGGAGACTTTAACACCCCACCGTCAACATTAGATAGATCAACGAGACAGAAAGTTAACAAGGATATCCAGGAACTGAACTCAGCTCTGCACTAAGTGGATCTAATAGACATTTACAGAACTCTCCACCCCAAATCAACAGAATATATGTTCTTCTCAGCACCACACCGCACTTATTCCGAAACTGACCACATAGTTGGAAGTAAAGCACTTCTCAGCAAATGTAAAAGAATGGAAATTATGACAAACTGTCTCTCAGACCACAGTGCAATCAAACTAGAACTCAGGATTAAGAAACTCACTCAAAACTGCTCAACTACATGGAAACTGAACAACCTGCTCCTGAATGACTACTGGGTACATAACGAAATGAAGGCAGAAATAAAGATATTCTTTGAAACCAACGAGAACAAAGACACAACATACCAGAATCTCTGGGACACATTCAAAGCAGTGTGTAGAGGGAAATTTACAGCACTAAATGCCCACAAGAGAAAGCAGGAAAGATCTAAAATTGACACCCTAACATCACAATTAAAAGAACTAGAGAAGCAAGAGCAAACACATTCAAAAGCTAGCAGAAGGCAAGAAATAACTAAGATCAGAGCAGAACTGAAGGAGATAGAGACACAAAAAACCCTTCAAAACATCAATGAATCCAGGAGCTTGTTTTTTGAAAAGATCAACAAAATTGATAGACCGCTAGCAAGACTAATAAAGAAGAAAAGAGAGAAGGATCAAATAGAAGCAATAAAAAATGATAAAGGGGATATCACCACCGATCCCACAGAAATACAAACTACCATCAGAGAATACTATAAACACCTCTACGCAAATAAACTAGAAAATCTAGAGGAAATGGATAAATTCCTCGACACATATACCCTCCCAAGACTAAACCAGGAAGAAGTTGAATCTCTGAATAGACCAATAATAGGCTCTGAAATTGAGGCAATAATTAATAGCTTACCAACCAAAAAAAGTCCAGGACCAGATGGATTCACAGCCAAATTCTACCAGAGGTACAAGGAAGAGCTGGTACCATTCCTTCTGAAACTATTCCAATCAATAGAAAAAGAGGGAATCCTCCCTAACTCATTTTATCAGGCCAGCATCATCCTGATACCAAAGCCTGGCAGAGACACAACAAAAAAAGAGAATTTTAGACCAATATCCCTGATGAACATCGATGCAAAAATCCTCAATAAAATACTGGCAAACCGAATCCAGTAGCACATCAAAAAGCTTATCCACCATGATCAAGAGGGCTTCATCCCTGGGATGCAAGGCTGGTTCAACATACACAAATCAATAAACATAATCCAGCACATAAACAGAACCAACGACAAAAACCATATGATTATCTCAATAGACGCAGAAAAGGCCTTTGACAAAATTCAACAACTAAAACTCTCAATAAATTAGGTATTGATGGGACGTATCTCAAAATAATAAGAGCTATCTATGACAAACCCACAGCCAATATCATACTGAATGGACAAAAACTGGAAGCATTCCCTTTGAAAACCGGCACAAGACAGGGATGCCCTCTCTCACCACTCCTATTCAACATAGTGTTGGAAGTTCTGGCCAGGGCAATCAGGCAGGAGAAGGAAATAAAGGGTATTCAATTAAGAAAAGAGGAAGTCGAATTGTCCCTGTTTGCAGATGACATGATTTATATATCTAGAAAACCCCATCATCTCAGCCCAAAATCTCCTTAAGCTGATAGGCAACTTCAGCAAAGTCTCAGGATACAAAATCAATGTGCAAAAATCCAAGCATTCTTAAACACCAATAACAGACAAACAGCCAAATCATGAGTGAACTCCCATTCACAATTGCTTCAAAGAGAATAAAATACCTAGGAATCCAATTTACAAGGGACGTGAAGGACCTCTTCAAGGAGAACTACAAACCACTGCTCAATGAAACAAAAGAGGATACAAACAAATGGAAGAACATTCCATGCTCATGGGTAGGAAGAATCAATATCATGAAAATGGCCATACTGCTCAAGGTAATTTATAGATTCAATGCCATCCCCATCAAGCTACCAATGACTTTCTTCACAGAATTGGAAAAAACTTCTTTAAAGTTCATATGGAACCAAAAAAGAGCCCGCATGGCCAAGTCAATCCTAAGACAAAAGAACAAAGCTGGAGGCATCACGCTACCTGACTTCAAACTATACCATAAGGCTACAGTAACCAAAACAGCATGGTACTGGTACCAAAACAGAGATACAGACCAATGGAACAGAACAGAGCCCTCAGAAATAATGCCGCATATCTACAACCATCTGATCTTTCACAAACCTGAGAAAAACAAGCAATGGGGAAATGATTCCCTATTTAATAAATGGTGCTGGGAAAACTGACTAGCCATATGTAGAAAGCTGAAACTGGATCCCTTCCTTATACCTTATACAAAAATTAATTCAAGATGGATTAAAGACTTAAATGTTAGACCTAAAACCATAAAAACCCTAGAAGAAAACCTAGGCAATACCATTCAGGACATAGGCATGGGCAAGGACTTCATGTCTAAAACACCAAAAGTAATGGCAACAAAAGCCAAAATTGACAAATGGGATCTAATTAAACTAAAGAGCTTCTGCACAGCAAAAGAAACTACCATCAGAGTGAACAGGCAACCTACAGAATGGGAGAAAATTTTTGCAATCTACTCATCTGACAAAGGGCTAATACCCAGAATCTACAATGAACTCTAACAAATTTACAAGAAAAAAACAAAAAACCCCATCACAAAAAGTGGGCAAAGGATATGAACAGACACTTCTCAAAAGAAGACATTTATGTAGCCAAAAGACACATGAAAAAATGCTCATCATCACTGGCCATCAGAGAAATGCAAATCAAAACCACAATGAAATACCATCTCACACCAGTCAGAATGGTGATCATTAAAAAGTCAGGAAACAACAGGTGCTGGAGAGGATGTGGAGAAATAGGAACACTTTTACACTGTTGGTGGGACTGTAAACTAGTTCAACCCTTGTGGAAGTCAGTGTGGCGCTTCCTCAGGGATCTAGAACTAGAAATACCATTTGACCCAGCCATCCCATTACTGGGTATATACCCAAAGGATTATAAATCATGTTGCTATAAAGACACATGCACATGTATGTTTATTGTGACACTATTCACAATAGCAAAGAATTGGAACCAACCCAAATGTCCAAAAATGATAGACTGGATTAAGAAAATGTGGCACATATACACCATAGAATACTATGCAGCCATAAAAAATGATGAGTTCATGTCCTTTGTAGGGACATGGATGAAGCTGGAAACCATCATTCTCAGCAAACTATTGCAAGGACAAAAAACCAAACACCACATGTTCTCACTCATAGGTGGGAATTGAACAGTGAGAACACATGGACACAGGAAGGGGAACATCACACACCAGGGACTGTTGTGGGATGGGGGGCGGGGGAGGAATAGCCTTTGGAGATATACCTAATGTTAAATGACGAGTTACTGGGTGCAGCACACCAACATGGCACATGTATACATATGTAACTAACCTGCACGTTGTGCACATGTACCCTAAAACTTAAAGTATAATAATAAAAAAAAGGATAAAACAAAACAAAACAAAAAAACATTTATACACATTCTGTTTAGTATATACCCAGAAGTGGCATCACTGAGTGATGGGTGTGCACATATACAGCTCTAGTAGAAACTGCCGGCTGGGCATGGAGACTTATGCCTGTAATCCCAGCACTTTGGGAGGCGAAGGCGGGTGGATCACCTGAGGTCAGGAGTTCGAGACCAGCCTGGCCAACATGGTAAAATCCCATCTGTACTAAAAATACAAACATTAGCTGGGCGTTGTGGCGAGCGCCTGTAATTCCAGCTACTTGGGAGCCTGAGGCAGGAGAATCACTTGAACCCAGGAGACAGAGGTTTCAGTGAGCCAAGATCTTGCCACTGCACTCCAGCCTGGGTGACAAGAGTGAAACTCTGTCTCAAAAAAAAAAAAAAGAAAGAAAGAAAAAAGGAACTATAAAACGGTTTTCCAAAATAATTGTTGTATCCATTATGCTCCCATCAGCTGTGAATGAGACATTCTGTCTCTGGAAATGCTTACCAACAGTTGGTATTATCAGATTTTAAATTTTTTCTCTATCTGGGGCTGGGTAGCGGTGGCTCACACCTATAATCCCAGCACTTAGGGAGGCGAAGGCAGGCAGATCACCTGAGGTCAGGAGTTCGAGACCAGCCTGGCCAACATAGTGAAACCTCGTCTCTACTTAAAAAGTACAAAAATTAGCCGGACATGGTGGCACATGCCTGTAGTCCCAGGTACTCAGGAGGCTGAGGCAGGAGAATTGCTTGAACCCCGGAGGCAGAGATTGCAGTGAGCCGAGATAGTGCCACTGCACTCCAGCCTGGGCAACAGAGCAAGACTCCATCTCAAAAAAAAAAATCTTTTTGCCTATCTGATAGACAGGAAATAACATTTTGTTCCTTTAATATACAGCTCTCTGATTTAGTGTGAGCATATTTCTATATATTTATTGGCCATTTGGGTTTCCTCTTATGCAAAATGTTTGTTCATAACCTTTGCATACTTTTTGATTGGGCGTCTTGTCTTTCCCTTAAAATTTTTTAGGAGTTCTTTTTATATGAGGGGTCATCTAAAAGTACACGGAAAATGCATTTGGTGAAAAAAACTATATGCATGGATTTCAAATGTTTTATAGTTTTTTGTTGTTTTTCTGTTTTGCTTTTTTCCTTCCTATTTTTGTTTTGCTTTTATTTATTTATTTTTGTTTTTTCTTTTTTGAATTTCAATTTTTTTTTACACCAAAATAAATCTGTACTAACTTGTTATAACATGTCTGAACAGGATCTGGTTTGAGGGGTTAAGAAGGATAAGACATCAATTTGAAAAGAGCCTCTACCAGAGCCACATGAATTCTGCTAATACTGAAGCAAGAACAAAATCAAATTTATGGTGATGGTTGGGTGGAAGAATGGTGAAAAATCATTGATGCTTTCTGAAAAGTTTATGGGGACAATGCCCCCAAATAAATCAGCAGTTTACAAATAGATAACTCAGCTTAAGAATGGGCCAGGTGTGGCGGCTCATGCCTGTAATCCCAGAACTTTGGGAGGCCAAGGCAGGCCAACCGCTTGAGTCCAGGAGTTTAAGACCAGCCTGAGCAACATGGCGAAACCTCATCTCTACAAAAAAATGGAAAAATTAGCCAGGCGTGGTGGCACGTGCCTGTAGTCCCAGCTACTACTCGGGAGGCTGAGCTGGGAGAATCACCTGAGCCAGGGTAAGTTGAGGCTGCAGTGAGCCATGATCATGCCACTGTACTCCAGCCTGGGTGACAGAGTAAGAGTCTGTCTCAAAACAAAACAAAACAAAACAAAAAACAGAAGCCAATAGCAAGATGAATCACATGCTGGAATTATCTGACAAGGATTTTAGAGTAGTCACCATAAAAATGAGTCAATAAGGAATTACAAATAAACTGGAAACAAAAGAAGAAATAGAAATTCTTTGGCCAGGTGCGATGGCTCACAACTGTAATCCCAGTACTTTGGGAGGCCAAGGCGGTTAGGACGTTTGAGTCCAGGAGCTCAAGACCAGCCTGGGCAATATGGTGAAGCCCCACCTCTACAGAAAATACAAAAAGTAGCCAGTTATGGTGGTGTGCACTTGTGGTTCCAGCTACTTGGGAGGCTGAGCTTAGGAGGATCGATTCAGCCTAGGAGGTTGAGGCTGCAGTGAGCTGTGATTGCACCACTGCACTCCAGCCTGGGCAACAGAGTGAGACCCCATCTCAAAAAAAAATTATCAACATATAGATGATATAGAAAAAGAACCAAATAGAAATGATAGAACTAAAAATTATAAATGAAAATTAAAACTGGCCTGGCGCGGTGGCTCATGCCTGTAATCCCAGCACTTTGGGAGGCCAAGGTGGGTGGATCACCTGAGGTCAGGGGTTTGAGACCAGCCTGGCCAACATGGTGAAACCCTGTCTCTACTAAATATACAAAAATTAGCCGGGCGTGGTGGCGGGCACCTGTAATCCCATCTACTGGGGAGGCTGAGGCAGGAGAATGGCTTGAACCAAGGAGGCGGAGGCTGCAGTGAGCCACTGCACTTCACTCCAGCCTGGGCAAAAGAGCAAAACTCCATCCAAAAAAAAGAAAAAAAGAAAAAGAAAACAGAAAATTAAAGCTAATGCAAAAGGTTCAATGGCAGAATGAATATGACAGAGAAGTGATCTGGCAGACAGAACAGTAGAAAGTGTCCAATCTCAACAACAGAGAGAAAATACACTGAAAAAAAGATGGACAGAGTCTCAGAGACCTATAGGGCAACAACAAAGATCTAAGATTTATGTCACTGGACTTCTGCAAGAAGAGGAGAAATAGTAGTGAAGAAAACATATTTAAAGAAATAATGGCTGAAAGCTTCCCAAATTGGGCAAAGGACATAAACCTACGGATTGAAGTTGTGCAAACCCCAGTAGGATAAACCAAACGAAACCCACGCCCATATGTCATCATTTAACCTCTAAACACTAAAAACAAAGGAAAACCCTTGAAAGCAGCTAGAGAGAAATGACACATGAGGCATAGGGGACACTGATTAGAATGACAGTGGTGTTTTCATCTGAAACTAGGGAAACTAAAAGGAAGTGGCATGATATTCTTCAAGTACTGAAAGAACTGTCAACTGAGAGTCCTACATTGGGGAAAGTCTCTTTCAGGAATGAGAGGGAAATAAAGACATTCTCAGGCGAAGGAAAACTAAAACAAGTCTGTGTTAATCAGTTCAGGCTACCATGATGAAATACCATAGACTGGGTGGCTTGAACAACATGAATTCATTTCTCACAGTTCGGGAGGCTGGGAAGTCCTCAGTCAAGATGCTGGCTGATCTGGTTTCCGGAAAGGGCTCTCTTAGCAGCTTGCAGAGGGCTGCCTCCTGGCTGTGTCCTTCCATGGTGGGAGGAGAGAGAAGGGTAGGGGAAACAAGCTCTCTGGTGTCTCTTATAAGGGCACTTGTCCCATCACAAGGGCCCCTGATGACCTCATCTAAACCCAATTACTTCCCCAAAATCCCACATCCAAATACTGTCACATGGGGGGTGAAGGCTTCAACACATGAATTTTGGGGGAGACAAAATTCAGTCCATAGCAAATTTGTTTCCAGGACATCTGCTGTTAAAGAAAGGTGAAAGGAAGCTCTTCAAACAGAAGTGAAATAACAGACGAAGGTGTGGAACTTCAGAAAGGAAAAGAGAACAACAAAATGGGTTAAAATAGGAGTAAATACTCTTCTCCTCATGAGCTTTTTCATTTTCTCATGAGGTTTTTAAACCATATTTGATGGTTGAAGCAAAACATTGTAACAACATTTGATACGGTTTTCAATGTATATAGAGAGAACACTTAGGACAATTACATTTTGAAAATAGGATAGGTAAAGGGATCTAAAGGGAAGTAAATTCCTCCACGTCAATTACAGTAGTAAAACATTGACATTGGTGGACTGTGATAAGTTACACGTGCAGGTTGTAATACCTAGAGCAATCACTAAGAAGACCATACAAAGTGATTGTCGTAGTACATTCTGTGCTGCTGTAACAGAATACCTGAGACTGGATAATTTATAAAACACATTTATTTCACACAGTTCTGGAGGCTGGGAAGTCCAAGATCAAGTCACCAACAGGTTTGGCATCTGGGAAGGGCTGCTCTCTGCTTCTAAGACAGTGCCTTGAATGCTGCATCCTCTGGAGCGGGGGAACACTGTGTCCTCACGTGGCAAAAAAGGTGAAAGGGCAAAAAGGGAGGCATTCCCTCCTTCAAGCCCTATTCTAACAGCATTAATCTGTTCATAAGGGCAGAGTCCTCTTGACCTAAACACATCCCAAAAGACCCCACCTCCCAACACTGCTGCATTGGGGATCAAGTTTAGACATGAATTTTTGGAAGGGACAAAAACATTCAAATCATAACGGTGATATGCTCAAAAATTATATAAATAAGTCAAAATGGAATTCTAAAAACAATGGTCATGTACCCACCCCAAGGAAGGCAAAGGGAGAGAAACAAAGGAATGAGAATCAGAGGGAACAAACAGAAAACAATAGTAAAATATACTAATTTAAACCACAATGAGGGCCAGGCGCTGTGGCTTACACCTGTAATCCCAGCACTTTGGGAGACTGAGGTGGGGAGATCACGAGGTCAGGAGTTAGAGACCAGCCTGGCCAACATGGTGAAACCCCATCTCGACTAAAAATAGAAAAATTAGCTAGGCGTGGTGGCACACTCCTGTAATCCCAGCTACTCAAGAGGCTGAGGCAGGAGAATTGCTCGAACCCGGGAGGCAGAGGTTGCAGTGAGCCAAGATTGCGTCACTGCACTCCAGCCTGGGTGACAGAGCAAGATTCCATCTCAAATAAAAAGATGAAGAGGCTGGGTGTGGTGGCTCACATCTGTAATCCCAGCACTTTGGGAGGCCGAGGCGGGCAGATCACTTGAGGTCAGGAGTTTGAGACTGGCCAACATGGTGAAACCCTGTCTCTACTAAAAATACAAAAATTAGCCAGGCATGGTGATGTGTGCTTGTAGTCCCAGCTACTAGGGAGGCTGAGACAGGAGAATCGCTTGAACCCAGGAGGCAGAGGCTGCAGTGAGCCAAGATCGCGCCGCTATGCTCCAGCCTGGGCAACAGAGCAAGACCCTGTCTCAAAAATAAAATAAAATAAATAAAAATAAATTAAAACCAAAAGACAAAGTTGGGCACAGCAGTGGATGCCTTTAGTATCAGCTACTAGGGAGGCTGAGTTGGGAGGATGACTTGAGCCCAAGAGTTCTATGCCAGCCTGGGCAACACAGTGAGACACCTGTCTCTAAAATAAAAATAAAATACATTTTTTTAAAAGATGAAAGATAATCCTAGCACTTTGGGAGTCCGAGGCGGGCAGATCACCTGAGGTCAGGAGTTCGAGACCAGCCTGACCAACATGGAGAAACCCCATCTCTACTAAAAATACAAAAAAAATTAGCCGGGCTTAGTGGCACATGCCTGTAATCCCAGCTACTCGGGAGGCTGAGGCAGGAGAATAGCTTGAACCCGGGAGGCAGAGGGTGCAGTGGGCTGAAATCACATCGTTGCACTGAAGCCTGGGCAACATGAGTGAAACTCTGTCTCAAAAAAAAGAAAAAAGAAATCAATATGTTAAAATAATATCTGCACTCTTATGTTCATGATATCATTATTCACAATAGCCAAGATAGGAAATCAACCTCTATCCAACAATGTGTGAATAAAGAAAACGTGGGCCGGGTGTGGTGGCTCACGTCTGTAATCCCAGCACTTTGGGAGGCCAAGGCTGGTGGATCACGAGGTCAGGAGATCGAGACCATCCTGGTCAACATGGTGAAACCCCCCTCTACTAAAAATACAAAAAATTAGCCGGGCGTAGTGGCATGCGCCTGTAGTCCCAGCTACTCAAGAGGCTGAGGCAGGAGAATCGCTTGAACCCAGGAGGTGGAGGTTGTAGTGAACGGAGATCGTGCCACTGCATTCCAGTCTGGGCAACAGTGCGAGGCTCTGTCTCAAAAAAAACACATTAATCCACCAAAGAGATATAGCAATCCTAAATGTGCATGCACTAAACAAGATCATTTCAAATTACACGAAGAAAAAATGATCAGGCTGAAAGGAGAAATGGACAAATCCACAATTATAATTGAGGATATCAACACCACCCCTGCAACAAATGGAATTACTAGAGAGAAATTCAAGCAATGATAAAGAAGAACTAAACAACACCATCAATCAACAGTAACAAGGCCAGGCTTGGTGGCTCACGCTCGTAATCCCAGCACTTTGAGAGGCCAAGGTGGGTGGGTCATCTGAGGTCAGGAGTTCGAGACCAGCCTGGCCAACATGGCAAAACCCTGTCTCTACTAAAAATACAAAAATTAGCCAGGTGTGGTGGCACACACCTGTAGTCCCAGCTACTTGGGAGGCTGGGGCAGGAGAATCGCTTGAACTCAGGAGGCAGAGGTTGCAGTGAACCAAGATCACATCACTGTACTCCAGCCTGGGCGACAGAGCAAGATTCTGTGTCAAAAAATAAAAAACAAAAAAACAGTATTGAAATGACATTATAGAACATTCAACCCAACAACAGAATACATGTTGTTTTTGAGTGCCTGTGGAACGTTCAGCAAGATAGAACATTACCTGGGCCATAAAACAAACCTCAACAAATTTAAAAAAACTAAAATCAGAGGGAGTATCTTCTCTGATTATATAGAATCAAATTAGAAATCATAACAGAAAGACAACAGGAAAACCCCCTAAACACTTATTTAAAAACATGCTTCTCAATAACCCATGGGTCACAAAGTAAGTCAAAAGGAAATTTTATAAATACACAGAACTGGAAAAAATGAAAATACACCTGTCAAAATATGTGCAATGCATGAGTGTAGTGTTGAGATGGAAATTTATAGAACTAGGTACTTACATTAGAAAAGAGGAAAGGTCTCAAATCAATAATCTAAGTTCCTACTTCAAGAAACTAGAAAAAGAAGAGCAAAGGAACCTCAAGGAAGCAGAAGGCAGGAAATAATAAAGATAAGAACAGAAATCAATACAATTAAAAACAGAAAAACAGCAGAGAAAACAATCAATGAAACAAAAACTTGGATCTTTGAAAAGATCAATACAATTGAAAAACTTGTAGCAAGACTGGCAAAGATAAAGAGAGAAGATACAAATCATCAATATTAGGAATGAAAGAGGGGATGTCACTACAGATTTTGCAGTCACTGAAAGGATACTGCAAGTTCCATGAAGAAGAACTCTATTCTCATAAATTCAACAACTTAGAAGAAATGGACCAATTACTCCAAAAGCACAAACGACCAAACTCAAGCAATATAAAATAGGCGATCTGAATAATTCTACAACCATTAAAAATTTAAATTTATTATTTAGCCCTCAGAAAAGAAATCTTGAGGCCCAGATGTTTTCACTGGAGAATTCCTCCTAACACTTAAAGCGAAATTAGTGTCAATTTTGTAGACTGTCTTCCGGATAATAGAAGCAAAGGGAACACCTCCCAACTCATTGTATGAGGCCAGTTTTACCTTGCTACCAAAACCAGGGAAAAAAGCATACACACAAAAGGAAAGCTACAAACTGATATCTCTTGTGAATTTAGGCACAAAAACCCTCAACAAAATATTAGGAAATCAAATCCAGGAATGTTTTAAAGGAATTATACACCATGACCAAGTAGGATTTGTTCCAGGTATGAAAGGCTGGTTCAGTTTTTGATACTCATCAATGTCATCCACCACGACAGGTTAAAAAAAAAAAGCATATGATCATATCAATTGATGAGAAAACAAAAACAACCCAGTGGCCAGGTGTGGTGGCTCACGCCTGTAATCCCAGCACTTTGGGAGGCCGAGGCAGGTGGATCACTTGAGGACAGGAGTTTGAGACCAGCCTGGCCAACATGGTGAAACCCCGCCTCTACTAAACATACAAAAAAATTAGCCGGGCGTGGTAGCGGGCACCTGCAATCCCAGCTACTCAGGAGGCTGAGGCAGGAGAATCGCTTGAACCCAGGAGGCAGAGGTTGCAGTGAACCAAGATCACGCCATTGCAATCCAGCTTGGGCAACAAGCGCAAAACTCCATCTAAAAAACAAACAAACAAAACCAGTTTTTTATTTTTTGTTTTCTTTTTTTTTTGAGACAGAGTCTCTCTCTGTCGCCCAGGCTGGAGTGCAGTGGCGCAATCTGGGCTCACTGCAGCTTCCACTTCCCAAGTTCAAGCAATTCTCCTGCCTCAGACTCCCAAGTAGCTGTAACTACAGGCGTGCACCACCATGCCCAGCTAATTTTTGTATTTTTAGTAGAGACGGTTTCACCATGGTGGTTAGGCTGGTCTTGAACTCCTGACTTTAAGTGATCTGCCCGCCTTGGTCTCCCAAAGTGGTGGGATTACAGGCGTGACCACTGTACCCGGCCCACCCCAGTATTTGATAAACGCCAATACCCAGTCTTCTGGTTCTGTTCCCAGATGGACCTGCTTGTTCTTGTGGTCCAATAATAAGAAGCAGACAGACTAGAAGAGAAGGGAGTTTTTTTCTGCAGCTGGCTACAGAGAGAAGGTCGGAGTAACTCACCAGACCCACCCAAAGTTAGGTGTTTTGTTAGCTTATGTATACAATTCAAACTCTATGCCTATGTGCAGGAGTGTTTCTTAATCTAATGGTTTTTTTGTTTTTTGTCTTTTTTTTTTTTGAGACAGGGTCTTGTTCTGTCGCCTAGGCTGGACTGCAGTGGTATGATCTCAGCTCAGTGCAGTCTAGACCTCCCCGGTTCAAGCATTCCTCCCACCTCATCCTCCTGAGTAGCTGGGACTACAGAACAGCGCCACTATGCCCAATTGATTTTTAAATTTTTTGTAGAGATGCAGTCTCCCAATGTTGCCGAGGGTGGTCTCGAACTCCTCCTAGGCTCAAGTGATCCACCCACCTCAGCCTCCCAAAGAGTTGGGATTACAGGCGTGAGCCACCTCACCTGGCCATCTAATCCTCTTAACTAGGGGTCTGAAGGTAGGAAACTTTATTTCTTTTTCTTTTTCTTTTTTTTTTTTTTTGAGACGGAGTCTCGCTCTCTCACCCAGGCTGGAGTGCAATGGCGTGATCTCGGCTCACTACAACCTCTGCCTCCCGGGTTCAAGAGATTCTTCTGCCTCAGCCTCCTGAGTAGCTAGGACTACAGGCACATGCCACCACGCCTGGCTAATTTTTGTATTTTTTGGTAGAGATGGGGTTTCACCATGTTGGTCAGGCTGGTCTCGAACTCCTGACCTCGTGATCCGCCCACCTTGGCCTCCCAAAGTGCTGGGATTACAGACATGAGCCATCGTGGCTGGCCAAGTTTCTTAATCTTAATCCTAAATGGGTTTTGGTAGGGGTCGCATGTGTAGGAATGCTTTTATTACTCTATCAGGTTTTGAGATTGAGAAATCCAGGAGGGGTTTTCATGGTTTGTTTTTGCATTTCAGCTCTGGCACTCAGGCACCAGTTTTCCCAGGTCAGTATTCATTTTTTGCTCCTGCTTTAATGTTTGACTTATACACTCATCATTACAACAAAGGGCTTATGGAGACCTGACCTGCCACAGTTCCTGGAAAAGACGGAGTGGATACACTCCTCCCTGTTTCGCCTACAAAGTACAGCTGAAACCAATGGATGTTACATAGAAAACAAGCTTGAGAAGACTGCAAGGTACAGAAGAGCCAGCAGATGGCTAGGGATTCGGAATCGAGAAATGACATGGTGCTGAGCCCCGTGGGTTTTCTTATGCATTCAAGACCAGGTGCTGGAGAAAGCAGCAACGCAGAACACCAAGCGGTGCAGAAAAAAAAGACTCAGGAAAGCCTGGCGGGCACAGTGGTGCGTGCTTGTAGTCCCAGCTATCCAGGAGGCTGAGGCAGGAGGATCGCTTGAGCCCAGGAGTTTAAATCTAACCTGGGCAACATAGTGAGACCCTCATCTCTAAACAAAGAAATAAAAGACCCAGAGACCTGGGGAAACCTCTTCCCCTTAGCCAAAGGACCAGGTAAGGGGCAGCCTCCTAAGAGGGTGTGAACCAAAAAGTATCCCAGACAGGTCTCAATCAGTTTTGAAGTTTACTTTGCCAAGGTTGGCCGGGTGAGGTGGCTCACGCCTGTAATCCCAGTACTTTGGGAGGCCGAGCTAGGCGGATCACTTGAGGACAGGAGTTCGAGACCAGCCTGGCCAATATAGTGAAACTGCATGTCTACTAACAACAACGAAAAAACTAGCCAGGTGTGGTGGCACATGCCTGTAATCCCAGCTACTTGAAAGGCTAAGGCATGAGGATCGCCTGAACCCGGGAGGCAGAGGTTGCAGTGAGCCAAGATCTCGCCACTGCACTCCAGCCTGGGTGACAGAGAGAGACTCTATCTCAAAAAAAAAAAAAAAAAGTTTACTTTGCCAAGGTTAAGGACAATGCCCTGGACACACATCTGTGCCTGTGCCTTTCTCCAAAGATGATTTTGAGGGCTTCAATATTTAAATGGGAAAAGCGGGCTGGCGGGGAAAGAGGGAGGGTGTGGTCATCCACAGGTTGCAAGAGAAAAGGAGCAGGTAGGGGATTTTATTATTTTTTTTTTTTTTTGAGATGGAGTCTCACTCTGTCGCCCCGGCTGGAGTGCAATGGCGTGATGTCGGCTCACTGCAACCTCCGCCTCCCGGGTTCAAGCCATTCTCCTGCCTTAGCCTCCTGAGTAACTGGGACTACAGGCACCCGGCACCATGCCCGTCTAATTTTGTTTTTTTTTTTTTTTTGCGACGGAGTCTCGCTCTGTCGCCCAGGCTGGAGCGCAATGGCGTGATCTCTGCTCACTGCAAGCTCCGCCTCCCGGGTTTACGCCATTCTCCTGCCTCAGCCTCCCGAGTAGCTGGGACTACAGGCGCCTGCCACCATGCCCGTCTAATTTTTTGTATTTTTAGTAGAGACATGGTTTCACCGTGTTAGCCAGGATGGTCTCGATCTCCTGACCTCGTGATCCGCCCGCCTCAGCCTCCCAAAGTGCTGGGATTACAGGCGTGAGCCACCCCGCCCAGCCACGCCCGTCTAATTTTTGTATTTTTAGTAGAGACGGGTTTTCGCCATGTTGGCCAGGATGGTCTGGATTTCTTGACCTCGTGATTCGCCCGCCTTGGCCTCCCAAAGTGTTGGGATTACAGGCGTGAGCCACCGTGCCTGGCCAGGGGATTAATCAGTTATGTATTATGGCTGGGCGTGGTGGCTCACGCCTGTAATCCCAGCACTTTGGGAGGCCAAGGCCGACGGACGGATCACTTGAGGTCAGGCGTTGGAGACCAGCCTGGCCAACATGGAGAAACCTCGTCTCTACTAAAAATACAAAAATTAGCTGGGCATGGTGGTGGGTGCCTCTAATCCCAGCTACTCGGGAGGCTGAGGCACGAGAATTACTTGAACCCAGGAGGTGGAGGTCACAGTGAGCCGAGATGGTGCCACTGTACTCCAGCCTGGGCAATAAAAGCGACACTCCATCTGAAAAAAAAAAAAAAAGGGCCGGGCGCAGTGGCTCACACCTGTAATCCCAGCATTTTGGGAGGCCAAGGCGAGCAGATCACGAGGTCAGGAGATCGAGACCATCCTGGCTAACATGGTGAAACCCTGTCTCTACTAAAAATACAAAAAAATTAGCCGGGCGTGGTGGCAGGCACCTGTAGTCCCAGCTACTCAGGAGGCTGAGGCAAGAGAATGGCATGAACTCGGGAGGTGGAGCTTGCAGTGAGCAGAGATCACGCCATTGCACTCCAGCCTGGGCAACAGAGCAAGACTCCGTCTCCAAAAAAAAAGGGCCGGGCGCGGTGGCTCACGCCTGTAATCCCAGCACTTTGGGAGGCCAAGGCAAGCGGATCACGAGGTCAGGAGATCGAGACCATCCTGGCTAACATGGTGAAACCCCATCTCTACCAAAAATACAAAAAATTAGCCAGGCGTGGTGGCGGGTGCCTGTAGTCCCAGCTACTTGGGAGGCTAAGGCAGGAGAATGGCGTGAACCTGGGAGGTAGAGGTTACAGTGAGCCGAGATCGAGCCACTGCACTTGAGCCTGGGCGACAGAGCGAGACTCTGTCTCAAAAAAAAAAAAAAAAAGTTATGTATTCTGAGTGTTTTGAGAAAACCAAAGCTTTAGCAGAAAAACACCTGGGAAAGCTTCACCAGAAAATCTTTCTCCACCACAACAATGCTCCTGCCTACTCCTCTCATCAAACAAAGGCAATTGTCATTTCATTTTTCCACACTTTTTGAAGTCCCCTTGTATTGTGGCTATTCATCCTTTGTCAACCATATGTGTTTGAAGCTGACTATGTCTTTTTGGGTAGACATATCTGTATGTCGGTCTAGGCAGATGGGCCCCACAAAACCACTGCACTCCCGTTATGGCTGGGAAGAGCAAGCAAATATTTCCTATGCCTCTAGGGGATACAGATTTAACCGAGAGTTAGACCTGGAAGTACCCCATAGTCAGTTTGAGGGATAAAGCAGGAGCATCATACATGAGTCAACATCCAAGGACCACATAGTATCTGGCACATCTCAGAAGATGCCTGTGTTGGCCGGGCACAGTGGCTCATGCCTGTAACCCCAGCACTTTGGGAGGCCAAGGCAGGCAGATCATTCGAGCCCCAGAGTTCAAGACCAGCCTGGGCAACATGGCAAAACCCCATCTCTACAAAAAAGTATAAAAATTAGCTGGATGTGGTGGCTCACGCCTGTGGTCCCAGTTACTCGGGAGGCTGAGGCAGGAGAATCACTTGAGCCCAGGAGGTTGAGGCTGCAGTGAGCTGAGATGGCACCACTACACTTCAGCCTGGGTGACAGAATGAGACCTTGTCTCAAAAAGAACGAAAGAAGGAAAGCCTGTTTGAACTGAAAGGGGGCTAAGTGGGGGACAGATCCTAAAGGAATCCTTTGATTTTGTAGATGGAAAACATAACATGCTCATTATTTCACTGAAATTTAAAGAAAATTGACTATCCTTTGTATTTTGCAATAAAAAGTTAGCTCCATAGGCCTAAATGTATTTTCTTTTTAATGTTCACCTAATTAAATTCCAGATCCAGACACTAGCCTTAATAATGATTGTCTTTATAATTAACTAAAGGAATCTAAGTTTCCTTTTGGCTGTGGGGGGAGAGAGTCCAATCTCCATCATAAAGTTTGTTTACACCATCTGATTTGGTGAAGTGTTGAATTGAGAAACTTTGACAAGAATGTCTGTCTTGAGTCCCTGTACAACTACAGAACCCTCTGAAATGCCCAGGATCGTTACCAACGCCATCTCCATTAAGTCAAGTCTGTCCACAGTGGGGAGAGCAAAAGGTTGGTTAACAAATACAAAAGTACAGCTATAGGCCAGGCCAGGCTGCTCTTGCCTGTAATCCCAGCGCTTTGGGAGGATCACTTGAGCCCAGGAGTTCAAGAGCAGCCCGTGAAACATGGTGAGATCTTGTCTTCAATAAAAAATAAAGGCCGGGCGTGGTGGCTCACGCCTGTAATCCCAGCACTTTGGGAGGCCGAGGCGGGCGGATCACGAGGTCAGGAGATTGAGACCATCCTGGGTAACACAGTGAAACCCCGTCTCTAATAAAAATACAAAAAAATTAGCTGGGCGTGGTGCCGGGCGCCTGTAGTCGCAGCTACTCGGGAGGCTGAGGCAGGAGAAAGGCGTGAACCCGGGAGGCGGAGCTTGCAGTGAGCTGAGATTGCGCCACTGCACTCCAGCCTGGGTGACAGAGCAAGACTCCATCTCAAATAAAATAAAATAACATAAAATAAAATAAAATAAATAAAAAATTATCCAGGCATGGTGGTGCATGCCTGTAGTACCACCTACTTGGGAGGCTGAGGCAGGAGGATCGCTTGAACCCAGGAGGTTGAGGGTGCAGTGAGCTATGATGGTGCCACTGCACTCCAGCCCAGGCGACAAAGTGAGATCCTGCCTCAAAATGAAAAAGTCACACTGTACCCCATAAATATTTACAATTATTATGTGTCTATTAAAAATAATAGGCTGGGGCCAGGCACAGTGGCTCACATCTGCAATCCCATCACTTTGGGAGGCCGAGGCAGGTGGATCACCTGAGGTCAGGAGTTTTAGACCAGCCTGGCCAACATGGTGAAACCCCATCTCTACTAAAAAAAAAAAATAATACAAAAATTAGCTGGGCATGGTGGTGTGTGCCTGTAAGCCCAGCTACCTGGGAGGCTGAGGCAGGAGAATTGCTTGAACCCAGGAGGTGGAGTTTGCAGTGAGCTGAGATCACGCCACTGTACTCCAGCCTGGGTGACAGAGCAAGACTCTGTCTCGAAAATAATAAAATAATAATAATAATAATAATAATAGGCCAGGTGTAGTGGCTCACACTTGTAATCCCAGCACTTTGGGAGACCAAGGCGGGCGGATCACTTGAGGTCATGAGTTCGAGACCAGCCTGGCCAACATGGTGAAACCCCATCTCTACCAAAAATACAAAAATTAGCTGGGCATGGTGGGATGTGCCTGTAATCTCAGCTACTCGTGAGGCTGAGGCACGAGAATCGCTTGAACCCAGGAGGCAGAGGTTGCAGTGAGCCGAGATTGTGCCACTGCACTCCAGCCCAGGGAACAGAGAGAAAAACTGTCTTAAATAAATAAAATAATAAAAGCAAAAAGAGGAATGTTTGTCCTTGAAATTATTACTTTAGCAAAGAAGGCTCATAAAACCTTCAAATGACACCTGTAGTTATAATTGAGAATATGTTGTCTATGTTGTAAATGACATCTCTGAAACTCTAAGTGCTGTAAATAAGGATTTTGAACTCCTGGCCTCAAGCAATCCTCCCGTCTTGGCCTCCCAAAGTGCTGGGATTACAGGTGCGAGCCACTGCGCCCGGCCGTGGATTTTAGTCCCAGCCTTGCCCCTCTGAGGCAGTGTAGTCATGGGAAGTTGCTTCGCCTTTTTGTGTTTCAGTTTCCTCAAGTGCAAATGAGGACAACAAAAGGCAGTTTTGTGTCACCTCAGACGTGGTCCTAAATGGGCCCACCGGGATGGTTCGCATTTTTTAACGTCAGAGCATCAATCTCTAAAGGTCTGCCCCTAGGTTGGGGTCAGGGGTGTCAGAGCTGCCCTGCCTGTCAAGCCCTGTTCTCCAAATGCCACTAAGAGAGCAGCGGAAATAGGAACACTGAGACCAGCAGCCCGACTCAAGGTGAAGTGCGTGCACCTCTCTTCCGTCTCCCTTTTGCTCCTCCTGCCTCTGCATTGACTCCATCTCTTGCTCCTCTGTATCCGTTTTACCTTCTCAATCTCATTCTCTCTCTGCTCCTGTTTTTCTTTTTTCCCTGTTACCTCTGCCTTGTGTCTTTGCCAATGTGTCTTTCTCCTTCTCACTTTTTTTTTTGGACGGATTCTCACTCTGGCTCCCAGGCTGAAGTGCAGTGGCGCGATCTCGGCTCACTATAACCTCCGCCTCCCGGGTTCAAGCAATTCTCCTGCCTCAACCGTGCAAGTAGCTGGGATTACAGGCGCCCGTCACCGTGCTTGGCTAATTTTTGTATTTTTAGTAGAGACGGGGTTTCACCATGTTGGCCAGGCTGGTCTCAAACTCCTGACCTCAAGTGACCTGCCCACTTCGGCCTCCACAAGTTCTGGGATTACAGGCATAAGCCACTGCACCTGGCCCCTCCTTCTCACTTTTTTTTTTTCTTTTTAAGACAGGGTCTCGTTCAGTCACCCAGGCTGGAGTGCAGTTATCTGCAACCTCTGTCTCCCGGGTTCAAGCAATTCTCCTGTCTCAGCCTCCCGAGTATCTGGGACTACAGGCATGTGCCACCATGCCCAGCTAACTTTTGTATTTTTAGTAGAGACGGGGTTTCACCTTGTTGGTCAGGCTGGTCTCGAACTCCTGACCTCAGGTGATCCACCCACCTCGGCCTCCCAAAGCGCTGGGATTACAGGCATGAGCCACCACGCCCGGCCTCTTGGTATCTTTTTCTGCATCTCTCTCTCCTTTGATCTCTCCGTAAACTCTGGCTTCTCTTTCTATGTCTTTCTCCCTATTCTCTTTCTGTCCCTTTGATTCCCCCATGTCTGTCTCTTTCTCCCTGACCTGTCGGGGTCTGTCCCTGAGGAAGTGAGTAAAGTGATCCCACACCTGTCAGGGCTGGACCCCCTTGCTCTTCTCTGATCCCACCCACCTCCTTAACCCCTCTTGCCCACAGACTATTTCCCTTCTCCCCATGCAGACAGGTGGGTGGCAAACTCAAGGGCCACCGGGGTCACACTGTGAAAGCACCAGCCAGGGAGACCAAAGCAAAAAAAATGAGGATGCGGAGCTGAGAGATCAAGACAGATAGAGGCAGAGACTAAGGGCTTAGGCAGGGAGGAAGCAGGAAGAAACAGGAGGAGGAACCTGAGACAGAGCCGCTGAAGTCCTTGCTGGAAGCAGATGGGATTAAATGAGCGACGAGACTGGGAGAGTGCCAGAGAGAGACACCAAGAGGATGCAGGTAAGGCATCTGTCCCCTGAGGCCCCGCAGCTAGGGTGTGGGTGGGCGGCAGCCGGAGGAGGCCCGGCCTGAAGCCAGCTCACAGCTCACCCGCTCCTCACTATGTCTCCTGTGTTTGCCTGCATCTGACGTGGTATTCCCCTCTACCTGCCTGCGTTTCTGACCCTCACGCAGCTTCTTCTATTTCTTAGCGTCTCTCCTCCTCTCTGTCTCTTTTCATTGATCTCTTGCGTGTCTCTCTGCCTCCATCTCTTTCCACCTCTCTGTCGGTCTCTACCTCCCTACGTGCATGTCTGTTTCTATTTCTCTCCCTCTCTTTATCTCTCCATCCCCCGTCTTCCCTTGGTCTCTGTAGTCTCTTCTCGTCGAAACAACCAAGGGTCTCACCCCGTATTTCCTTCTTATAGGAACAGAGGCCGCCGGCCCCGGGCCTAGGTCAGTCAGAGGGCGGGGCCTCAGGGCTCGCCCCAGCCGCGCGCCCCAGCTCGCGAGCCGCGGACGACCCAGGGCGCCCCAGCCCCAGCTCCGGGCCTGGTGAGCCTGGGTGATGCCGTTGACGCGAGGCCTCCACGGAGTCCCCCCTCCCCCGGCACCGTCCCCAGCCTCCCTGCAACTCTCACGCGAGGCCCCTAGCCTCGGTTTCCCAGCCCGCTCCCTCGCTTCTAAACGTGGTGCTGCTCCCGCCCCACTCCAGGTGACTCCGGCCCCCCAGCCCCGCCCCAGCCAGCGGCCGGAGGAGGCCCCGAACGTCGCCGCAAGCGGTCAAGCCACCCGGGCCGAGGGCACGCAGAAGGACCGCTCCTAGGCCCCGCGGGTGGGTCCGGCCGCCCGCAGCCTGGAGACTGCGCAGCTGGACCCGCGCGCGGGAGAGGGGCGGGGCCTGGCGGTGGGAGGAGGTGGGTCCAGAGGCTGCCGAGGGCGGGAGCCTGCGGGTCTCGGGGAGCGTGGAGAGGCGCAGCCTCGGAGGAGCCGGGTGGTTGTAGGAAGGAGGTGGGGCCCGCCGCGGGCTCAGGGGACGGTGTTGAGCGAAACGACCAGGGCGGGTCCGAGGGGCAGGGCCGGAGACCAAGGGAGCGTGGAGCCTCCAGGACTCTCGGAAGGGAAGGGCCTCCAGGAGCTACTCTCCAGGGGCGGCGCTAGATCCACGCAAGTGAAGGCCTGCAGGGGGCAGGGCCGGCCCAAAGATCCAGAAGGGGCGGGACTAAAGGAGGTATTGGCCCCAGGACACAAGGAACACCCTGGGTCTGACTGGCGCTCCGATCTCAAAGATGCATGCCTGGTGCTGCCGCCGCGGTACTTGTGGAGATGCGGGTTCGAGGCCTAAGCCCGGGCCCCGCGCTGCCCTCCCTGGTCCCTCAGTGGCGTGGCTGCGCCCTGCCCGGCATTGAGTCGCTCAAACAGGTATCACAGCTGTCACCGCTGAGGACTCTTTACATTCCCACGGACCAGTTTTGTAAGGGACTGGCTTGCAAGAAAGGGACGTTTTTCATGTCTCTCGAGGTATTCGCCACTGGAGCAGTTTGTGCAGAGGAAACCCTTAACTCCTCAGGAAGCTTTTGAGCCTCCCCGTGGCTTCTGCACCCCAGTGTAGGCAATGTTTGCCCCACCCAGGTAGAGCTTTTCGCAGAAGTCACAGCTTGGGGGCGGGGGTATGTCCACCCAGAAAAATCTCCTAGCTCCCCCATCCCAAAATGAAAACTCATTTCTGGTTATTTTGTGGTTACCCTTTAAAAACACTAGACCTGGCCGGGTGCGGTGGCTCACGCCTGTAATCCCAGCACTTTGGGAGGCCGAGGCGGGCAGATCACCTGAGGTCAGGAGTTTGAGACCAGCCTGGCCAACATGGTAAAACCCCGTCTCTACTGAAAATACAAAAATTGGCCGAGCGTGGTGGCTCACGCCTGTAATCCTAGCACTTTGAGAGGCCGAGGTGGGCGGATCACTTGAGATCAGGAGTTCGAAACCAGCCTGGCTAACATGGTGAAACCTCGTCTCTACTAAAAATACAAAAAGTTAGCTGGGTGTGGTGGTGGACGCCTGTAATCCCAACTACTCAGGAGGCTGAAGCAGGAGATCACTTGAACCCGGGAGGTGGAGGTTGCAGTGAGCCGAGATCACGCCACTGCACTCCAGCCTGGGTGACAGAGCAAGACTCCGTCTCAAAACAACAAATAAAAACACTTGACCACACTGAGCAGAGGAAAGCAGAAAAGCAGCTCTGTGACAGAAGGGGAGGCTGATCCAGGGCACCTTCTTTGAAGGAGCTAGGTCTCCTGGCCCCCTTCTTCCATCCCAGATCCACCCTGAGGCCACATGGAGGGAGGGGAATCACCTTCACAAATGCCGTGCTGAGTGTCCAGAAAGAAGGGACTCCTGTGAGGCCACATTTCCCAGCCTCGGTGACGGGGGCTTGTGGACCAGGAGTCAGGGATATTGGAGTGTGTGGGGGGGGATGGGGTCAGGGGTGCAACGTCCAGAACCACCCCCATCCCCAGCAATCCTGGTGTTCATTCACTTCTTTCCCAAGCTTGTTCCTCTGACAGCTAGGACCCATCACCAGGCCCCAGACAACCTTATTCATGTCCCTAATTCACATCTTCATTCTCCCTTCCTGCTCATCCATCCCATAGACATTTACTAGAGCCCACTTGCTGTGGGCCTCCAAGTCCTAGGGCTTCCAAGTCCCTGAAGCAGGCTCTGCCCCTCATCCTAAGGAGGGGCCCCATAGGCAGTTCAAGGAGTCCACACATAGGCATTTCAAAACGGGCTTTAAATACTCATCAGGGTGCCACACAAAGGAGCTGGGGTGAGAACTTCGTACATGTGAGTGTGGGGCTGGGGTGCCCTGAGAGAGAAAAAGGGGACCCATCTGTCAGGGCAGCTGGGGTGCCCCACCCCCACCCTGGGACTAGGGAGCAGAGTAGAAACCCTCTCTGGAGGGTCCCAGGGCTAACTGGGAGCCAGCCCTCCCTTCGAGGTAGACCATCGGGGAGGGAACCGAGAAGTAGCTCCCATGGTGGCAGTGGCTTCCTCAGTGGTACTGCTGATAGCTGGGGTAGCCTGGGGCCGGGGTGCCATCCTTAGGGGGCAGCTGGCTGGGGTCCTCCAGGAATGGGGGCGCTGGAGAAGGGAGACTTGGGTAAGGATGAGTGGAAGAGGCCAGGTGGAGTATTTCCCACTCCCCCGACCACCAGTTACTCACCATTTCGGAACTGCTGGGCTGTGTAGCGAGTGAGGAGGATGCCAACGCCCTCAATGAGGGCCAACAGGATGCCCCCCATCATTGCTGAGCCCACCATGGCCAGTGGGCCACCTGGGGGAGTTGGAGGCAGAGAAACAGAGGTGAGAGCAGGCAGAACAGGGTGGAAGGGGCTGGGGCCAGGGCCAGGGGTCACTCACTGCGGGCAGCCAGCACAGCCCCGGTCAATGCTCCACTGGTGATAGAGTTCCAGGGATCCTCCTTGCCCCGAAGCCGCACCAGGCCACAGTCGATGGTGGAGAACAGGCCCCCCCACACTGCGAAGCTACCTGTAGTGGAACCGAGGCCTAATTAGTTCCTGGGAAATCCTGAGAATTCACATCTCAGGGGACTTCCAAGGCCTGAATGCTTTGGCCAAGAACAGGGAGAAAAACCCAGACACAAAGGCAGATAGCAAACCCACACAGAGTATTTCCTATCTGTCCCCATCCTGTGGTAGCTCCCACTTCAAGCCGTCTATAATCACCATCAACATTCCCTTCATCTTTATGGGGAGTTGACAAATGTTTACAAGCAGATTTATCTTCATATGGCTTTTAACAGAGCAACTTTGAGCTTCATAATCACCACACAGAGTTGGAATTCTGATTTGGGTTTCAGTGAGAAGGAAATAGGTTAGGAAACCCAGTTAATATGATAGTTAAAATGTTTACTGAGGGCTTACTGTGTGCCAGGACCTGTTCGAGGTGCTCTGTTATTTAACTTCTGCAATTTTAAATTAGTTAATGTTATTAAAGTGTTTAGCATAGCAACCAGCACTTAGTAGTATGTAAATTACATAAACTATAAAACTACCGATGAAGTGGTTACTGTTATCACCACCCCCACGGTACAAGTGAGGTTCAGAGAGGTTAAGCCACTAGCCCAAGGTCACATGGCAGGGAACAGTCAGGACCTAGATTTAAACTCCAGAACCCACTTTCTTCCCCTCCATATTCAATTGTTGGGAAACATCACCCCCCTAGAAAGTCTCTGGCAGGGGCTAGAATCTGAACCCCTAACTTGCAGCCTAGACCCAAAGGATCAACCACTCCCACCTTTGCCAAGACATCTCCTATATCTATCTCCCCAAGTCCCTCACCTCCAATCTGGGGGGCTCGGATCCTCACAGCATTGGCACTACCTCTCAACCGGTGCCGAATTCCCTGGGGAAAGGAAGGAAGGGCGTTAGGGCAGGGCTGAAGCCACTGGCAGACACGTTTCCAACTTTTAAGAGAGGGAAGAAGATGGGAGACCTGTTAGAGGTATGAGCTGTAGAGATGTGGAGAAGTGGCCAAGAACTAGTGGCCTGGAGAGCGCCCCAACATGGGTGTTCTCAGAGCTAGGTTGAGAAGTGCTAATTCATTCATACATTTGTTCATTCATTCATTCAGTGAATGATTAACAAGTACCTACTATATGTGCCAAGCACCATGCCATATGCAGGGATACAGCCATGAACAAGGTAGGTCTGCTCTCTGCCCTCTCAGAGCTCACATTAACGGTGGGAGACACAGATCTTGAGCAAGAGTAGATAAACAAGGGAGCTTCAGACAGCAATCTGCACTGTAGAGGAAATGCCATGAAGAAATATGACTGGGGCTGAGGGGTCAGGAAAGGCCTCTTGAAGGAGGGGGAATCTGTGCTGAGACCTTGAGGATGACAAACTTGGGCAAAGATCCAGGGAGGAGAGTTCCAGGAGTCTAGGGGAGGGACGGGGCTACATATATAAATTGCAGAGACCTTGGCTAATAGATGGCATTTAAAGTCATGGCATTTGCGATCTTCTGGGAGGGGAGGTGGTCAGAGAAAAAGAATTATGTTAAAAGAATTCTCTCAACTTCAAGGCTGTCTTCCGTCTGCCAATTAAATTCCTGTCATTTTCCTCTATCCGGGTTTCTGAGCCAGAATCTGCCTCTAGGTAAAATGCGCAGTGGCTAACACCTGTAATCCCAGCACTTTGGGAGGCTGAGGTGGGTGGATCACTTGAGTTCAGGAATTAGAGACCAGCCTAAGCAACACGTTGAAACCCCGTCTCTACAAATAAATAAATACATACATAAATAATTAGCCGGGCATGGTGGCGCAGTCCTGTGGTCCCAGCTACTTGGGAGGCTGAGGTGGGAGGATCACTTGAGCCTGGGAGGCGGAGGCTGTAGTGACCCATGATCAGGCCACTGCACGCCAGCCTGGGCAACAGGGCAAGATGCTGTCTCAAAAAAAAAAAAAAAAAAAAAAACATGGCCAGGCACAGTGGCACACGCCTGTAATCCCAGCACTTTGGGAGGCCGAGGTAGGTGGATCACCTGAGGTCCAGAGTTCAAGGCCAGCCTGGCCAACATAGTGAAACCCCATTTCTACTAAAATTACAAAAATTCGTCAGGTCTGGTGGCACATGCCTGTAGTCCCAGCTACTTGGGAGGCTGAGACAGGAGAATTGCCTGAACCCAGGAGGCAGAGGTTGCAGTGAGCCAAGAGCGTGCCACTGCACTCTAGCCTGGGCAACAGAGCAAGACTGTCTCAAAAAAAAAAAAAACTGTCTGGCTTTGCACATACATTTAAAATTTGGTGATGACTCTTTGAACGACACAGCATTTCCACAGAGGAGCTCCAGTTGGGTGGGGTGGAGGGTGGAAGACAGAGGCCATGTTTGCAATCCCTACAAAATCCCAGATACAGGAGCCAGGCTCGGCACATAGTAGGTGAGTGGGCACCAGAATGAATAAGTGCACGTGACTGGCAGCTCCAAGCAGTTTTCAGAGCAGCCTCCCTTGTGGGCAAGATAGCTAACCCCACACCAACCCAGGGAAGGCCTGGACTCACAACAGGGGCATTGCGGAAACCCTTGATGGCCTGGAAGACTCCGCCACCGATGACACCCATAGTGAAGGCTCCACCGCAATCATCCACAATTCGCCATGGGCTGCAAGCAGGAAGGGAAGGACGGGGTTAATGTGAGCCCTCCCCCAGGTCCTGTCACACGAACTCTTTTCTAACTGGGAGAAACCAAGTCACCAGAATGGGAAGTTCCTAAGTAGGAACAAACACTTCAGATAATAATGAGCTAGTTCTGTCACGCTTTTTCCACACACCCCCCCATTAAAGCGAGAAATGGGGCAAAGGGGGAGAAATATTAGTCTTCGCCCTGTCTACCAACCAAGGAATCAGCCAACGGTTTTACTGTGATCAAAGATTAAATGAATTGGCACACGCAGAGTTGACGTTTCAATAAGCGACATAGGCGTGTTAACTAGCCAAGACAGACTGTCAGCAAAGCAGGACCGCGTCGCACCCCTTCTCCGACGGTGAGCCCGTCCAACCATGCCCCGCCCCTTTTCAATCCGGCACAACTGGGAAAAACCAAGAGCGACCGCGGGAAGCATCCACCGTCCCCGCCGGCCCTCAACAGGTTCATCCGTGCCCCGCCCCCCACTGACAAAGGCGACCTGGGAAAAACCACTGGCGGCAACTCTGGGGATTTCCGGTCAACACCGTACCACCCCTAGCCGGGATGGATCGTCCAGCGTGTCTTTTTTCGTTAACAGGGCTAGGAGATTACGAAGTCAGGAGAAACATGGCGTGGTTCGGCCTTCGCCGCACCTTCTCTGGTTGTGGCCCCTCATAACGGAGCCCGAATGACAGGAACCGAGTGGGGGTAGCGGGAGATACGTTAAGAGTCCCCCGAGTCTGGTACATGGCTCTGTGCGGCCGATGCCTCCCCCGCCCGACCCCCACGGCTGGCCTTGGCGTCGCAGCAATATTCCGGATGCCTGTGCCCATTGCCGTACCAGGGCTCCCGAGCGTACTCCTCCATGGCGCTGGCGTCTGGCCGCGCAGTCAGGCCACGCCCCCAGCGTAGACGCACACCGGCGTCGGAGCTTTCCGCCTATTACCGGGCAGCGATTGGGTCGCTATACCGCATGTCACGCCAAGGACGCACTCTCATTGGCCAATCGAGTTTCTGCCATTTGTTCATTGCCTCCTGAGCGTAGTCCAGTTACTTTCAGGCTCGGGGAGTGAAGGCCTCGTTGAGAGAAGGTCTCATTCGGTGTTTTGGGAAGAGAGTCGTGTGGGCCCAGGTATCGTAGCGGCGACACGAGAGAGACGGGCGGTGTGACAGCCTTCCACTACCTGCACGAGTGTATTGGTAACGTTGGGGTGGGTGCACTCTTTTGGAGCTGGAGGAAGTGCTGCCCTCTGCTCCCCCATCCCAGCGCTTTGGTTTCTCCCACCCGGCAGTCATGGGGACGCTGGATGAGCCCATTTCTGAAGTGCGGAGGGGCCGGGCTTCTTAGGCTGTGGGCGGAGCCTGGGCCTGGGAGAGGAACAGGGCCCTGGAGCACCTGGTTTCGGGGACAGTAGGGTTGGTGGGAGTTGCGATGATATTGCCACCTACCTCTTACATCTTTTAGTGCGTATGTTCTGTCCACCCAGCTACTGGTTCATTTGAGTAGATCGGAGTCAGATGAGTACATGTTTACGGGAGGCGCTTGGTTACGGGATCCAGATAGGAATCTTTATCTGAGCTGCTTGTCAGTTTGTTCGTCTGTCCCTAGGTCTGTCTGCTATCAGCTATGCCGCTGCCCGTTGCGCTGCAGACCCGCTTGGCCAAGAGAGGCATCCTCAAACATCTGGAGCCTGGTGAGACAGCTAAAAGCAGATGGTCCTAACACGTGCCAGCCTCGACAGGCACTTTTGTTGTTGATACTGACGCTTGATACCTAGCATGGGCCAACTGTGCACCAAGCAATGGGGTGGCAGGCATTTTTCGTTGTTAACAATGTGGATTCCTGACATCCATCCCTACCGCGTGTCAAGTGGAGGGGGTTGGGGGAATAGATATTTCATTCTTTTTTTTTTTTTTTTTTTTTTTTTTTTTTTTTTTTTTTGAGGCAGAGTCTTATTGTGCACCCAGGCTGGAGTGCAGTGGCGCGATCTCGGCTCACTAAAACCTCCGCCTTCCAGGTTCAAGCGATTCTCCTGCCTTAACTTCCCGAGTAGTTGGGACTACAGGCACGCCCCGCCCCACCACACCTGGCAATTTTTTTTTTTTTTTTTTTGAGACAGAGTCTCGGTCTGTCGCCCAGGCTGGAGTGCTGTGGCGTGATCTCGTCTCACTGCAACCTCCGCCTCCCGGGCTCAAGCGATTTTCCTGTCTCAGCCTCCCAAGTAGCTGGGATTACAGGCACGTGATACCACACCCGGCTGATTTTTGCATTTTTAGTAGAGACGGGTTTCACCATGTTGGCTAGGCTGGCCTCTAACTCCTGACCTCAGGTGATCCACCCCCCACCCTTGGCTTTCCAAAGGGTTGGGATTACAGGCATAAGCCACTGTGCCCGGCAGATATTTCATTCTTAACAATACTGACTGGCTGGGCGTGGCGGCTCAAGCTGGCATTCCCAGCACTTTAGGAGGCTGAGGCGGGTAGATTGCTTGAGTTTAGGGATTAAGAGATTAGCCTGAGCAACATGGCAAAACCCCGTCTTTACAAAAAATACAAAAATTAATCGTGTGTTGTGGTGCATGCCTGTAGTCCCAGCTACTTGGGAGGCTGAGGTGAGAGGATCTCTTGAGCCTAGGATGTCAAGGGTGCAGTGAGCCGAGATTGTGCCACTGCACTCCAGCCTGGCCGACACATGGAGACCCTGTCTGAAAAAAATCCAAAAAAAACAACAAAATAATACTGACCACCTAATGCCTATTTGGGGCCTACTGTATGCCAAGTTAAATCCCATGGATTACTCTATGGGGGTGATGACATAGTATCTAATAGGAAGTACTGCTAACCTCTACTGCTGTCTCCTGTGTGCCAAGCGTAGTTGCAGTGAGGATCTATCATTTAGGCCTACTGTGCTCTGGCTGCAAATCACACCTTATTATCAGTAATACTAAAAACTGGCATCTATTTGGGGCTATAGTGTGCCAGGCACTGGAAAATATATCTTCTCCTTATTGATAACTGACATCTATTACAAGCCTACTGTGTGCAAGGTATAGACCTTGTGGTTAATAAAATTGTCAATGATCCCAGGCCGGGCAGGGTGCCTCATGCCTGTAATCTCAGCGCTTTGGGAGGCGGAGGTGGACGGATCACGAGGTCAGGAGATCGAGACCATTCTGGCTAACAGGGTGAAACCCCATCTCTAATAAAAATACAAAAAACTTAGCCGGGCGTGGTGCCAGATGCCTGTAGTCCCAGCTACTCGGGAGGCTGAGGCAGGAGAATGGTGTGAACCCGGAAGGCGGAGCTTGCAGTGAGCCGAGATCATGCCACTGCACTCCAGCCTGGGCAACAGAGAAAGACTCCATCTCAAAAAAATAAAACTGGCAATGATCATTGATTTACTTTTTTTTTTTTTTTTTTTTTTTTTTTTTGAGAGAGTCTCGCTCTGTCACCTAGGCTGGAGTGCAGTGGTGCAGTCTTGGCCCACTGCAACCTCTGCCTCCCGGGTTCAAGCGATTCTCCTGCCTCAGCCTCCCGAGTAGCTAGGACCACAGGCGTGCTCCACTGTGCCTGGCTAATTTTTGTATTTTTTAGTAGAGATGGGGTTTCACCATGTTGGCCAGGCTGGATTTTCTTTTAAGCCTATTGAATGACCTGTGCCTATGGTATATATATTATTTATTATTTGTTTAGAGACAGGGTCTCACTCTGTTGCCCAGGCTGGAGTGCAGTGGCACGATAATAGCTCACTGCAAGCTCAAAGTCCTGGGCTCAAATGAGCCTCCTGCCTCAGCCTCCTGAGTAGTTGGGACTACAGACGTGTGCCACTGTGCCCAGCTAATTTTTTTTTTTTGTAGAGACAGGGGTCTCACTATGTTGACCAGGCTAGTCTCACAGACGGGTTTTCACCATCTTGGCCAGGCTGGTCTTGAACTCCTGACCTCGTGATCCACCCACTTTGGCCTCCTAAAGTGCTGGGATTACAGGCATGAGCCATCACGCCTGGCCAAGATGAGTAAATTTTTTGATGAATCCCTATCAACTCTGAAACCAGATAGCTTTGGCTAACAGTAGAACTCATCATCTGAACCCAGACACAGATTTAGGTAACCTTTTTTTGTAAACCTCCTAATATAGAGAGTTGGATTTGGAATGTGAAAGATACTTCATATTCTTCCCGGCACACACACACACGTGTCTTTTATGTGTGGCTTGTGTGAATGTGAGTGCGTGTCTCTAGGCTCTACATGTAGGATGAGGTCCCCTGGTCCTTATCTGCTCTCCTCATCCCCACCTTGTTCTACCAGAACCAGAGGAAGAGATCATTGCCGAGGACTATGACGATGATCCTGTGGACTACGAGGCCACCAGGTTGGAGGGCCTACCACCAAGCTGGTACAAGGTGTTCGACCCTTCCTGGTGAGCCTGGGTGAGGGGGAGCTAACTTCTGGCTTCACCCTTCCTGTGCTGACCTTGGTTGTGAGGTTTAGGGGGACACAAGGGAGGGAGCCTCGGGTGGAGGGTGTTGGCATTAGGTATCTGCAGGACTCAAGTTGCTGCCTGCTGGGGCCTGGCTCCTCTGGGGTTGGAAGACTGTCTTTTCTCTCTTTTTTGAAACGGAGTTTCACTCTTGTAGCCCGGGCTGGAGTGCAATGGTGTGATCTCGGCTTATGGCAACCTCCGCCTCGTGGGTTCAAGCGATTCTCCTGTCTCAGCCTCCCAGGTAGCTGGGATTACAGGTGCACACCACCACACCCAGCTAATTTTTGTATTTTTTGTAGAGATGGGGTTTCATCATATTGGTCAGGCTGGTCCCGAACTCCTGACCTCAGGTGATCCGCCTGCCTCGGCCTCCCAAAGTGCTGGGATTACAGGCATGAGCCACCACGCCCAGCTGACAGTGTTTTCTCTTCAGGAGAAGAGATTCTGGGGATCCTGCCTGTGGGGTCCTGACATGGGGCAGGTATAGGCAGAGACTGGGGAGACAAGAGTTGAGGATCCAAGGCAAGGACATCTGTGCTGACACTTCTTTCCTGCGGCCCCACAGCGGGCTCCCTTACTACTGGAATGCAGACACAGACCTTGTATCCTGGCTCTCCCCACATGACCCCAACTCCGTGGTTACCAAATCGGCCAAGAAGCTCAGAAGCAGTAATGCAGGTGAGTTGGCAGGTACAAGCGTGCCTTGAGTGATCTTAGCAGTTCTCACGGAGAGGCCAAGTAGAATGATAGTGGATCAGAGGGGCAGGTGAGACCAGGCGGGCCCAGCCTCAGGCAAGGGAGGTTGTTGAAGGCAGAGGCTGCTGGGTCCTGGGGTGGCAAGAGGTCACTTCAAGACTTGTGTCCCCAGATGCTGAAGAAAAGTTGGACCGGAGCCATGACAAGTCGGACAGGGGCCATGACAAGTCGGACCGCAGCCATGAGAAACTAGACAGGGGCCACGACAAGTCAGACCGGGGCCACGACAAGTCTGACAGGGATCGAGAGCGTGGCTATGACAAGGTAGACAGAGAGAGAGAGCGAGACAGGGAACGGGATCGGGACCGCGGGTATGACAAGGCAGACCGGGAAGAGGGCAAAGAACGGCGCCACCATCGCCGGGAGGAGCTGGCTCCCTATCCCAAGAGCAAGAAGGGTAAGCTGGGCAGAATGGGGCTCGGTGAGACCAACAAGGTGCAGGGTGCACTGCGTGAGGAAGCCTTCCCTCAAAAAGATGCCTGGACCTGGGGCTAGAGGAGGGTGCTGTGGTACATGGCAGCCAGGGGCTTCATTTCTTCTTGTGGGGTGGGGCTCAGTGATCAGGGGATCCTGGTGCCTCTATTGAAGACTTTGCCCTGCCACTTCCACAGCAGTAAGCCGAAAGGATGAAGAGTTAGACCCCATGGACCCTAGCTCATACTCAGACGCCCCCCGGTAAGTGACAACCCCTCTTGACTCAGTACGTGGACACCATCCTCCGGCCTCCTTCCTCCATTCCTCATTGGGACCAGGTGGGCTGTGTCCGCCACATCACCCATCCCCATCCCCTGACTCTTTCACCGGCAGGGGCACGTGGTCAACAGGACTCCCCAAGCGGAATGAGGCCAAGACTGGCGCTGACACCACAGCAGCTGGGCCCCTCTTCCAGCAGCGGCCGTATCCATCCCCAGGGGCTGTGCTCCGGGCCAATGCAGAGGCCTCCCGAACCAAGCAGCAGGATTGAAGCTTCGGCCTCCCTGGCCCTGGGTTAAAATAAAAGCTTTCTGGTGATCCTGCCCACCATACCTGAGTGCTTCCTTTGAGGCTGCCCAACCCAAGTCGGCAAGATACACAACACATTTTATTTGCAAAAACTCAGCTAAGAGATAGTGTGGAGCTGGCAGGGGCTGGGGGGCTGAGCTGAGGTGGGTCATGAGAGAGCTTAGTCATGTTGGCCCTGGGTGGGGCAGGGGTGGTGGGGACAGGGAGTCCAGTGTCTACCTCACTCTACCCCTAATACTGATCAGAGTTTGGTCCCAGCTGGGCCAAGGGCAAGAAGAGAGAACGAGGCCAGGCCAATGTCTTCAATCCCAGCGGCTAGGAACCCTTCACCTTGGTGAGCAACCTGTGGTGGGAATGGGGAGGAAAGAAAAACACAAAGCTGGGCTAGGCTGGCAGGCGGGTTTCCTGAGCAAGTGAGGGCGGCGGTGGTGAGGCTGGTAGTCCTGGGGTTAGTAATGGTGCCCACCTGGTCAGAAAGCTACACGTGGACTAAATAAATACAACATCTTTATTTGGCATTGGATATCCTGACATTTGTTCATTACAGTTCCTTAAAAAACAAACCAAAAAATCAGAACAAATTAATCAAAAATAAAGATCCAATGGCTCTATTTACATATAGCAAAGACAGCCCAGGCATCTTCCATGCACACACACACCCCGCCCCGATACAGTTAAGGGGTTAATAAGCTTTGGGGAGCGCAGGAGGCAGGTTCCACAGTTCATCAATCCCAAGACACCCCCATGAGGTAGGGGTGCCTCACACAGCCAGACGGATATCAAGAGTATGATTGGTAGCTTTTTCCTCTCCTAGACATCTCCAAAAATAAGCCTACATCTGGCAACTGACAGTGTCTTAAATACAATGAGATTCAGCCACTTCAAGGACCTCCATTTTTCCCACACCCTGGATCATTAATGATATGATTACACCACAAATCCCAAGTCCACTAAAAAAAACAAATGGCCCCTACCACACCTTCTGCCAGAAGGGCTGATGCAAAAATCTTAGCTCTTGTCCCTTTCTCCCTGGGGACTCACAAGAAGCCCATCTTCAAGGTATCAAGGAAGCTGGCCCAAGGCCACACAAAAGACGGAACTAGTAACATGATCCAGAGCGGTGGTAAGGGAGGAGAGAAGGCCTCAAACTATGGGCAACTGAACCCCACAGGTAGGCATCGGTCATTCCTGAAGAGCTGCGGGAGTTTTGTCCAGTGTGTCCTTATGGAGGTGGAGGGACTGCTGGGAGGGACTCTCCCAGACGAGAAACCTCCAGAAGAGGGCACAGGGTCGGGGAGGGAGCAGACAAAAAAAAGGCCTTGAATGACAATACCCCCAACCCTGCCTCCAAAGAGGTTAGAGGGAGCAGAGGCGGCAGCTCTAAAACCCCCTCCAGGGGAAGGGGGTCACCCTACCAGGAAGGGTTCACGTGACACCCAGCTCTAGTCCCACACCCCTCCAGAAGTCTCAGTGACCTGGGAGAAAAGACCATCTCCCAAACCCAGAGGAGCCAGGCCCCGGAGGGTGGCGACTTGGGTCCTGCAGATGCCCAACACCCTCCACCCCAGTCCCCCTCCCTTGTGTCCCCCCATTGCTGCCAGCCCTCACTTCACCAGCACTGACTTTGGCAGAAAGGGCTCCGTGATGAGGTCTCCACGGTGGGAAGACAGCTGCGGTGGTGGTGGCTGCCCGGGAGGCTGCTGGTGAACGCAGGGCCCGGAGGCGGAGGCAGAGGCAGAGGCTATGGCTTTGGCTGCACCTCGGGGAAGGCTGTAGAGGTAGACAGCACCAATGACGAGTCCAGCGCCAAGGGCAAATAATGGGTCCACGTGGAAGCCAAAGAGGCGAATGGAGGCAACAGTGGACAGCACAATGGACAGGGAGGTGGCAAAGCCCTTGAGGATATTGTCAGCGTACTTGACAACCACAGCCACCAGTAGCCCGCCGAAGGCCTGGTTGAGCACCACGCCCCAGACAGCAGGTGTGTACCCAAAAAAGAAACCACGGGTGGCCACGGCGGTACCCTCAGCCCACCAGAGCCCCACCAGGCCCAGTGCTGTGCCGAAGAGGCCCAGTTGCAGGTTGCGCAGCCACACGGAGCCTGAGCTGCCTTTGAGGATCTTCTCAAAGTAGACACCTGCGAAGCCGGAGGAGAGACAGGAGGCCACGACGGCTGCCAGGCCTGCCCCAGGGTTCTGATCCAGTGGCCGTGGGCCTCCCCCACCGGCTTGCTGTGCCTGGACAATGGCGACGCCAGTGAAGAGGAGCAGCAGGGAGGCCCACTGCAGCCGGGAAAGGCTGCGATTCAGCATGAGCACGGAGAACAGCGCTGTGGTCAGGATCTTCAGCTGGTATGTCACCTGCGAGTGGCACGTGGAAGGCACTGAGGGCTGACCCTGGCCCCCAACAGGTGCACATGGGGGGCAGCACCCACTGTGGGCCCCCAGGCACAATGGAGGGACAGGGTGGGGGGTATGACAGCAAAAACAGCAAAAGGAGCCAGCCACTGGCCATTGGCTGAGCTGCAGCAAAACAGTTCTGAAGTCTCTCCCAGCAAGTGCACAAAAGGATGGCTGTGCCAAGAAGTCCACATCCCAATCCCATTTCCTGGCTGTGTGACTGGGGACAAAGCACTTGCCCTGTCTGAGCCCTGGCATCATCATCTATAAAAGATGGCTGAGGTATGGAAGTATCTTTGTGATGAGGGACTTGATACAAATGAATCAATAGCCACAACAATGTCAGCAAATACTTACATAGTGCTTACAATATATCAGTGTGGTTCTAGGCACTGCACGTGAATTCATTCATTTAATTCTCACAACACCATTCTGAAGTGAGCACCACTGTAAGCCCCAATTTAAAGGTGAGAAAACTAAGGCACAGAGAGGTTAGGTGACGTGCCCCAAAATCACACAGCTGGAAGGTAGCAGAGCTGAGATTTGAACCCAGACAGCCTGGCCCCAGAATCCAGGCTCTTTAACCATTTCACAAAGCTGCCCACAAATAGCCTAAAGCTTATCTGTCACCAATCAAGGGCTCTTCACAGGTATTATTTCTTTTAAGTATCCTAGCATCTCAGTGAACAGGCATTACTATTTCCACCCCCAATTTTCACAGACGAGAAAAGGGAGGTTGAAGGAGTTCCAAGGACATTCTGAAGGTGACATAGCCCCTGTCCTCTGCAACACCCCCCCACCACGCTATTCCCATACTCCAGTCCCCAACCCAGTTAGTTCCTCTGGGGCCATGCTGGGCTTGGGGCTCACCTGGAAAGTGGCAGCTGGTAGGTTAGAGATGGCAACATACTGGAGGTTATTCTGCAAGGTGTAGATGAGAGAGGGCACTGCGAGCTTGAGCGTGTCCACATACTGCACCAGGACAGCCTCATGGAGGAAGAGAACCAGGTGCTTCACGTTACCTAGGTGGGAGGAGGAGAGCCCTTCTTAGCACTGACAGCCATACATGGGGAACCCCTGAAGGCTGGGAACAGGCCTTGCTCCTGTGACTCCCCCATCCACCCTGCTGTCCAATCCCTGGAGGCTGGAATGAAGTATGTGATCTTGGTTTTCCCTAGAGTACAACCATGTTTCCAGCAAGCTTTTCTGAGACTCAGTTTAATGGCAGCAAAAGAATCAGCCATCCGTGTCTGCTAATCACAGAGCATGTCACTCATGTTAGAGCCTACCTCCCTGGCAGAGAGCCCCATTCAGGGAAAGCACTCAATACTCAATATATTTGTGTACAATGAAATAACCAGCATTAGGCCAGGTGCCGTGGCTCACGCCTGTAATCCCAGCACTTTGGGAGGCCAAGGCAGGTGGCTCATGAGGTTAGGAGTTCAAGACCAGCTGGGCCAACAACACTGAAACCCTATCTCTACTAAAAATACAAAAATTAGCCAGGTGTGGTGGCAAGCGACTGTAATCCCAGCTACTTGGGAGGCTGAGGCAGGAGAATTGCTTGAACCTGGGAGGTGGAGGTTGCAGTGAGCTGAGACCATGCCATTGCACTCCAGCCTGGGCAACAGAGTGAGACTCCATCTCAAAAAAAAAAAAAAAGAAAGAAAGAAATAACCATCATTAACTTGGAGCTTATGAAATAGAAGCCCTAGGAGCTGGGGTGGAGGGCTGTCTCCCACACAGAAGAGTTTAGTCTAGACTTTTTTTTTTTTTGGCACAGTGGCGCGATCTCGGCTCACTGCAAGCTCCACCTCCCAGGTTCAAGCCATTCTCCTGCCTCAGCCTCCCAAGTAGCTTGGACTACAGGCGCGTGCCACCACTCCCAGCTAATTTTTTGTATCTTTAGTAGAGATGGGGCTTCACCGTGTTAGCCACGATGGTCTTGATCTCCTGACCTCGTGATCCGCCTACCTCGGCCTCCCAAAGTTCTGGGATTACAGGTGTAAGCCACCACACCAGGCATAGTCTAGACTTTTAGACTTATCCTAGCTCCTCACTGACCCATGTGCCGTCTGAGGGCAGGGGCCATCTCCCCCTTGTTGCATCTTTCTGTCAGCCCTAGACACAGAGTTGCCTCTGCCACATGGATGAATGCAGGCTTGACCATTAAGCAGAAGTCCGCTTGGGACCTGCTCCAGTGAAAACATGATAATCGGGCTGGGCGCAGTGGCTCACGCCTGTAATCCCAACACTTTGGGAGGTTAAGGTGGGTGGATCACCTGAGGTCAGGAGTTCGAGACCAGGCTGGCCAACGTGGTGAAACCCCGTCTCTACTAAAAATACAAAAATTAGCCGGGTGTGGTGGCAGGCGCCTATAATCCCAGCTACTCAGGAGGCTGAGGCAGGAGAATCTTTTGAACCCGGGAGGCGGAGGTTGCAGTGAGCCAAGATCGTGCCATTGCACTCCAGCTCAGACAACAAGGGCAAAACTCCATTTCAAAACAAACAAACAAAAAACATGAGAATCATTTCCTATGTAACAAGGCCTTTGCAAAGCTCGCCCCACTTTTTGGCAGTTCATCTTTTTTTTTGGCGGGGCGGGGTGGGTGGGTGAGGAGTCTTGCTCTGTCGCCCAGGCTGGAGTGCAGTGGTGTGATCTTGGCTCACTGCAACCTCTGCCTCCCGGGTTCAAGCAATTCTCCTGCCTCAGCCTCCCTAGTAGCTGGGATTACAGGCACCTGCCACCGCGCCTGGATAATTTTTGTATTTTTAGTAGAGACGGGGTTTCACCATCTTGGCCAGGCTGGTCTCTAACTCCTGACCTTGTGATCCACCTGCCTCTCGGCCTCCCAAAGTGCTGGGATTACAGACGTGAGCAACCACGCCCAGCCAGCAGTTCATCTTTTAAGTCACAGCTGGGTGTCACTCCACAGGCAAAACTTCTTCAAACACTGAACAAGGTTGTCCCAGGAACTCCTACTGATGTTCATTCACCAAACCCTGTGCACTCCTGGTCTCCAAACTCGAATTCAGGGGAAAAAAATTCCGGGCAGGGGAGAGAGGGGTGCTGAAATTGTGGCTAAGAGATGAAGGCCTGTGATTAAGTCTGTGGCTATCTGTTATTTCCATCTTCCATCAGCAATGAGGACAAGCTGCTCCTCTGCATTGCTAACCCATCTACCCCCACGGCCTGAGGCAGTGTTCACACCTACACTGTTCACAGAGTTAACAAAGGTAAGAGCAGGTCTCTTGTTAACCTGGAGTTAACAGGTGGGTGAGAATATTCTCTTCAATGTAAACAAAGGGCAAAGGTGCATAATTCATCTCCATCCCTTTACTTATGCAAGACCTTTTTAGAGAAACAATTGGGCAACACTTCAAAGTAGAAGGCCTTCAGGGAGATGTTGAAATTAGCAGATAAACCCAACTTCCAATTTACAAGAGATGTAGAAGACAGAATACTTGTTAAATTTTTGAGAATATTTGCCTTAGGGAGGCAGTCAGCAAAATCCAGACTACCCAAAGTCTACAAAACAAATGACCTGTTTTCTCCAACAAATTAATTGCAAAGACCAAAAAACCCCTAGAGATTAACAGATTTAGAAGATACCAAACAAGGCCAGCCTGGTGGCTCACGCCTGTAATCCCAGCACTTTGGGAGGCTGAGGTGGGCGGATCACGAGGTCAGGAGTTCGAGACCATCCTGGCTAACATGGTGAAACCCCTTCTCTACTAAAAATACAAAAAAATTAGCTGGGCGTGGTGGCACGTGCCTGTAATCCCAGCTACATTTATTCAAGATAATTCAGGGGAATTTACTTCCATACAATATTACTTCGTGTGGGATTTACTTAAAAATAATAAGAGGATAAGGACGTAGGTAGACATATAGATTGGCAGTGAGTGAACAATCACTGATGTTGTTTAAAGCGGCCATGAGTTGCTAATTGCTGACTCTGGGGGATGGGTACATGGATATTTTACTATTTGATTATTCTCTCTGATTTTGCATGTATTCGGAATTCTCCATAATATGAAGCTAAATCACATGTGAGAGATCCCTGCTACTTTATAAGCATTGGCAATCTCACTCCTACAGCCCACACAGGCCGGCTACCCGGCTGTTAGGGCTAGAAAAGTGTAAGATGCCGCTACGCATAGCTGGAGTGGCGCTCCAGGCAGGTTGAGATTTGGAGACACTCCTGAAGCAAACCATCTGTGTGAACACACACACATACATGTGGAGTCTCACCCACCGACCCCAGTGCAGCCCCATCCCTGGTTCGTACCCCTCTTCTGTGCGAAGAGCAGCAGCAGGCAGGTGAGACCTTTGAGCACTTCCGCCATGACCACAGCAGTGGTGGCAAAGAAGCGGTCCCCTGGCAACGTGCGGGCGTAGCGGATGCTGAGGATGAGGGAGGCATTCTGGACCACCAGCACAGCTAGGGATATGTACTTCAGGCGCCTGTGAGCTGTGGGGAACGGAAGGGGCAAGGGGGAAGGACGGGGTCAGAAGCCGCTGGGGCATAGCCACACCACCACCCACCCCCTTTCTTTCTCACCCAGGACCCTCCTAGCCATGGCTACTTGCTCCCTCAGCCTGCCTGCCCTCACCCAATAAGGGTCTGACTCCTACCGGCTTACTGCCTCAGCCATGAGCAGGAAGAGCCAGAAGGGAGAAATGGGCCCCACCCTGTCCCAGTCCATACCTGGAATCCTTACTGAGGTGTCAGGTAATGGCTGAGGCAAACCCTGGCCACGCGCCTCGGCTTCCTCCCAAGTGAGAAGCAACTCTTCCCCAGAAAGAATACCGACAACTACATTCTCCACGTTTATTGAGTGTTTACTGTATGCCTATCACTGGGTTAAGGGATTTCTATGGATTACCTCAATAGACTCATATCACTGTCATCTCCAAAAGAACTGCGAGGATTCCCATTTATGGATTAGCAAACTGAGAATTTATATGAAATGATGCTCCTGTTTAATGAGGGACTGTCTCATGTAAAGAATAACACATCAATGCAGGGAATGAGGCCACTGTATGAGGTATGTTCACCCCCTAAGAACGGTCTTTCTCCTATCTAAGAAATGATTCGATTCCCTCACACTGAGAATGGCCTACATCCCATATGGAATGATCCTCCTCATACCCAGAATGGTCTCTCCAACCCCTCACTCCTGTGACAACTGGTTCCTCTCGAACCAGAATAGTCTACTAAATACAAGAAATGATTCCCACATGCTCCCAGGGACTGAATCCTGTATCAGGAATGGTTATCCCACCAAGAAAGGTCTGGCTCCCTCAACCAGATGAGGAAATACTTCCCTGCACTCCACATGGTCTGCCCTCCCACCACCGCACACGGACCCTCTAGCTAATGAATTTTTCCTTGCTCTACCCACACTCACAATGAGCTCTCTCTGCTATAAGGAAGGACCCGGCACTCTCAGAACGTTCTTTCTCCACCATATAACGATGAGCCCTCCCACCCGAATGTACAATGAACTCTACCTCCATTAGGAGGGAGCCCCCAGAACGGTCTCCTCCGCACATAATGAAAGACACCCCCATCCTCAAAATGGACCCTCTCTAGTCACATAAAGAAGGACTCGCCCCACCCTAACTCACAATAGTCTCTGTCCCTTTATAAGGAAGGAACCACCACCCTCAGAATAGTCTCCCCCTTCTTCAGTGAGGAACTCCCACACCCGCAGAATGGTCTCTTCCACACGGAAGGACTCCACATATTCAGAATGGTTTCGGTGGCCTTAGCCTTCCCAAAAAGAATTACCCACCACACTCACAATGGTCTCTACTCTCCATATGCGGAAGGATCCCACAATCACTCTCAGAATGTTCTCTTCCCCGCCCCCAACACACTGACAATGTGCACACACACACACACACACACGTCGGTCCACACGGGATGCTCCCTCTCACTTTAGTGAGGAACATTCCCGACTCCCAGCGATCCCGACCTCCGCCTCCCATGCGACTGCTCGGGCAGACTGTCTCACCCGCACTGGCGGTCCCCGGCTCCAATGCACCCGCGGAAACCGCCCCTGGCCCGGGCGCCGCGGTGGAACCACCAGCCCCAACCGCTGCCATGTTGGCATCTGCCCGGCCCGTCCCCTCGGCAACAGAAAAACCACTTCCGCGTTCGTCACTTCCGCTGCCGGGCCACCTGAGTGAAGGTGGAGCGAGAGCCGGGATCGTCAGGGTGGTGGCTTTTCTCCTCCGCTCCTAAAAGCTCAATGTATGAATAGCCCCGGGATTTCCAAATTCCGTCGGATCGGGAGGCCGGGGACACGGCCCGATCGGCCTACCCACCATCCCTACAGAGCTTCATCGGCCCATTCCTGTCACTAGACCCGCCTTATCCTGCCGTTCGTCCGCTTCACTGATCGCGCTTTCCAGATCATCCCCCGATCTTGTCTCCTAGACTCATTGGTTCAGCCACCCCTTTCATCTCGGCTCTTTATTGGCAGCTTCTCCATAAGGCGCCGCCCTTTCCGTATCAGAAACTACCAGGTGCTTCATGGTTGGACTGAAATTCCGCTTTCCCGTCTTCCAGAGAGGCCTCGCCCCCTGGAGAGCACACGGGAATCTGGGGACGAAGAAACTTTGACCTGGCGGGGTCGGGGTGAGGGCGTACTGGCATCAGGTGCGAGTCAGGAATGTTAAGCTAGCAGATAAAAGCAGAGCAGGTGAGGATAAACAAGTGAAAATGCAAAGGAAAGTTGACGCACATAAGGGAAGACAAGTGAGTCACCACTGAGGATGGCAAAGGGGACAGGCGAAAGGCTCACAGGTTAGCTAGCATTTGGAAGCAGGGCAAGAGTCCGGGCCAGAGGCGGTGGCTCACGCCTGTAATCCCAGCACTTTGGGAGGCTGAGCCGGGCGATCACCTGAGCTCAGGAGTTCCAGCCTGGGCAAAACGACAAAACCCCGTCTCAAATAAAAAAAAAAAATTACCCGGGCTTAGTGGTATGCACCTGTACCCAGCTACTCTGGAGGCTGAGGCAGGAGAACCGCTGGAACCCGGAAGGCGGAGTTTATACTGAACCGAGACAAATAAGCAGGGCAAGAGAGGGAACAACTCAGGTCGGAACAAGTGAAACCAACATGGAATAGGGTAGGCCAGGTAAGTCAAGTGTTGAAGGAGAAATTAGAGGGATGGGTATGTAAGGGTAAAGATGGGGGAAGAGGCTAAAGATAAAGAGCAAAACAGGTGACTACACCCTGGACAGATTCCAGTCAGCGCCCAACCCCAGCCCCGCCCTGGCCAGTACCCTGACAGGGCTTTTCTTCTGCAACAGGGGAAAGGGCTTCTTCATTCCCCTGGGGTGCCAGGGAAGGTAGTTTTTCTGCTTCTGAGATAGCCATCTTGATTGGGGATGTGCCCTAAACACCTTCAATATGCACAGTATCTCCAACAGAGAACCCTTCTGCACATACTGGGCACTGCATAAGATCAGGGGCAGGGGAATCAAGATTTTTTTGTGTGTGTGTGGTGCAGCTTCAAGAATCCTTAAAGCTCTTTAGGATGGCAACATAAGACTGTGGCTTCCTGAGGACAAAGCAGAGGGACAGTCTGTCTCAGTGCACAGTAGATGCTCCATAAAAGCCTCACACCTACAAATGGCCAGCCGCTTCTGATTCTATTACTTTTATTAAATAGTGGGTTTCCACACATGGCTTTTTAAATAATCCAGGCAGGAGAAGAGAGGAGGGCACACTTGGAACTCCCCTCCCCACAATACGTGATTATTTACATTTTAGTAATTGGACAATCCCGGCTCAGGAGGAGGTTGCAAGAATCTGCAAAAGTTGGAGGGAGCGCCCCAGGAGAACAAACAGCAAGCCTTATTTCCCCTAGCCCATCCCCCAAAAAACCATCCATCCCATCCTAGTGTCTGGTGGTGTCCGGTGGTGTCCATCTTCCATTCCTTCCCAAATTATGGAAGTAAGGTTCTTCTCACCAGAATAAGAGCACTTGGGATAACAGAGTAGGGTCCCCTCACCCAAAAAAAAAAAAAAAAAAAAGAAGCCTTGGGGTAACAACAGGGCATTACCTCCCCCAGAATAAAGAATCCTGGGCTGAGGCAGGTAAGCAGCTTGACCCAATATGGGACCCTAGGCTAGGGGAAAGGGTCCCTTTACTAAAATAAAAGCTACTGGGGTATTGGAAGGAAAGCACCCTTGCCCAAGTAAGAGCATATGAACTAAGTTTGTGTGGTGGTAGTAGGAGGTGCCAATGTGGGGTGACACATCATCAGAATAAGAGTCCCGGGGCTCAGAATGGGAACAACTTCACCAAAATAAACTTCCTTAGCAAAATGAGAAGCAAGAAGTTCCCCCTCCAGAATCAGGGACCACAGGTTCTGGGAGGAAGGCTCCTTTGTAGGATTGGGAAGGGAACTGGGCAGACTTGGTTTATGTCTTCTAACCCCTGATCCTCAATCCCTTACCTTAGTAATACTGGACTTTAATGACTGGTAATGACCTGTAAAACCAAGTCAACAAATGTCCATCTATCCCTGTGACATGGCCATGGGATGGCTCTTCTGACCATTGGGGGCCAGGCCAGGCCAGGCCAGGCTTAGGGTAGCAAGGACCAGGCCAAAGGGGCAGGGCCTCCTTTGGAGGGGTTGAGGGGTACATCCTCGGCTGGTGTTTGCATCCAGGGGTCCAGCAGGATCTCTTCCAGTGAGGGTCGGGAAGAAGGTTTGGGGGCCAGGCACCGGCGGATTAGGGCACAGCAGTCTGTAGGCCAAGAAGCAGAGAGGGAAGATTAGCAGTCAGTAGGGGGTACTGGTCCCTGAGAAGGATGGAGTCTTCTGGGCTGGGGTCAGTGAGGCCTCACCTGGGGAGACATGGGCTGGGAAGTGGAGCTCAGCTTCCAGAATCTCCTGGTCCCTCTCAAAGGGAATGTCCCCACACACCATGTCATAGAGGAGGATGCCCAGTGACCAGACAGTGGCCGGGAGTGCATGGTACTGGTGTCGAGAGATCCACTCTGGGGGGCTGTACACCCTTGTCCCTGCACACAAGCCAGGGGTTAGACCAACTCAATCTCATGATGCCCTTCTCCAACCCCAAACTCTCCAGGAAGGATGGCCTCACCACAATTAAGAGCACTCAAGATAAAAGCAGAGTCCCCTCACTAGATAAAAAGCAGCTAAAATAACAGAGTCCCCTCAACAGAATAAAAGCACTGAAAAGTAACAGGATCCCCTTACCAGAGAAAGAATACTCAGGATGGTAACAGGATCCCCTCACCAGAATAGGAGCCCAGAATAAGGTTAGCACACCATTAAAAGATGGACTTTATCAGAGGGCAAGGCTGAGAATCCCCAGTATTAGCAATCGATCATCTTATATAATGCAGTATGGGTCAAGGATTACAGGACACCCCACCACTGGAGGCCAAAGGTCACAAGGCCATCAAGTAAAAACAATCCCTCCAGGGAGATTTAGAGAAGCCTTACCATCAAAGTCAGTGTAGGGTTCATCATGAAGCAGGGCACCAGAACCAAAATCAATGAGTTTGGCACAGCCACGGCGTAGGTCTATCAGGATGTTCTCATCCTTGATGTCACGATGGACAACTCCACGGGAATGGCAGTGCTGGATGGCTGCCACTACTTGGCCAAAGAAGCAGCGGCTTGGGCCTTCACCCAGTGGGCCCTTCTCTGTGATATAGTCAAAGAGATCCTGGGCGGGCAAAGGCCGCTCGAGGACCAGCATGAAGCCCTCCTGTGTCTCAAACCAGTCAAGCAGGCGGATCACGCCAGGGTGCCCACCACCTGCACCCACTTTCCATAGCAGTGCGACTTCGAGTGGGCATGTGACTGAGTCTGACTGGGGGCACAGGTGGGGTGGGAAGCAGGGAGAGAAAAAAGACAGATGTCAGGGCAACAGCTCTGAGGCTTTTTACCTAAGCTCAACTCAGGGCCCCTTTTCCTGACAGTGTGTCGCTAAGCAACTCACTTCCCTTCCTGGGCCTCACTTTCCCTAAAGACACAAACTCACACAGCGATTGAGAGGGTGAAACCAGCAAAGAGCCTGCACAAATCTCGCATGTCGTAGATCAATAAACATTTGAATAAACGAAAGAAGTTCGGCCAGGCACAGTGGCTCATCCCTGCAATCCCAGCACTTTGGGAGGCTGATGTGGGTGGATTGCTTGAGCCCAAGAGTTCAAGATCAGCCTGGGCAAAATGGCACAAACACAAAAATTAGCCAGGCTTGGTGGCATGCACCTGTAGTCCCAGCTACTTGGGAGGCTCAGGTGGGAGGGTCGCTTGAGCCAAGAAGGCAGAGGTTGCAGTGAAGATCACACCACTGCACTCCAGCTGTCTCAAAACAAACAAGCAAAAATACAAAGAAAAATCTGGTTATCAACTGAAGGCTTTCAGCAGAAGCAGCACCACCATTATGTGTTTTGTTTTGTTCCCTGACATATCCCAGATTAGAATAGTACCTTACACAGGTGATCAATAAATGTTAAACAGATGACAGCACTTAATAGCATGGGCTCTGACAAGCAGTTAGCACTCAATAAACACTTATTGTGTAATGGTTTGTTTTGTTCACGGACGTATATGAAGCACTAGAACAGTGGCTGCTAACAGAGTAGGGCTGAATAAATATTTGTTAAACAGGTGAAAACAATTAGTAAAAAAGGACCTAGCACAAAATGAGCTCTCAATACTTATGTAATACTTTGCTGAGTGTCTAGAATTATGTCTGTCATATAGTAGGTGGTCAATATACCTAATTTGTTAAACAGCTGAGTGATTTATTACAAAGGACCTAGCACAAAAGGACTTAGTGTTATCATGTGTTTTGTCAGCATCACCAAGCACCTAGAACCAGCCAATAAAAAGCCTAAATGTGGCCCTGCGCAGTGGCTCACGCCTGTAATCCCAGCACTTTGGGAGGCCGAGACGGGCAGATCACCTGAGGTCGGGAGTTCGAGACCAGCCTGACCAACATGGAGAAACCCCGTCTCTACTAAAAATACAAAATTAGAGGCCGGGCGCGGTGGCTCACGCCTGTAATCCCAGCACTTTGGGAGGCCCAAGGCGGGCAGATCACTAGGTCAGGGGTTCGAGACCAGCCTGGCCAACATGGTGAAACACGGTCTCTACTAAAAACGTAAAACTTAGCCGGGCATGGCAGCGGGTGCCTGTAATTCCAGCTACTCAGGAGCCTGAGGCAGGAGAATCGCTTGAACCCAGGAGGTGGAGGCTGCAGTGAGCTGAGATCACGCCACTGCACTCCAGCCCAGGCAGCAGAGCGAAACTCCGTCTCAAGGAAAAAAAAAAGTCATAAATGCAGCCGGGCGTGGTGGCTCATGCCTGTAATCCCAGCACTTTGAGTGGCCGAGGCAGGCGGATCACCTGAGGTCAGCAGTTCAAAACCCGCCTGGCCAACATGGTGAAACCCTGTCTCTACTAAAAATACAAAAATTAGCCGGGCATGGTTGTGCGCTCCTGTAGTCCCAGCTACTTGGGAGGCTGAGGCAGGAGAATCACTTGAACCCAGGAGACGGAGGTTGCAGTGAGCCGAGATCGCGTCACCTCACTCCAGCCTGGGCAACAGAGGGAGACTGTGTCTCCAAAAAAAAAAAAGTATAAACGCTGGGGGCCACAAAATCCGCCCCCCACTGCCTCCCCAAGCCCTGCGCAGGTACACTTCGAGCAGCAACCTTCTGGGATGAGGTAGAGCCCTCTCCTGGCCAGGCTGCTGACTTGCACGGCAGCAGACGTTTTCTCACCGAGATGCAAAAATACCGATATTGCGCAGGCGCACCCTCTCCCTTTGGGTCCCATGGACTGCGCAGGCGCAGTTTCCCCTAGAGCCCGCCAGGGGGCGCTCCCAACTCTACAACTTGCCCAGACCCGCCCTGATGTCCGTTAGCGTTATAACGGCAAGAGAGAAGCAGCCACCATCACCATGGCAACCAGTGACCTCTGCCCCTTGTTCCCCACCAGCACGCCCTGCGGGCAGTCCCCCAGCAGTGTTTGGAGGAAGGATGGTAAAGGTTTGTTGGAGGGGAGAATCCAGGGCTCTAGGGGAATTGGGGTGAATCAGAACTGTATGTCACCCCAAGGGAGTATAAATGGGCTGGCAGTATTCTCACTGTTACAGGGCCCAGGGAGTCATACATCCCCTGGAAAAGCAAGGAGGTGAATACATCAGTGATGGAGTAGGTAGGTTAGGAAGGGCTCCGAAGGTACTCACCAAGGGGGACCAGCCCAGCACACGATTCCGGGGAATCACTTTGATGGCCACCTGGAGAAGAAGGCCGTGATAAGGAGGCCAGCAGGTGATCCCCAGACCCCTCCCAGTCTAGACCTTCTGCCTACCTCCAGTATTCCTCCATCTACCAGCACTCTAGTCTTTCTGGTCCCCAACCACAGCACCCCACAGAACGCGTACCAGGGCGTCTCCCCTGCCCTCCAGGTCCTCGGAACCAAGTTTATCTCTCCCACCTTCCTTAGCCCTGGGCTCTCCGTTCTCAGGCATCAGGACTCATCACTCCAAGTCCTGAGTTCTAGATTTCCTGATACCCCAGGCCCACAATCTTCCTATTTAGCTCTACGACACCCCAACTCTGTACCAGGGTCCTGGTCCGCATGACTCCACACTGGACACCTACCTCCAAAAGTCCCACAAATCTCACATCTAGGTCCCTGCTTTCCCACACATACACAGCCTGGACCCCGGGGTCAAGGAACTCCGGAATCTGAAGCCCCCTGCCCCCCCCCCCCGCCCATAACCTCCTAGACCGACACACACACGCGCACGCACACACACCTGGCCCTCTACACACACTGCAGGCTCACTCCTCGGACACGGACACGGACACACACACACACACACCTGGTCCTCTACACACTCTGCAGGCTCACTCCTCGGTCAACCAGCATTCCAGGGCCAGGACCCCCGCCCCCGCCACACGCACCTGACCCTCCCAAGACCCTCATGACGGATACCTGGAGTCGATCTGTGAGGCGGTGTCCTGCGAAGACGGTGCCAAAGCCCCCCTTACCCAGGAGGGGGCCGAGTCGATACTCGGCCTCGAACGCTTCCCGATCCTTGCCTCCTACGCAGGCGGAGGCGAGGAAGTCAGGGTGGCGGCGTGCTGAGCCCAGCCACGACTCCCTCCCCCCGCGCTGCAACCCATCATTCCAGCCCACCCCGTCTGGTTGCAGTAGGGGAGGATGTACTCACCTGGCGGCGGCGTGGGGGTCCCGGGGGGCGCGGGAGGCCCCTGTAGAGGCTTGGTCAACATGGAGGTGGCGCTGCGCAGATTGAGCCCACTGAACCCGCTAAGCCCGCAGGGCGTGGACGCCCGGGGCAGCGCAGCTGGGGAGCCAGGGCTGGGGGGCGCCAGGGTGGAAAGCAGAGAAACTGGTGGCCCGGAAGCGCCCGCAGACGGCGCAGCGTTGAGATTCGCCGCGCGCGCCAGCCCCAATGCTACTGAGCCTGGGCACGCGCCTCCCGGGAGAGTCACCCTGGGCGACAGCCCCGCCCACCTGGCTTTGATCAATCCGGACGCGGCACCTGCTGTACCACAGCCAATCGGAGCCAGTTCTTATTTGCATACCACCCTCATCGTTTCAAGGGCCCCCTTATGCAAATACACGCTCGGTTCTTCCGAGGAGGCGGGGCCTGCATGTAAATGAGGGGGCTTGAGGTGGGGCTCACACCAAGAGGAAACCGGTTCTGGGAATCCCTTTGCAGCACCGCGCTTGTTTTGGTTGTTGCGCGGGGTTGTTGTTGGTAGTGGTGGCGGTGTGTGTGTGTATTTACACTTAAAAAATAACTGCGCAGTATCCTTTCCTGGGAAGTTGGTTTGCCGCCGCTGCCTGGATATTAGCACAGAGATAGCGCCAGGCCGGGCTTCTAAGAATTCGCGCTTGTGGCTATCCAAGACTCCGTCTCGAAAGGTGCTTGTCGGACTCCTTCACCGGAGTCCTCCAGGCGACTGGCGGCCTTCACTGGAAAGCTGAGGCCAGGGCCCTGGAAATATCTGGTAGCCAGGGAGGGGGAACCCCTACCATCAACGCCACGGGTGTGCATTGGTCAAAGGCAGCATTGCCTGGTGAGTGTTTATTGGAGCTTTTAACCCTGAGCCCTGGGCCCAGTCAGCAAGTCTAGAATCTAGAACAGCAGGGGGTGGTTCTTGGGGGATGGGGGTGAGCCCAGAGTGGTGGTGGCATGGGGCTGCTCTTGGAGTTGAGAGAGGCAAGGACTGAGAGACATGATAGAGGCTGCTAGAGAAGTGGCAACTCTCAGACACAAATTTGTGAAAAACAGCCAGAAAAGGCGCCACACCCCAGGAAGAAAAATGCACTCCAAAGACACATGAATGCCAAGATATACACAAACACATACTGTCAGACACATTCACAGAAACGACCTAGATACACATGCAGCCAGAGACTGACATACACTTTCAGGCAAGCACACTGTCAGAAAAATAGTTATGTCCTAGAATGACACCCAGAGATACACTGTTACAGAAAGGCACTCACGCAGACCTACATTTGCCATGTGATGACACAGAAATGTCCCGTCACACTGGCAGAACTTGTCACAAACACACTGTCACCATCAGATATGCACTGTCACAGCAAGACTTGTACTGTCCCAGAAATGAGAGACGCAGAGTCTGTCACAGGAAGATGCACAGATGCTCCAGGGACACACATGCACTGCTCTGAAGGCAGACATGTACTGATGTGATAGAATCACATTTTGTGGCAGTGTCACAAAAACAGACATGGATAGACCTGTTCAGACACAGACATACATACACCATGACACATGCAGTTTATCAATGGAACAAACTGTCCAGAAATAGCTACCCAGAATCTGTTGCAGGAACACAAACGGACATCCACCCCATCAGACAGAAACCACAGATGCACTGTCACAGACAGACCCACGCAGGCATGCACGCATCTTGGATTTAGACACAAACTGTCAGAGATAAGAGTCCCACACTCAGTCACCATCTGACACACCTGGAAACAAGCCCTTCATCACACACACAACTGGGGACACTCTGTGAGCTGCACATGAAGACTTGGACTCACCACAGTCACACACACACAGACAACACCAAAAAAGCACACATGTACTCTCCTTTGTTCACCCAACGTTATTGGGGGTGGTTTGCTATAAGCCTGCCAGGCCTTGATGGGGATGTTGGTATCAGAGATGTACAGATAAGTCAGGCATCAAACCCGTGCCATGAAGTTTATCTGTAGTACAGCTACTGGGGAGATTTTTAGATAGAAGTGAGAATGTGAATGGGCTTCTCAGCAGGTGACCCTCTGTCTTGAAAGACAAAGAAGGTTGGTGGCTCAGGACAGGGGAGGGCAAATTGCAGGCAAAGGCCAAGAACACTGGACAGAGCGGCGAGAGATTGGCAGGGGCCAAATGGTGCAGAAACTTCTACAAAAAGAATACTACTAACATTTGTGCTCTCTCAATGTGCCAAGCACTGTGCCCAGGTAGTACGTTACTTTGATCATACATATTCCCTCTAGATGATCACAGCAGAAGCATGAGGGAGTAGATATCACTTTTTTTTTTTTTTTTTAAGACTGAGTCTCGCTCTGTCACCCAGGCTGGAGTGTGGTGGCGCAATCTCGGCTCACTGCAACCTCCACCTCCTGGGTTCAAGCGATTCTCATGCCTCAGCCACCCAAGTAGCTGGGATTACAGGCACGTACAACCATGAACGGCTAATTTTTGTATTTTTAGTAGAGATGGGGTTTCTCCATGTTGGCCAGGCTGGTCTCGAACTCCTGATCTCAGGTGATTCACCCACCTCAGCCTTCCAAAGTGCTGGGATTATAGGTGTGAGTCACTGCACCCAGCCTAATCACCTCTTGTACAGATGAGACACTTGAAACAGAGAAGCAATTGACCAGGGCCAGGAAGGTTTCAAAGCAACTCTACAACAAATAGATGCTTGGCCACTGGGTTCCAGACACACTCCGCAGACAGCCACTCAGCTAGCCATGCCCTCAACTGCAGAACCAGACACACATCCTGTCAGAGGGTCTCCATTATCATGGCATGGTGAAAAAGCTGCTTGAGAAAACCTGGGGGCCAGCCAGCCTTCTTTACCTTGGATTTACCCCTAGGGAGGACAGGCAAAGAGGTGTCAGACTGGGGGACAAGAACAAAAAAGGGTTTAGCCGTCCTTCACCTTCTAAAACCTAGTGGGTGAGGCCCCTCTGGTTACTTCCACTAAACTCATGTTGCTACAAAGTATCAGTTGCACTTTTCCAAGGCTTTTCTTCATCAGATCATGATAAGGAAAGAGCAGCATTCATGGTGAGAGGCAGGCGGAGAAGCTGGAATTCAGGCAGGAAGTTCAAGCTCACAGTCCTCTGCTACCATCACCCCCCCCCCCCCAGGAAATAGGGTAGGCAGGGGTGGGGTCAGCAGGCAAAGACGCAGCTTTTCCAGTGGCAATAGGTCCAGAAGGAGGTTTAATAAGCAGCAAATCAAATACAAACTCCAGGCCCCCAGACAGACCCTGCTGGAGAGCATTCACACCTCTGAGGTCAAGCCAAGGTCCGTGCCATTGCATCCTCTGCCCAGAGGCCCGCCCAACCCCTGCCCCACACAGAACAGAGTCGCTCAGGGAAACTGACATTTGGTTTTATTGTGCCAAGGACATTACAGATGGCGGATCTTGTCAACACCTGCAGGGCACGGGTGCCCCATCTGCCAAGGCTGCTCCCACACTCCCTACACTCAAATCCCGGGTGGCAGCCATAATCCCCAAAGATGACCCCCACCCCAAGATTCCAAAGAAGCTAGTGGTGGTGGAAGCAAAAGGAATGCAGCAAGGTCAGGGTTTCATTGTCCAAGCCGGCCTGACACCTGCCGCCCTGCCCTTGCCCAGTGCACACCCTAGACCCTGGGCCGGCCTCCATGCAGCTGGAGGCCAGAAGACAGCAACCCATATCTTTGCACCCTCCTCCATGCCCCATGGCCTGCCTGCCCAGAAAGATGCCACCTTCACAGAGCCAGTGCTGTCGTCTATATCATTTTTGATTAGTTGATTTTATAAGATAAAAGTAATTTTAATAAAGAAAAAATTCAACATTGAAGGCTCAGACGTTCTTGGGGGTACTGGGAAGGGAAATTTCCCACTTCTTCCTCCCACCTCCCTGGCATCAGTGTCGGGGGGTGGCGGCAAGTTTTTCTCATCTTGGAAGGAATGAGGGGCAGGGAGACTTTCCTCTGTCTGAATGTCTCTCTCCTCTGGGGCTGCCTGGCTGCCAGTTGGTCTGTCTCTGTGTGCCTCTTGTCTATCTTCGGCACCCTTGCCCGAGTCCCCTGTGGAATGCAGGGATGGTTCTGTGCGGGATGGGGTGGGGGGCAACAGGGCACATCAGCTGGCAGAGAGACAGGTGATAGTGGCAGCGGCAATGAGAGAGAGTGCAGGGGTGGGCTAGCCAGAGGGAAGTGAGGAGGAGGGAAAAGAGGGGAGAGCAGAAAGAACAGAAGGAGGCAAGAGGGAAGAAGCCAAAGAAGGTGAGGTGGCACCGGAGAGCAGGAGTACTGGGGTTGGGAGATGGTGTCCAATCCCTGGGTCTCCATCAACTCTTGTCTGGGGGCGGGTCTCTGTGCACTTTGTTTTTCTTCATACTGTCTAGGTATTCCTGTTGGGACACTGCCAGCACCGAAGCTAGGATCTCATCATCATCCCAGTCATTCAGACCTGCTGGGCGAGAGGAAGAGGAAAAGGATGATGGAGCGCTCTCAGCCTGCCTTCTCCTCACCCTGTGCCGACATCTGGGGCTCTGGAGAAATCCCATAGGGCCCTTCTCACTCCTTTCTCAAAACAGAAGGATCTGCTAGGCCTGTGAAACCCCACTTAGACCCCAGACCCTTCTGGGGCAAATTCCTTGGATCTGAAAAATCCCCTCCAGTGCCTCTCCCTTCTTTTCTTGGGGAGATGGCCAGAGGCTCCAGAAAGCCCCTCTCAGGACTTGCCACTTCTTCCAGTCTCTCCCAGCTCCTAGCAGCCTCCATCCCCCCAGACAAAGGAGGCTTACCAAAGGCAGAGGGGGACATCTGCTGAATGAGGGCCCGGCACTCCAAAGCAGGGTAGAGGGACACAAGGGGGGAAGTTGCCCGGTCGGCCCCTGCCGAGAACTGACTGCTTGTACCTGAAGCAGACGGACAGTCAAAGGTAGGGACCCAGGATCCAGGACCCAGGACCCAGGACGTGCCTCCTAACTCCCAGCACATTCCCTGTGGGCAAGTCACTGACCTGGCGCACAGGGCGAAGGAGGTTTGGCAAGAGCTAAAACAGTGCCTGGGGAAGGGGGCTTCATGCCCAATTCAGCATGCAGCTCAGGGTGCTCAGGTGACGAGGCTGAACTCCGCTGCCGCGGGGACCGGCTAGTCCACTCCTCCAGGCCACTGGAGGCTGCTGCTGTGGCCGAACTGCATGTGGCGCTGGCTTTCCGGGGCTGCAGCGGGGAAGGTAAATGCGTTAAGGACCACCAGCAGCCATGACCTTCTTGTGACCCATCCCTGAATGCTGGCTCCCTTCCCAGGACCTTGGCTATGATACAGCTTCTATGTAGGTCAACATCATCCCCACTCACACGGTGGACCACAAGACTCCTCACAGGACAGAGGTGGAGCTCCTTACCCTTTCTCTCACACCCCTACAGCCAATCTGACAGGAAACCCTGTTACCTCTATCTTGAAAATAGATCTCAAATCCAACCCCTTCTCACCAACTCCACTGCCAGCACTGGCCACCAGTCACCTGGCCTACTGCAGTAGCCTCCTCCTCACTGGCCCCTGCTTCTGCCCTCACTCACCAGACTCCACTGGATGACTAGCAGGCAAGGCGATCTTATTAAATCCCCAACCACATCCTGTCCGTCCTCTGCTCACAATCCTCCCATGGTTTCTGCCTCTCTGAGAGTAAATGCCAAAGTCCTCGCCACAGCCCACAAGCCCCTACCCAATTGGACCCACAACCTCTCTGACTTCATCTACTACTACATTCTGTTCGGATACACCGGCCTCCCTCTGGGCTGTGCCTGAGTTGTACCAGGTGTGTGGGCCTGCTGTCCTCCCCTCCATGTGCGCTCAGCTAACTCTCACCTTCTGCAAGGCTCAAATCTCACCTGCTCTGAGGCCTACCCTGACTGCGCTATTTCATACCGTGAACGCACATTCCTGCTCAGCCCCTTTATCCTGGCTCTACACTTTCCATCCATAGCACTTCCCAACTAATTTATTCATTATATTTATTATTTTATTTCACTCTGCAAAACTGTGAACATCACAAGGACGGGGATCTTGGTCTGCTGGGCTCACCTATGTATCCCCATATACTGAAAACAGGGCCTGCCACAGACTGGTAGTAGGTATTTGTGGAATAAAACTCAGCTCCTTCAGCCGGGTGCGGTGGCTCACGCCTGTAATCCCAGCACTTTGGGAGGCCGAGGTGGTCGGATCACGAGGTCAGGAGATGGAGACCATCCTGGCTAACACGGTGAAACCCCGTCTCTACTAAAAATACAAAAAATTAGCCAGGCGTGGTGGTGGGCGCCTGTAGTCCTAGTTACTCCGCAGGCTGAGGCAGGAGAATGGCATCAACCTGGGAGGCGGAGCTTGCAGTGAGCCGAGACTGCGCCACTGCACTCCAGCCTGGGCGACAGAGCAAGACTCTGTCTCCAAAAAAAAAAAAAAAAAAAAACTCAGCTCCTGCCAGCCAACATCTACAATCACTCCAAACTCCTTGCGATTTTACAATTCCTCAGATGCTTGTCTGCCCCGCCCCTCCCCGCTCCCCTAACAATTCAACCTTCCTCTGTGAAGACTAACCGGAGCCCCCACCTCCACTGATCTCCCAGTCAGGGTCAAGGACCCCACCATTGAGTTGTCTCTGCCAACAGACGAGATCGTTGAGGGCAGAGTAGTCCAGATCTGATGTTACATTCTCAGTAGAGACCTGGCACACAAGGGCAGTCAACAAAAGCTTGTGTCTCTGAAGCTATCCATTATTCTCGTGTCACCAGCAGCATGGCTGCCCTCCTCTCACTCCTTAAGTGCCTGTTCTGCACAAGTATTTAAAGTTCCAAGGTACAATGCCAAAACTAAGACCAAGATGAGTTACAGATGGTGCTGGATGCTTCCTTCCCTCCCAGATGTCAAAACTGCTTAATTTTTTTCTGCTCGCTTGAGGGCAAAGCATGAGAAGTAATGAGTTTTTGGCCAAGCCTGTGACAGAGTCCATGACCCACCTGGCTGGGGCCTCGGACCTGGCGAGCCTGTTTCTCCTGATCCCGCAACCACTGCAGGTAGGATTCCCGAGCCACCTGCTCCTCGATGGCTTCATTTGTGGCCTCCCAGTCTGTGGCCCGTTTCTTGTCTTCTAGCATCTGCTGTTCAATCCATGACTCCTCCGATGTTTTTATGGCATTCTTCATCAGAGACTGCTCTGCAAACTGCAAGGAGGGAGAGGAACAGGGATGTGCAATAACACACTGAACCTGCCCAAGAGCCAGAACAGGCTCAGCGAGGTAGGCCCACAGGCCCCAGAAAAAAAAGGAGACAGGAAAGCAGGTACTCCCAAAGAGCAACACTCCACAGACTACCTCTTGATTGGGGACCAAGGGAAAGCAGGCTTGGGATGTGGGACCTGTCATTCCAAACTCCTATGCTTGTAAGACCTGACTCTAACCCCCAAACCACCTCAACTGAGGCACTGAGACTGGAGCAGTCAGGTGCCTTCCAACCTGGGACTTATTTTTTTTTTTTTTTCTGAGACGAAGTATCGCTCTGTCGCCCAGGCTGGAGTGCAGTGGGGTAATCTCGGCTCACTGCAACCTCCGCCTCCCAGGTTCAAGGGATTCTCCAGCCTCAGCCTCCCAAGTAGCTGGGATTACAGGTGAGTGCCACCACCCCCGGCTAACTTTTTTGTATTTTTAGTAGAAATGGGGTTTCACCATGTTGGCCAGGCTGGCCTTGAACTCCTGACCTCAGGTGATCCACCCGACTCGGCCTCCCAAAGTGCTGGGATTATAGGTGTGAGCCACTGCACCTGGCCCTGGGCCTTAATTTAAAGAAGCCCCATCCAGTGATGACTGTTTCATAATGTTGAGGACTTTCACACACATGAGCAGATGAGACACATACAAAAATTAGCTATGTGTGCACCGGGTGGAGGGAGTATTCAAGCATGTGAGGGGTTGGGGGAAGTAGTGGGTGTGTGAGGGAATAAGGGGGCAGTATCAACATGGTGTGGGGTGCTATGAGTTACAGGACACTACATCAGAGTACTGTTTTTCAGGCTGAGATCCAACAGCATTTTTAAAAAATAGAAAATATCAGAATATATCCCAGGGAATAAGTGCAAATGTTGTTTCATGAAGCTTTAGTTAACATTATTTTAATGCACATATACACATCACACACAAATGCATATATGCTAAGTAATCATGTAAAATGTATTCTTTTCTTTTTCCTGCAGACCTTGCATTCAGATAAAATGTAATTTTTTACTGTGAATAGTTAAAAACAATTCGTAAAACTATGTTAGAACAAGCCAATTAAAAAAATAGTCAAAAAATCTAACCACTCTGGCAGTGTTAAACACACTCCAAGTGTTTTTTCTACTCTCACTCAACAACAATCAACACAGGAGACTTCTGTGACCAAGTGTGCGGGCTGGGGGGAGGGTGTTTTCCCACACAGCAAGCAGCGGACACCTGGTGTCCATCCTCCAATGCAATTCAATACCCAGAGACAGCCTGGGATCCCACAGGTTGAGGGCTCAGTCCCACAAGACTCCCCCCAACCCCCTTCGAACACCAGTCGAAAGTCTGGGCCTCCAGAATTTCTGACTGACCAGCTATAAATTGGGATTCCCACAATACTTTTTTGGGGGTTCAACTAACTTGCTAGAGCAGCTCACAAAACCCAGGAAACACGTCTGCCAGTTTATTATAGAGAAAATTACAAAGGATACAGATGAGATGCACAGAGTGAGATATGGGGGAAGGGACGTGGAGCTTCCATGCCCTCCCTGGGGTGCCACCCTCTAGAAACTTCCATGTATTCAGCTACCCAAAAGCTCCCAGAACCCAATCCTTTTGGGATTCTTTGGAAGCTTCATTATGCAGGCATTATTGATTATGCCATTGGACACTAGTGATCAACCTAATCTTCAGCCTCTCTCCCCTCCCCAAAGGCTGGGGGATGGGCTTAAAGTTGCAAACCTCTAATCCTGCCTTGGTCTTTCAGGTCACCAGCCCCCATCCTGAAGCTACCTAGAGGCTGCCAGCCATCAGTCACCTCATTAGCATACAAAAAGGCAACACTTTGCAGATTCTAAGGATTTTAGGAATTGTATGTCAGGAAGTCACAAACACAATTCACCAAAGAAGCTATACAGATGGCAAATAAGCATATGAAAAGATGCTCAACAGCATTTGCCAATAGGCAACTGCAAGTTAAAATAATGAGATACCACTACACACCTAAGAGAATGGCTAAAATCCAACACAATGACAGTATCAATTGCTGGTAATGCTGACAACAGGAACTTCCAAATCATTATGGTGGGCATGCAAATAATACAGCCACTTGGGAAGACAGTTTCTCAGTTCCTCATAAATCAAAACATAATCTTACAACGCAATCCAGCAATCTTGCTCCCAGGTATGTATACAACTGATCTAAAAAATTACGTCCACAAAAAAACCTGCATGCACATTACAGAAGCTTTATTCATAATCATCAAAAACTGGAAGCAACCAAGAATGTCTTTTAATAGGTGAATAATTAAACTGGTACCTCCATAAAAGGAACATTAAGTGATAAGAAAGAAACCAGCTAACAAGCCATGAAAGAACATGGAGAAACCTTAATGCATACTGCTAAGTGAAAAGAAGCAGTCTGTCACATTGACCATTTTAATTTCAGGGGGGAAAAAAGCAAATTGGCTGCAGGTGGCTCACCCCTGCAATACCAGCACTTTGAGAGGCCAAGGCGGGAGGATCACTTGTCCCCAGGAATTTGAGATTGGCCTGAGCAACACAGTGAGATCCTGTCTCTACAAAATAAAAATATTTTTAAAGTTAGCCAGGCATGGTGGTGTGTGCCTGTGGTCCCAGCTACTTGGGAGGCTGAGGTGGGAGGATTGCTTAAACCCAGGAGGTAAAGGCTGCAGTGATATTGTGCCACTGCACTCCAGCCTGGGCAACAGTGATACACTGTCTCAAAAAAAAAAAAAAAAAACAGTATGAAAAGGCTACATACTGTATGATTACAATTATATGACATTCTGAAAAAGGCAACCCACAAAGACAATAGTGTTTGCAGGAAGAGGGAGGAAGGGAGGGGTAAGCATATGGAGTATGAGGAATTTTAAGGGTGGTCAAACTATTCTGAATAATACTGTAATAGTAGATACATAACATTACACATTTGTCAAAACCCATAGAATGTACAACACAAAGAGTGGACCTTAATATATGCTATTTAAAAAAAAATTAGGAAGGCTGGGCACGGTGGCTCATGCCTGTAATTCCAGCACTTTGGGAGGCCAAGGTGGGTGGATCTCCTGAGGTCAGGAGTTCGAGACCAGCCTGGCCAATATGGTGAAACCTGTCTCTACTAAAAATCAAAAAAATTAGCTGGGCGTGGTGGCGCGTGCCTGTAATCCCAGCTACTCGGGAGGCAGAGGCAAGAGAATCACTTGAACCACGGAGGCTGAGGTTGCAGTGAGCCGAGATCGCACCACTGTACTCCAGCCTGGGTGACAGAGCAAGACTCTGTCTCAAAAAATAAATAAATAAATAAAATAAAATAAAATAAAAATTAGGAGATCTATGGCCAGCGCGGTGGCTCATGCCTGTAATCCCAGCACTTTGGGAGGCCGAGGCAGGCAGATCACCTGAAGTCAGGAGTTCGAGACCAGCCTGGGCAACATGATGAAACCCCGTCTCTACTAAAAATACAAAAATTAGCCAGGTGTGGTAGTGCATGCCTGTAATTCCAGCTACTCGGGAGGCTGAGGCACGAGAATTGCTTGAACCCAGGAGGTAGAGGCTGCGGTGAGTTGAGATCATCGCACCACTGCACTCCAGCCTGGGCGACAGTGAGACTCTGTCTCAAAAATAAATAAATAAAAAATTAGGAGATCTGAGATCCCAGCATAGAATGCAAAAATGTGACAAAATAATACAAATGTATTACAAACATGAAACAACCTTGGCCGGGCGCGGTGGCTCACGCCTGTAATCCCAGCACTTTGGGAGGCCGAGGCGGGCGGATCACGAGGTCAGGAGATTGAGACCATCCTGGCTAAGACGGTGAAACCCCGTCTCTTACTAAAAATACAAAAAATTAGCCAGGTGTGGTGGCAGGCACCTGTAGTACCAGCTTCTCGGGAGGCTGAGGCAGGAGAATGGTGTGAACCTGGGAGGTGGAGCTTGCTGTGAGCCGAGATCACGCCACTGCACTCCAGCCTGGGCGACAGAGCGAGACTCTGTCTCAAAAAATAATAATAATAAAATAAAATAAAAATAAACACCCTCATTTGAAGGGGGTGGGGGTACAAGTAGGTCACTTTCAAAATGAATGGAGTCTGTAACACCAAAGGCAAAAAAGAACTATATGTAGCATTGAGCTATAGTGATAAAGTTGTTTCCCACGGGGGTACGGGTGAACAAGTGTGATTCTGCTACGCGTGTATATGGAAATGAGCAGTTACATAAATGGATGGTAGGAACCAGTGCATATACATCTGATGGCGTATCTACTGTTGGAGAGGGAATTTGCAGATGAACAAGGGGAGAAGGCTAGAATGAAGCATGTGATAATGGATCTGAGTTGGAGACATCAGTAAGGATTCATGTTTAATATAAATACAGATGGTTACAGGTAGAAATATTTATAGATATGTGTACAAAGGCCACTATACATACATGTAGCTCCTTGCTCTATCAGCTGACAGGGCCTAGAAGCATGGACAACCTGATATCGAAGAGCACATTCAACACCTAGGTCTTGATTTCTGTTAACAGTCTCCAATACATGCCAGGGCTCTCTAAAGAAATGGCTGATTGAGCTGGGCGCAGTAGCTCACACCTGTAATCCCTGCACTTTGGGAGACCGAGGAGGGTGGATCACCTGAGGTCAGGAGTTCGAGACTTCAGCCTGCCCAACATGGTGAAACCCCATCTCTACTAAACAATACAAAAAACAGCTGGGTGTGGTGGCGCATGCCTGTAATCCCAGCTACTCGGGAGGCTGAGGCAGGAGAATCGCTTGAACCTGGGAGGCAGAGGTTGCAGTGAGCTGAGATGGCGCCCTTACACTCCAGCCTGGGCAACAAGAGCGAAACTCCCTCTCAAAAAAAAAAAAAAGACCATATTGATGTACGTAATAACTGGAAAAATTAATAAATTAAGGATGAGTTAAGGATGAGACACAGATCCTCCTTAAAGATTTCCAAATAATCTATGTAGATACTCTACCCTCAAGGGGATGGGGCATAACCATTTCTTAGGCGTGGGCTGCACATAGTGACTTCCTTCCACACAGTACAGTATGGAAAAGGTGGGAAAGAGTAACCTTAGGTGGAGAAACCTAACAAACACTACTTCTGCCAGTTGATCAAGGGTAACACCAACAGGCATAAATGACACTCATAGTATAAACCCTTGAAATGATGTAATGACAATGGCACTTTACCTCTGTGATCTTCCTCCCTAAGACCCACAACCCTAGTTTAAACATGAGAAAAAGTCCAAAAGAGACATTTCCTACAAAATATTTGATCAGTACTCCTTAAAACTGTCAAGGTCATCAAAACAAAACTGAGAAACTATCAAAGATAAAGGGGCCTAAGGAGGCATGCAGATTTCATTTAATAGTAACGTATTAGGCTGGGCATGGTGGCTCACGCCTGTAATCCCAGCACTTTGGGAGGCCGAGGCGGGTGGATCACCTGAGGTCAGGAGTTTGAGACCAGCGTGGCCAACATGGTGAAACCCCGTCTCTACTAAAAATAGAAAAATTAGCCAGGTGTGGTGGTGGGCACCTGTAATCCCAGCTACTTGGGAGGCTGAGGCAGAAAAATCGCTTGAACCCAGAAGGCGGAGGCTGCAGTGAGCCGAGATCGCCTCATTGCACTCCAGCCTGGGTAACAGAGAGAAACTCTGCCTTAAAAAAAAAAAAAAAAAAAGTATTAATGTTGGTTCGCACATTGTAACAAATGTACCATAATGATTTGAACTGTTAATAACAGCAGAACTGGGCTGGGCGCGTTGGCTCACGCCTGTAATCCCAGCATTTTGGGAGGCCGAGATGGGTGGATCACCTGAGGTCAGGAGTTCGAGACCAGCCTTTGACATGGTGAAACCCCGTCTCTACTAAAAACACAAAAATTAGCTGGGCGTGGTGGCGGGTGCCTGTAATCCCAGCTACTCGGGAGGCTGAGGCAAGAGAATTGCTTGAACCCGGGAGGCAGAGGTTGCAGTGAGCCAAGATTGCGCCATTGCACTCCAGCCTGGGTGATGAGAGAGAAACTTCGTCTCAAAAAAAAGATGATAATAATAATAATAATAATAATAATAATAATAATAATAATAGCAGAACTGTGTTTGGGAAGAGAAGGATATGTGGGAATTCTGTATTATCTCCTCAATTGTTCTGTAAATCTAAAACTGCTCTAAACAATTAAGTCTATTAAATACAAAAACTTAAAACATTCATTTTTATTTTTTCTTTCAGACAGAGTCTCGCTCCGTCACCCAGGCTGCAGTGCAGGGGTCAAATCTCAGCTCACTGCAACCTCTGCCTCCTAGGTTCAAGTGATTCTCCTGCCTCGGCCTCCCAAGTAGCTCGGATTACAGGTGTGTGCCACCACACCCGGCTAATTTTTTTTTGTATTTTTAGTAGAAACAGGGTTTCATCATGTTGGCCAGGCTGGTCTCGAACTCCTGACCTCAGGAGATCCTCCCATCTCAGCCTCCCAGTGTTGGGATTACAGGCGTGAGCCACCGCACCTGGCCAGAACATTCATATTTTTGAAGAAAGAAAAAGAGGAAGCTGGGTGCAGTGGCTCATGCCTGTAATTCCAGCACTTTGGGAGGCCGAGGCACAAGGATCACTTGAGCCCAAGAGTTCAAGGTCAGCCTCGGCAATATAGTGAGACCTTGTCTCTACAAAAAAAAAAAATTTTTTTTCATTTTTTTACAAAAAGTTTTTTTAAAACACTGGCCGGGCATGGTGGCGAGCACCTGTAGTCTCCCAGCTACTCGGGAGGCTGAGGTGAGAGGCTTGCTTGAGCCAGGGAAGTGGAGGCTAGCTACAGTGAGCCTAGATTGCCCCACTGCACTCCAGCCTGGGTGAGAGAGTGAGACCCTGTCTCTCCACCCGCCCACCAAAAAAGAAAATGAGCCATTAAACCAGGACAAGTCACAGATGAATCTTAAATGCATAGTGTTAAGTGAAAAAAGCCAGTCTGAAAAAGCTACATACTGTACATTTCCAATTATATGACATTCTAGAAAAGGCAAAACGAGAGTCAGTAAACAGATCGAATACAAAAAACAAGAAAATTCTGAGAAACTGTCACAGCCAAGAGGAGATAAAGGGGACACAACAACTAAATATAATATGGCACCCTGGATGGGATCCTGGAACAGATAAAGGTCATTAGGGAAAAACTAAGGTAATCTGAGTCAAGTATGGTCTTTAGTTAATAATATGTCGATATTGGCTCATTAACTATGACAAATGTACTATGTTAATACATTAATCATAGCGAGGCATATGGGAACTCTGTAATATATTTGTAACTTTTTTTTTTTTTTTTTGAGACAGAGTCTCATTCTGTCGCCCAAGCTGGAGTGCAGTGGCACAATCTTGGCTCACTGCAACCTCTGCCTCCCAGTTTCAAGTGATTCTCCTGCCTCAGCCTCCCAAGAGTAGTTGGGATTACAGGCACCCACTGCCACACCCAGCTAATTTTTGTATTTTTAGTAGAGACAGGGTTTCACCATGTTAGCCAGGCTGGTCTTGAACCCCTGACCTCAGGTGATCTGCCAGCCTCGGCTTCCCAAAATGCTGGGATTACAGGTGTGGGCCACCGTGCCCAGCCTCTTTGCAGTAATTCTGTAAATCTAAACCTGCTCTAAAATTAAGTTTATTTAAAAACAAAACAAAAAAGAACCCTATGTTGGAGGGTGTGTTGGTGTTAGGCTATGTGTTTCCGAAAATGAAGCAGGAGTACTTTGTGTTTGTAGAAGTGAAACCTGAATAGAAGATACCAAAATCCTCAGCAAATGACTGTAAGAGAGAGAGAGAGAAATGAATGAGAATCTATCGGTATGTGCTGGGAAAATGCACTGCCACCTTCTGAACACCTACTAGGCCCCAGGCCCAGTGGGAGGTGCTTTCTGTATCAGCCAAGCTGCCAGCCTGGAATACTTACAGAATCTGCCTAGATCACACAGCCAGTGAGTGGTGGGGCCAGGCCTGTACCCCATGTCTCTGTGACCATGGCTGTCTGTAACCACTATGATCCCAGGAGAAAGATCCATGCCAAGATGCCCAGAGCAAGCCCTGGCTCACTGCTCCAAAATAGGACTCCACATCCTAAAATGCCAGCCCTCAACGGGCACAAAAGATAGGTAAGCCAACTCAGACAGGCAAACCAAGACCAAAGAACAAGCCCTGAGAGATCACCTTAAGTAACTCCCTATTTTTTTTTTTTTTTTTGTAAGGGTGAGACCTCAGGGGAGAGAGGAGACAGGATATTTTTGTGAGTTAGGGGCAAAACAGACTCCAACAGAGGTTTCTGACCTCTATATCCAGCAGCCATTCTGGGCACAGGGACCCACTCACCCCTGGTTTGAATGATGGCAGGCCCAGCCCCACACCAATGGTGGCCTTGTTAGGATTCACCACTGAATTATAGTGGATATTCCGATGGTAGCTAACACGAATGGGTTCGTCCTCGTTTTGATGTATCCCATGGAATGTGTTGATGGGTTCTGCAGAGAAAGAGAAGGAGGGAGCATCCACAGCAGGCCAGGTTGGGCAGGCTCGAATGAGGCACCATCTTTCCCTCACCTACCCACTGCAGAAGTACCTGTGCTGTACTGGTACACCTCCACAGGACGGTTGTACATCTCTGCCATGGCCTGCATCTCAATGTGGTTGCCATGGCAATTGTTTTTCCGCTTCCTGTTAATGTAGGTGGTAAAGTCCTCTGTGACATAGTTGGAGAAGTAGTCGGCATTCTTCATCTGCAGAATAGATTGGAAGGTTAAGGTCTGTGTGGAGAAGAAATCCTCCCACCCTGCCCCTTCCCCAAAGGCCTCCATTTTCTCACCAGATAGTCCATGCAATGCTTTCGCACAACCTCATGCATGTCCTGGTCTCCATACACCTGGTCAGCTGTGGGGGCAGAAGAAAGCAGCAGCTAGGGTCAGAGATGCCAGAGAAGAGCTCTGAATCATAGAACATCCTTTGGGGAGGAGGAACTGGGGGACCAGGGAAATTCCCTTTTCTACCCCAAGGCCTGGAGAGTTCTTGCCCTTGTAGGCTAGAACGGGGTCATGGAAAAATATGGCAGGCAGGGCCAGACTTGAAGAACAAGAGAGTGCAGGTGAGAGGAACACATCCACAGGCCTCTTGGGCAGATGACTTTGTCTAGGGTACACGTGGCCACTCAGAGAAATCAACAACATTCTAAGTTCCACAGGTTGGCCTCAAATGCTATTGATTCCCACACCCCCTTTGCTTTCCACATGAGGAAACTGAGGTTCAGGGGGAGTTTGTGGTTTGTCCAAGGTCACAAAGAGTCAGTCTGTGACAGAGTCAACTCTGAATTCAGTTTTCCTGACTCCTACAAGTCAACATGGCCTTTGTAGGCTGAAAAAAAAGGGAACAAAGACAAAAAAAGGAAAGAAAAAAAAATGGGCTCCAAGCCCAGTTCTGCCAGATACTAGAGAGTTGAGTGACCAGAGGCAAGTGACCCAAGTGTTCTGAGCCTCATATACCTCATCTGTAAAATGGGAAAAAGAGGGATAACAGGCCAGGCGTGGAGGCTCACACCTGTTATCCCAGCACTTTGGGAGGCCAAGGTGGGCAGATCACTTGAGGTCACGAGTTCGAGACCAGCCTGGCCAACGTGGTAAAACCCCGTCTCTACCAAAAATACAAAAATTAGCCGGGCATGGTGGCGGGCGCCTATAATCCCAGCTACTTGGGAGGCTGAAGCAGGAGAATCGCTTGAACCCAGGAGGCAGAGGTTGCAGTGAGCCGAGATCATGCCACTGCACTCCAGCCTGGGCGACAGAGTAAGACTCTGTCTCAAAAAAAAAAAAAAAAAAAAAAAGGGATAACCAAATGGCAGGCCTTTTGTGGGGATTAAATGAGATAACGGGTATAAAATAACTACCACTGGGCTTGGGACAGAGTAGCCACAGAGTAAATCAGAATTCCTTCCTCCGTAGGGAGGCCTGAATGTGGGGTACTGTGAAGGTGACAGAGGTGAGTAAAATCCTGCCCCTACCTTCGGGGAGCACACAGTCTAGTAAAAGAGATAAGACACACATGCAACTAACTTTAGCTTAACTCAGGATGGGCAGCCTGTGGCCCGAATAGTCCAGGCGTCGTGAGATTTGGTCAAACTAAGGCGAGAAGGAAACACACTCCCTCTGCTTCGCTTGAGGATCTTCACACATGCCGTTCCTTCTCTTCAGGACGCTCCTTCCATCCTCGTCAGCTGCCTACTTCTCAAACACCAATGTGTTCTTTATTTATTTATTTATTTGAGACAAGGTCTCGCTCTGTCGCCCAGGCTGGAGTGCAGTGGCGCGATCATAGTTCACTGCAGCCTTGACCTCCTGGGCTCAAGCGATCCTCTCGCCTCAGACTCCCAAAGTGCCTGGATTACAGGTGTGAGCCACCGCGCCTGGCCCAACATGTTCTTTAATACAGTTCCCCACTACCCAGGACACCTCTATCACCAGATTTATCAAAGGTGTGCATAGACTTCTGCCCGACCACACTGGGCTCCCACAGAAGGCAAAGGGCAGTTCACACCAAAGTCCACCCCCAGCTCAGGGCCCGATACAGTAAAGGAAATCAGGAAAAGTTTACTGAGCAAATGGATAGGCTGGGTAAGCCAGGGAGCTCTTCTCCCTGTGAAATTAAAGTGGGCCTGAAGATCATGCAAGTCTGATTTCCACTGGTTTTGGGAATTTCCCTTTGTTTCCCCAGAGGACCACTGCTCTGATGGGATCTCCCTGGGGCATGGGGCTAGGGTCAGGTCACACAGGAACACTCCTGAGTTCTTCCCTGTCAGTCTACCTCTCTGAAGAACTGTCAGAAGAACACCTTCCCTGCCTTCCCCTTCCTACCCTGGAGTGTTCTGTGAGAAAGGCTACTCTGAGATAGAAAATAGGGCCCATGTTTGTCTCCAGTCCTCTTGGAGGTGAAGAGACCTGAAGGGTAAGGGGGTGTGGAGGTTGTGAAGGCGGGAAGGGGGGTAGCCCCTTCACCAATGTAAACAAGGATGTGGGTTCTGCGGCCACACTCTCCCCCGCCCTCCCCAGCGGCATTTCCAGCAAGTCACATGTCCTGCGCACAGGCTGGGGGCCCCCTGCTGCTGCCTTTCTTAGAAGCCAGGACCACAGAGCCCGCACAGTGAGCTACTTGGGGAGCTATTTCTGTAGACTGAGCTTGGGGTACTGGGAGGCAGTGCTGTTGGCAGCTGCAGTAAACAGGAACAAAGATGAGAATGAAGGGGTTAAATAGGGGTTGGCTGGCCAGGCTCAGAGAGATAGGCTGAGGTGCTGGAGAAAGCCCATCTCCTATGGAAAGGTCAACGGTCATTTCCAGGCCTGGGAGTTCTATCTTCAAGAGCTAGATGCCAGATGCAGGAAAATGGGGAAAGAGAGGAGACTGTGGAACAGGGAAGGGATCTGGGGGAAAACCCCCTGAGGGTCCCATTTCTCTGCCACTGACCCCTTTGCCTGGCAGAAAGGCTCTGCTGCCTCCTAGCTGTGTAGCAATGGATAAGGCCTTTAACCTCTCTAAGCTGAAATGTCCTCATGCATAAGGTGGAGACAGTAACTCCTCTTCCATCTGCTGGGTGTTGTCAAAACTACACAGGAGGTTTGCCAAGCACCTAAGGCACAGTAGGTGGTCAAGAAACAGGAACACAATTTGTCATGACGACAATGATTCCTTCATATGCTAGTTACCCACGAGTCAGCCAGAATGTTGCCATAACCACTTATGAAGCCCTTCCTCATTTCTGTTGCAATTCCTCAGCCAGAGGAAAGCCCCAAATGCAGACCTAGGATGCATGTCCTCTCCTGGCTCTCTACCTTTAGCGAAACCAAAGGTCCACAAGTCTACCTCTAGGCCGTTAGTTCTAACAAAACTTCAGCAGTTAAATTAATATCGAATTAACAATACAGGCTTCATAAAACAGGGTCCTAAAGTATGGACGAGTTATGACACTTCTTTACTTATCTGTAAAATGTAAAATACCACCTTCTCTCCTCAATCCTATGATGGCACTGATAGGTGATATGGTATAACATGTACCTAATCACAGCTTTTGAGGGGGGAAACACACCACACTGATTATAAGGTATACCCTAAGTTTGGAATCATTAACGTGGAAGAAAATATACATCTCCAAACCAAGGAAAACAGCAATAGTACTACCCCAACAAGGGAGAATAGAAGGATTTCTCCAATAATATAAGGCAGGAAAAGCATCTAAGCACAGAGCTAAACACATAGGAAGTACTCAACAAGAATTCATTTTTGGCCAGGTGTGGTGGCTCACGCCTGTAATCCCAGCAATTTGGGAGGCCGACGCAGGTGGATCACCTGAGGTCAGGAGTTCAAGACCAGCCGAGCCAACATGGTGAAACCCTATCTCTACTAAAAATACAAAAAATTAGCCAGGCAGGGTGGTGGATGCCTGTAATCCCAGCTATTTGGGAGGCTGAGGCAGAAAAATCGCTTGAACCCGGGAGGTGGAGGTTGCAATGAGCCAAGATCACACCACTGCACTACAGCCTAGGCAACAAGAGCGAAACTCTGTCTCAAAAAAAAAAAAAAGAATTCGTTTTTCTGACTTTCCTAGCTCCACCTCTGTCCTCCAGAAAGCCCTCCTCTTCCCAGAAGGCTGGCACACAGGGCTGGGGGCCAGGCTTGACTTCCCTGTGGAGGGGTCTGAGGTTGGGGGGATGACCTGCAGAGGTAGGGGAATTCAGAGAACTTGTTTTGATAGAAACTGAAACTCCTCCTCTTGCTGACGCTGCACTTGTGGGCAATCTGCACCTGTTCTCCCCTCCCAGAGGCCAGCTGGAAGGGGGTCCCCCACCATTCTACCTCTGTTCCCATCTCAAACAGGGCTCAGAAATCCTCAGTACAATACTACAATTGGTCCCACACCAAAGACTTTTCACACTCCAACTCATTCTATCCTTACCAAAACACTCTTACTTTACCCAGGAGACACAGAAATGTGGCAAAGCTTGCCTGGGATCACAGATTTAGGGGGAGTGAAGGGGAGGCCAGGCTCTCAAAGGGTAACTGCTGGCCCCAGCTGATATTACCACCTTCACCCCAATCCAGCCACCATCTTAGTCACCTTACTCCCTGGGGCAGGACCTGATCTTGTGTGCCTCAGTTTCCACACCAGCACAAGCAGGAATCAGCTAGAACCCAGGAAAGGCATGGGAGAGGGCAGAGATTATAGATATCAGGGGCTGCATCTCTCCCTAGGGCCACAGAGGCCAATATGAACCTTACCCTCCCCATACACACCCCACTTCTTTCCTTTTTCTGGACACACAGAGACACCAGTATAGAAATGCACATGTGTATACACATACAGCAGAGACTGCCAAAGATGCTCCCTGAGGCCAAATGCTCACCCAACAAATCCCACAACAGAGAACTATCACATTCAATGAGTAGATGCCCTTGCCACTTCAGGAAAGACTGAAGATGTGAGGCTCTATAAACTGAGGGACCCCCTACCCCACCAACCTCCTTCCTGGCCTCTGGCAGGGTAGGTGGAGGGCAGGGGAAATAACCAAGAGCTCTAACAGACTAGCCTCAACCTCTCTCCTCTGTTGCCCGGGGGAAGTCCTTATGTAACTAATGTAATGTAACCAATAATGTACCCAGATTTATGTTAAGAAGCAAGACATGAGAGCCTGGATTATCTTCCTATAGGGTCCTACCATTTGCTTTAGAGACATCTGAGAACTGCCTACTCCCCAGGTAGCTGCCTGCCTCCCAGAAGAGCCACAGCAAGTTCCGCTAAGGGCAAAAAAGGAAGCTAGGTGTCTACAGGGAACCTAAAAACAAACCACACTAACGTGTGTACACACAGCTGCAGAGGGAGACAGGGACCTGGTCTGCTCCCCACTACCCTCCTGGTCCAGTGGGAACCCTGGCCCCACTGAGAACCAATCTCCTGAGGAGATGAGCCAGGACAAAGGTCTCACTTGCCTGTCAAGCAGCTGTGGTGTGACCTGGTCTGTAGCCCCAACTACCCCAACTAGCATACCCTCAGTGGGAGAGACAGAACTCATCCCACTGGATAGTCTGGTTCCTGAGATGTGTGCTCCTCTGCTCAAGGATTCCCACTGCAAGGATGAGAAACCTGAAGGATACACGGGAGAGGCTGAAGGAAGCTGGTGTACAGGAAATGGCCCGTGGGAATCTTCTTTCTGTGGCCTGGTTCAACCTCAAATACCAATGTTCTGACACTGGTTGTATGACCTAGATAGGGTAGGGTCTTGGCTTTCTCTTGAGGCCTCAGTTTCCCCATTTATAAAACAATCAAAATTGATCTCAGATCCATCCCTCCTAGTGCTGATGTTCCAAGACCAAAAGGCCCAGAAGAGTGGGCCTAGCTAATGTTTCTGGGCCTCATCGTGGTAACATGCACAGCCCTTGCCACTCCCCCATGGCCCATGTAGAAACAACCATGTGGCCTTCACTCTGCCCACAGAAGCTAGCACCAGGACCCTGGTCAGGGTTAGAGGTTTCTGCTGAGTCAAAGCCACATGGAGGGAGGGAGCAAGGGAGAGATGCAGAGTCATGTTTCCAGGAGGAGGTTATCTGAGCATAACAGGGACAGGGTGGGCCACAGGATACCTCTGAGGCTCAGGTTCCCACCTCCACTCCACCCAAGCCTTCAATGATGCTCATGAATCCCCAATAAGAGGAGGTGGGAGAGAACTGAGCGCAAGCAATGGATATTGCTTAACTCAGGGGAACCAATGGCAGGCAGGCAGCTACCTGGGGAGTAGGCAATTCTCAGAAGTCTCTAAAGCAAATGGTAGGACCCTATAGGAAGATAATCCAGGGGAACAGAAGGCAGAAAGCCACCTGCCTCAAGACTCCCAACAACAGAGGGCCACGTGCTCCTACTTGGAGGAGGTAAGGTCCAGAGAAGTCAAGGAACACAGCCAAGGTCATCCAGCCAGTTGACAACCAAGCTAAGAAGCTAAGGATCCTAGGATCATAAAAAGAATGTGTCCTGGCCGGATGCGGTGGCTCATGCCTATAATCCCAACACTTTGGGAGGCCAAAGCGGGTGGATCACAAAGTCAGGAGTTTGAGACCAGCCTGACCAACATGGTGAAACCCCATCTCTGCTAAAAACACAAAAATTAACCAGGTGTGGTGGTGCACGCCTGTAATCCTAGCTACTCAGGAGGCTGAGGCAGAAGAATCACTTGAACCCGGGAGGCAGAGGTTGCAGTGAGCCGAGATCACGCCACTGCACATTCCAGCCTGGGCGACAGAGGGAGACTCCATCTCAAAAAAAAAAAAAAAAAAAAAAAAAAAAAAAAAAAAAAGAATGCGTGTCCTTTGGACACCTCTGGGTTCCCAGGCCAGCTCTGGCTAATGGCCCTGAGCATGTCATTTCCCTTTCTATGCTTCAATCTTTTCACCTGTCTCATGGGATAATGATCCAAGTTTTGCAGTGAGCCTGAAGCACCCAGCTGAATGCCTAGCACACAGCAGGGGTCAAGGAAACAGTGCCCTCTATGTTTGCAGCCCCCGCCCAACTCCAACTCTCTGCTCCACGTTCCTTCCACTATTCAACACATGGCAGGAAGTCAGCCTGTAGGGCTTCACACTACAGTCTAAGCTGACTGCCATCTGTCCCCATCCAGGCGAGGCTGGAAACGGGGGCAGCAAAAAGCCCAGGGACAAAGTCCCCTTCCCAGGCACATGTATTATGCACTCTGCACCAAGGAAACCTCCAGATAAGGTCTAGAGACCAAGGGCCATGTACTTCGGGGGAGAGGCCAGAGGACTTCTGAGGTTTTACAGAGAAAAGCCAAAGGCAGCCCAGTCAGGGGAAATGTGTAGCCATAGTGCCGATAAGGAAAGGCCTTCAACCTGCCCTGGTCAGCTCTTCCTGTAAGTAGAGGCCCCTTACTGAAGGCCCCAGTGGGAGGAAGGGTCGGGAGTATTTGGGGAGAACAGCTAGATACATATAGACACACACACACACACAAATACTGCTCTTGATACGAGTTACTACAACAAGCCAGGTCCTCACTAGCTAGCCCCAAGGGTCGGGGGTATTTGGGGAGAACAGCTAGCTAGATACACACACACATACACACACACACACACACACACACACACACACACACAGAGAACAGCTAGCTAGATACACACACACACACACACACACACACACACACACACACGGCTCTTGATATGAGTTACTACACAAGCCAGGTCCTCACTAGCCAGTCCCAAGGCTTACCCTCAATGACTGCCCAAGACTCAGATGCCCGCTGCATTCTCTAATCCTAACTCCACCAGAAGCCCTGCTTACCCCACATCTAGCCTGAGGTCTCAACACAGGGCCTAGCACCTAACAGGCCCCCACCTATTCTTTCTTTGCCTTTCTTTTGTCCAAGATGCCCCGAAACCCAGCTCTTCCTCTGGGAAACATCCCAGGGAAAACACAAACTTGAGCCAGAGGGGTAGGAGGGATAAGTTTTTTCCCAGTCCAATAGAGCCCATTGCCTGAGCCTCTTCTGCTTGGCAGAATAGAGAGGAGACCATTCACTCCACCCTTTCAACAAACACATGTGACTCTGAGGCACCAGTGAAAATGGCATCTGGGTTTTACAAATGCTACTGTTCCATGAGGGTCTACTATATGTGTCAGGCACTAAAGGGATTTACCAAAGCAACTTCATTAAATCGTTACAGCATTAGGGTCTTTTAGCCCCATTTTACAGATGAGGAAACAGCCTCAGGAAAGAAGAGCTGCTTGCCTAAGGTCATACCAAGAATCAGTTGTGCAGCCAGGGATGGAGCCTAAAACACCCCAGCCCACCAGTAGACATGGGGGGTACCCACAGACGGAGAGAATAGCAGACCAAGAAGGAACTCAAAGAGGCATTGAGAATCAACACCATTTCACAGACGGGAAGACCAAGGCCAAGTGTCACAGCAGTTATGAGTCAGGGCCAGAACTAGAAGGTAGGTCTTCTGACTCCCAGCTCAAAGCTCCTATCAGAGGGCACTTTTCCTTGGTAGATATCAGAGAACCACAGGGAGGATCAGGTCACATTCCCAGCTTCCCCTTCACCCTAGCACAGGACCTCACAACTACTTGTTGGGTCACAGATTCAGAGCCAAAATGGCCTCAAAGATCTAACTCAGACTGGATAACAGATGGTATTAAGGCATTATTAATTCTGTTAGGTGCAGTAATGGCATTTTGATTATGTTAAAAAGAAGAGAGTAAGTCTGTATCTGTCAGAGAAACATACAGAAATATTTATGAATGAAATGATCCAATGTCGGGGTTTTGCTTTAAAAATACTCTTCTTTCAGGGGAGTGAGAAAGAGTGGGCGGGATAGTGATGAAACAAGGCTGGCCACGTATTGACTATTTTGAAGCTGGATGATGGGTACATGAGGGTTCATCATTCTCTCTACTTTTATATAAGTTGAAAAAAAATTCTATGATATAAGAAATTTGTAAAGATCTAGTCTGATAGCCCCCATACACACAGATTGAGGAACAGAGACCCGCAACACACCAGAGATGGGATCTGGGTATAAACCTAGGGGTCATACAGCCCAGGGTGGCAGCAGTATGCTATGGTTAAGAGCATGGGCCTCAGACTAATCTAACCCAGACACTGAATCCCAACTCTACCACTTATTATTTCACTCCAGACAAGTCACCCACCATCTCTGAGCCACTTTTCTCATCTGACAAATGGAAGCAACAGTAGTCCCTACACTCACCTAGCTTAGAGGGGAATCAAAGAGGTTTCCTGTAGCACCTGACAATGTGTCCCAAAGGATATTATTTTCTTTATCATTCTTCTTGCTGTTATTATGCATATTAATCTTGCACCACTACAATGTCTCAAGACCCACGGCTAGAGGTCAGATACCAACTTGAGGCTGGAGCCTAGAGTCCCTAAAAGATTAGCTAGCTCTGCCTCAACCCTGTCTCAGGGGCTATTCCTGATAACTGGGACACAGCTTAGGGGCAGCCCTAGGCCCTTAAGGACTAAGGCAGAGACTCACCTACAGCCCGGAAGAGACAGGCGCCATCCTCCTTCATCTGCTTGATGATGAAGCCCTTCTTGTCTCGTAGGGCCTTTTCAAACCAATGCTCCTGCTGGAGGGAAGAGGTGGGGGTCAGCAACAGGGAAAACCTGTACTCCCTCCCCAGGGCCCCGACCTCAAGCTCCCGAGAGGCCTAGATCATTGACAGAGAGGACGCTGGCCAAGGTAAAGTTCTCAGCCCTGTTTGACCACTCCATGCATGTGAAGTAGGAGACTCTTTTAGGGAATTAGTTGCTGAGTGAAACTAAGACTTACTTCCAAAAGGGTCCTAGGTGCCCTGAGAACAGTGGCCCCATATGCCTTATGGCTTCTGTTGACCTTGCAGGGCCTGGCCCAGGGAGCCACACTGCCTCAGGCAGCCAGAGACTCAGACCCAGCAAGTGCCTGGGTGGAGAATGTGGCTCTACCTCAAGGAGTTTCATCTAGGAAAGGTGGTGAAGAGGGGGTAACTAGCAAGAGCCTAGATCCTGAACCTGACAAAGGGCTAGAGGATTCCAAGATATGCTGTAGGCCGGGCATGGTGGCTCACACCTGTAATCCCAGCACTTTGGGAGGCCAAGGTGGGTGGATCACCTGAGGTCGGGAGTTCGAGACCAGCCTGACCAACATGGAGAAACCCCGTCTCTAATAAAAATACAAAAGTAGTCAGGCGTGGTGGTGCATGCCTGTAATCCCAGCTACATGGGAGGCTTAGGCAGGAGAATCGTTCGAACCCAGGAGGTAAGAGGTTGCGGTGAGCTAAGATCACCCCATTGCGTTCCAGCCTGGGCAACAAGAGCGAAACTCTGTCTCAAAAAAAAAAAAAAGAGATATACTCTAGAAGGCAAAAGTGTGCAAACAATGTTCTCATCTGTGACTGAACACATTTAACAGATATCTACACATATATACATATGTATGTATACAAACACACGTACACAAAATTGGGAAGGCTAGACAGCAAAATATCCCTAAGTCCTGGTGTTATCAGCGATTTTATTGCACTTTCCCTTTTATAAAGTTACACTAAACCCAAAAAGCTTTGAAAATCAAGTCTTTTTTTTTTTTTTTTTTTTTTGAGATGCAGTCTCACTCTTTTGCCCAGGCCGGAGTGCAGTGGCACTATCTCGGCTCACTGCAAGCTCTGCCTCCCGGGTTCATGCCATTCTCCTGCCTCAGCCTCCCGACTAGCTGGGACTACAGGCGCCTGCCACCATGCCTGGCTAATTTTTTGTATTTTTAGTAGAGACGGGGTTTCACCATGTTAGCCAGGATGGTCTCGATCTCCTGATCTCGTGATCCACCCACCTCGGCCTCCCAAAGTGCTGGGATTACAGACATGAGCCACTGTGCCCGGCCCAAAAGTCTTTATCTAATTCATTTGGCATCATAACCTGACCAGAACTGACAAGAATCTATTTATCCCACTTGGGGTAAATATTCAAATATTTCAATGCAGAAAACATTCAGGTGTTTGATTATGAGGTGCTGCCTCAGACCCTGCTGGAGGTGTTATGTAACACAAAGTATACACACCAGGTAAGTTTTATAAATTGTTTTTTTCCTAAATTCCAAAGCACACCTGGCACCACGAAGGTTCAACTTAAATGAACCTGTACAAATGCCTATTTTTTAATTAAAAAAATAATGACCATATAACCTCTTAAAACATAATTTTCATTTCAAAACAAAACCAACCAGAAGCAGCAGACCTTTCCTGGGCCCCTCACGCCCTCTGCTGGCTACCAGAAGCAGCCAGCCTGACCTAGCAACAAGGCTGCAAACTACAGGATCCCAAGCCTGCTCCTTGTGGACACAGGCCTGCCCAGGGATTTATAGGATCTGGGGTATTAGAGACCAGACATAGGGGCCCACCTATCCGTAAGGCCATTTTTCCCCAGCTCAAGCAAGGGGTGGAACCCATCCCCTAAGAAAGCCAGAGGAGAAGCATCTCTGGCAAAGTTGTAAGCACAAGGTTTGGAACGCAAGAGCTCTGGGTTCCAACCCCAGCTTTGCCACACACTTGCTGTCTGTTATCACTCTCAGTTTCCTATAGAATGGGGGATATGTTGATCTACCGGACAGAGCTGTGAGGAGTTTCAGGACCTAAAGAAGCTTTGTAAATAACGTACCATATACTAGGGGAAGTTGTCGCCAATCACAGAAGGGGAGGAGATCAGCACAGAGATTATGCACAACTGAGAGACCCTCAGAAAGTCCCAGGTGAGTAGCGGGACAGGAGGGGAGGAAGAGGTGACAAGGGAATACCCAGCCAGTCCCATCATCAGGGCCCACACCCCAGGAAAATGTGGCTGGATTTCTAGAGATGACAAAGACACCTGGAAGCCCTTAATGAGCTTCCATGCGCAGCACAAGGACTCCTGTTTGTGCACAACATTCCAGTGGTCCAGGTGTCCCTCCTTGCCCCCAAGCCTGTGGATTAACACACTCCAGCCAGTTATGCCCAAGTCCATCCTGGCCACACATGGTCAGCCATCTCCCAGAGTCATGGGCCTGCCCCAGCCAGGGGTCTCCAGCAGGGATGGTGCAACCACAACTATAGTCCCAAACCTGACACAAGAATAGGTTCTTAAAAAGAAGGGAACACAGCGACTTCCTGGCTTTGGAGAGAGGGGAAAAAGAGAGGAGAAAAGGAGATCAAACAGGAGAGGGGCTCCTACTTATCCATTCAAGAAAGACTTACCAGGTAGCTACTAAGTAAGATACTGGGCTGGGCAGTGAGGACAGTGAAATGAATCAGACTTAGTCTCCACTCTTGATAAGCTCACAAACTACTTAGCAGAGGGGTAGGGAAACAGGTAACCACCACAAGGTATGAACAAGGCTGTGAAAAATGTAAATGCCAGGTGTTGTGAAACAGAAAGAGGCTGGGCGAAGTGGCTCTCGCCTGTAATCCCAGCACTTTGGGAGGCCGAGGCAGGTGGATCACTTGAGATCAAGAGTTCAAGACCAGCCTGGCCAACATGGTAAAACCTTGTTTCTACTAAAAAATACAAAAAAAAATTAACTGGGCATGGTGGTGCATGCCTGTAATCCCAGCTAAATCAGGAGGCTGAGGGAGAAGAATCGCTTGAACCTGGGAGACAGAAGTTGCAGTGAGCCGGGATCATACCACTGTATTCTAGCCTAGGCGACAGAGTGAGACTCTGTCTCAAAAAAAAGAAGAAAAGAAAAGAAACACAGTCATTGGGCCAGGCACGGTGGTTCACACCTGTAATCCCAGAACTTTGGGAGGCTGAGGTGGGCGGATCACCTGAGGTCGGGAGTTTGAGACCAGCCTGACCAACATGGAGAAACCCCGTCTCTACTGAAAAATACAAAATTAGCCAGGTGTGGTGGTGCATGCCTGTAATCCCAGCTACTCGGGAGGCTGAGGCAGGAGAATCGCTTGAACCCGGGAGGCGGAGGTTGTGGTGAGCCAAGATCGCACCATTGCACTCCAGCCTGGGCAATAAGAGCAAAACTCTGTCTCAAGGAAAAAAAAAAAAAAGAAAAAAAGAAACACAGTCATTAAGGCTAGCACCTGAGAGGAGGTGCCACCTGACCAAAGGATTAAAACACCAAGACCTCCAAAAATGCTTGTTAACTGGATGAGAAATGAAGTCACTTCTGCCACGAAGTACCAGGAATGCCTGGAGCCCAGCAATGAATTCAGTAGAGCTAAAGTTCTGGGTAGTACTAGGCAGGTAAGCAGGGAGGACCAGGAAGAAAGATGAACTCATATTAACTGAATACCTGCCCCATGCCAGATGCAAAGGGTGACCTCGTTTAATTTTCCTGACCACAGCCCAGGTGGCAGGAAACATTACCCTCACTTTACAAAGGCAGAAAGGAGGCCAGACACGGTGGCTCACGCCTGTAATCCCAGCACTTTGGGAGGCCAAGGCGGAAGGATCATCTGAGGTTAGGAGTTTAAGACCAGCCTGGCCGACATGGCGAAGCCTTGTCTCTACTGAAAATACAAAAAATTAGCAGGGCGTGGTGGCGTGTGCCTGTAATCCCAGTTACTTGGGAGGCTGAGACAGGAGAATCGCTTGAACTCGGGAGGTGGAGGTTGCAGTGAGCCGAGATGGCACCATTGCACCCCAGCCAGCCTGGGCAACAGAGCAAGACTATGTCTCAAAAACAAAAACAAAAACAAAACAAAAAACAAAAAAACAAAGGCAGAAAGAGAAAGGAGCTGGAGTTTGGATACCAGCAAAGCCTAGTGTAGAGGCAACAGGGAAGGCCCCCACGAGCCACAGCATGGAGGACATACCTTGCAGCCCATCCACAGAATATCCTGGTTTGTCTCTAAACATGAAAGAGACCTGAATAGGCCCCTCGCACTGCAGGGTTTGGGTCCTGGGGCAGTCAAACTGGCATCCAGGCTTGGATCTAGAGGCTGGACTGCTAGCCACCCACTGGCTTTGTCATCAGCAGCCTGAGGAGTTTGGGCTCTGGCCCTTCTCTTTCTCCTTTTGGGGAGAAAATGTTGCTCAGGAAGGGCTAGTAGGGGTGGGGGGTAGGGGATAGCTCAGCCATAGATAAGTTTAAGCTCCAACAATGCCCTGGCCTGAGGAGATTGTGAACCTTGCAAACTCATCGCTGAGCCTATGGGAAAATCCCTCCATATCTTTGAGCCTCCACAAAAAGGCTGAGTAAAGCTCCCTAACACCAGAGGATCCCAGGAGCTGAGGCAAGATTCTGTAACCTAGTGGTCTAAGGGCCCAAGTGAAGTTGGAGCAGGCTGTGGAACCCAACTGACTTAGGTTCCAATCTAGCTCCACCAATTATTAGCCATGTGATGATGAACTGCTCTGAGCCACAGTTTTCCAATCTGTGAATGGGGATACCAAGCCTCCCAATAATAGGGATGCTGGGCAGACTCAAATATTACAGGGCTTTGCCCAGTAAGAGACCACTTAATGAGTTCCCTTCCCTTCCCCAGGAGGGAAAAAAGCCTCTCTAGTAGGCTGATTAATAGCCACGCAAAGATATCAAACCCTAACCCCCCTGGAACTTGTAAATGTTACCTTATAATGAAAAAGGTAGGGCCAGGCGTCGTGGCTCATGCCTGCAATCCCAGCACTTTGGGAGGCTAAGGCAGGCAGATCGCTTTGAGCTCAAGAGTTCAAGACTAGCCTGGGCAACATGGTGAAATCTCATCTCTACAAAAAATACAGGCCAGGTACGGTGATTCACGCCTGTAATCGCGGCACTCTGGGAGGCCGAGGCGGGTGGATCACCTGAGGTCAGGAGTTCGAGACCAGCCTGGCCAACATGGTGAAACCCTATCTCTACTAAAAATACAAAAATTAGCTGGTCATGGTAGCAGGCGCCTGTAATCCCAACTACTCAGGAGGCTGAGGCAGGAGAATCGCTGGAACCTGGGAGGCGAAGGTTGCAGTGAGCCGAGATAGCACCACTGCACTCCAGCCTGGGTGACACAGCGAGACTCCATCTCAAAAACAAATAAATAAACACCAAAAATTAACCGGGCATGGTGGCTCGCACCTGTGGTCCCAGCTACTCAGGAGGCTGAGGCTGGAGGATCACTTGAGTCCAGGAAGTGGAGGGTGCAGTGAGCCAAGATTACGCCACTGCACTCCAGCCTGGGTGACAGAGGCCAGCACTGTCTGAAAAGAAAAGAAAAGCCCGGGCACAGTGGCTCATGCCTGTAATCCCAGCACTTTGGGAGGCCGAGGCGGGTGGATCAACTAAGGTCAGGAGTTTGAAACCAGCCTGGCCAACATGGCAAAACCCCATCTCTACTAAAAATACAAAAATTAGCCAGGTGTGGTGGTGGGCGCCTGCAATCCCAGCTACTCAGGAGGGTGAGGCAGGAGAATAGCTTGAACCCAGGAGGCGGAGGTTGCGGTGAGCCGAGACTGCGCCTGGGTGACAGAGTGAGATTCCACCTCAAAAAAAAAAAAAAAAAGAGAAGAGAAAAGAAAAAAAGTGTTTGCAGATGTAATTAACTTACATTATTAAATCTGGAGATGGGGGGTTATCTTAGAGTATCAGGTAGGACCTAAATGCAATCACAAGTGTCCTTATAAAAGAGAGACAGAGGGAAATTTGATACAGACAGAAAAGGAAACCACATATACAGAGAAGGCGATGGTGAAGATGGAGGCAGAGATTAGAATGATGCAGTCATAAACCAAGGAATGTTGGCAGCCACGAGAGGCTAGAGAAGGTCTAAATTCTCCCTGAGAGCTTCCAGAAGGAGTGTGGCCCTGCCAACACTTTGATTTGGATGCAGTGAAACTGATTGTGGACTTCTGGCCTCCAGAATTGTGACAGAATAAACTTCTCTCTCTCTTTTTTTTTTTTTTTTTTTTTTTGAGATGGAGTCTCGCTCTGTCACCCAGGCTGGAGTGCAGTGGCGCAATCTCAGCTTACTGCAACCCCCACCTCACTGCAACCTCCAATCCGTCTCCTGGGTTCAAGCAATTCTCTGCCTCAGCCTCCCGAGTAGCTGGGATTACAGGCACCCACCACCACACCCAGCTAATTTTTATATTTTTAGTAGAGATGGGGTTTTACTATCTTGGCCAGGCTGGTCTTGAACTCCTGACCTCGTGATCCACCCGCCTCGGCCTCCCAAAGTGCTGGGATTACAGGGGTGAGCCACCGCACCCGGCCAACTTCTGTTGTTTTAAACCACCCAGTCTGTGGTAACATTTGTCACAACAGCCACAGGAAACTAACACACCCCCCTTGGTAGCACTCCTTGGTGTCTGTTCCCTAGTGCCTCACAGGTGTGAGACAATATGGCATGGATCCCGCTCTGCAAGGTCCACCTGCCTACCATCCTCCAGGGTGGGAGGTTAGAATTAAGGCAGCAGGGGCCTGGAATCTCCCTTCTCACCCTGGGAAACTACTGACCCTGCCTATGGATGGATGAGCTGCCACTGAAGTGGGGGTGGGGTGGGGGGGCAAAAGATGGCAGCAGCAGTGGCAGTTCATGGACAGATGTCTTCCCAGAGCCTATGGTCAAAAGGTGTTTAGCATTCTGTGACTCACAGCTCTGTCCCAGCAGCCCTGGTGCCAAGACCACCCCCTCCAGCAAAGCACCCAGGAACACTAGCCTGGCTCCATGGACAAAACACAGGGGGCCAGGCGTGGTGGCTCACGCCTGTAATCCCAGCACTTTGGGAGGCCGAGGTGGGCGGATCACGAAGTCAGGAGATCGAGATCATCCTGGCTAACACAGTGAATCCCTGTCTCTACTAAAAATACAAAAATATTAGCCAGACGAGGTGGCAGGCACCTGTAGTTCCAGCTACTCGGGAGGCTGAGGCAGGAGAATGGTGTGAACCTGGGAGGTGGAGGTTGCAGTGAGCCAAGATCGCGCCACTACACTCCAGCCTGGGGGACAGAGTGAGACTCCATCTCAAAAAAAAACACACACAGGCAACCCATCCAACGAGGAACATAGACACACTACTCTCTAAGGACCAACACAAGCCCTCCAGGGCAGAAGGGGAGAAGAGCAAGGCCCCAACATTTGGCTAGGCCACTGAGGGCAGGGGGATTAAAAACCTCTAAGATTGGCAGGGTGCGGTGACTCACACCTGTAATCCCAGCACTTTGGGAGGCCAAGGCAGGCAGATCACCTGAGGTCAGGAGTTCAGGAGACCAGCTTTGCCAACATGGTGAAACCCCATCTCTACTAAATATACAAAAATTAGCCGGGTGTGGTGGCAGATGCCTGTAGCCCCAGCTACTTGGGAGGCTGAGGCAGGAGAATCACTTGAACCCGGAAGCCGGAGGTTGCAGCGACCTGAGATTGCGCCACTGCACTCCAGCCTGGGCAGCAGAGCAAGACTCCACCTTAAAAAAAAAACAAAAACAAAAACAAAAACCAAAAAACAAAAAAACCCAAGGTCCTGTTATTCAGTAATAGAAAGGAATGAAGCACTGATGTATGCTACAACATGGATAAGCCTTGAACATATTATGCTAAGTGAAAAAAGCCAAGTAACAAACAACTGCATATTCTATTATTCCATTTACATGAAACATCCAGAACAGACAAATCAATCAAGCCAGAAAGTAGATTAGTGGTTGCCAGAGGCTGGAAAGGGATGAGGAAATTGGGGGATCATAGCTAAAGAGTGCTGGATTTCTCTTTAAGGTGATGAAAATGTTCTAAAATGGACTGTAGTGATGTGATGGACGCACAAATCTGTGAATATACTAAAAGCCACTGAACTGTACACTTCAAAGAGGTGAATAGTATGGTACATGAATTACATCTCATTAAAGTTGTTAAAAGAAACACACCCAAGGGCTCAGCACCAGCCAAGGACGCTGAACACTGCTTGAAATGTCCTAGCACAATCCCCAAAGGCCAAGGGGTCCCACTTAAAACTTTCATGAAGGGTGAGGGGAGTGGGAGCAGGGAGGAGACTATAACTTGCTTCAGAGCAATGAGTCCAACCTCCCTCCTCAACACTACCCATTTCATGGAGGGAGAAACCAAGAACCAGAAAAGAGAACTGCCTGAAGACCACAGAAAAGCTTACTGCAGAAACAGGACTCAAATCCACGTTGCCTGGGCAGAGACCCCTTCCTGCTTCCCCACCAGCTAGCTACCCAATTCCAGTTGGGGTAAGAAGAGCCCAAGAAATCAGCAGGTTCCTAGATGCCAAATGAAGGGCCTTTGCTATCAAAGATAGGTTACTAGGAGTGGACAAAGGCTCCTAGGAAGAACCAAGATGACCCTGGGGCAAACTGCCCATTCTGGGCAAGAGGAAGAACCGGCCAAGGTCCAAGGTGTGCAAGGTCAGACACACCTGGGCATGGACAAACTTTTGCAAAATGGGCAGCTGAGGGGGCAAGTAGTTTGCCTAAAGCTATAAAGCAGGTAAGGAGGAGATGCTGAGGTCTGGAGGTGATGAGAGAATTGAGGGATGATGGCTCAAAGCTTGCCTTGCTCCAAAGCCCAAACTCCACACACAACTCTACCTCTCTACACCACTATCCAACAGGCCTCCTGACAGGAAATCCCATCGAGCTTGTTCATTACAACATGGCTGCCCACAAAAAATGGCTGTTCATCAACCCTGAGCCTCACACAAAACAGGCTGCTTGTCCTGCCCACCAAGCTTGGATGGCTGAGAGGGAACAGAGGAGCCAGGAAGAGAGGGGAGAAACCCAGTTCCTCCTCAAAAGACATCCACCATTCTTTGCCACCTCCAGGTCCAGAGAACTTTGGACTGAGTTCCCTAAAATCCCAAAGCTAAACAACACCTCACCAGCATTTTGCCTGGCCAGTGAGGAAACTGAGGCCCAGAGAGCATAGGTAGAACCTACCCTGGTTCATCCAGCAAAGCCTTGAAAGACCCAGAGTTGGAACCCAGGCACCAACTACCGTGCCACACCCAGCTTTTTCCACCACCTCAGTTCACATGCCCCTTCTCAAAGAGCTCTGTGGGGTCTCCAAACTCAGGATGCTTACAGGCCAACCTTTTCATAGAGCAGACTCTCAGCAAGGCAGCCATGCCTGGGAACCCCTGACATCACCACCCACCCAGCACCTGGACCCCAGAGTGCCAAAAAGACTCCTAAAGGAAGTAGGGATACAAGAGAATCAGGACAAAGAGGAAGCCCAAGTAGTCAGAACCCCAGAATCGCCATCTAGACTCCCCCTCAACGACGCCTCTCTTCCCAAGGGATCCAACTGACCTCCAGGCTACAACCACCCCTAGTGACAGTTTAGGACCAAGACTGGGGTGGCAGGAGGAATCTTCCCTCTTCTCATCCCCAAAAGCTCTCAAGTTGGACCAGGTGAGGCAGGGAGAAGAGGATCACCTTCTTTGTCCTAAGAAGTGTGGGGACAGAAAGCCTCTCCTGTCATTGGGAAGGGCAGGTTTCATGAACCCACAAAACTTGATTTTCATATTCTTTTTTTTTTATTAGTAAAGATGAGGTCTCGCTATGTTGCCAAGCAGGTCTTGAACTCCAGGGCTCAAGTGATCCTCCCGCCTCAGCCTCCCGAGTAGCTGGGACTACAGGCATGCGCCACTATGCCCGGCTTACTCTTATGTTCTTATGGGGACAAGTATAAGGGAGGGACTGCAAGGGGCATAAGGAAGTGTTTTTGAGTTACCATGGCAGCATAGGATGTTCTTTCTCTCTGTCCCTGGGACCAGGGATGTATCGCAAGGGAGGGGAGTAAGGAGGTGTTTTTGAATTATCATGGCTGCATAGGATGTTTTTCCTCTGTCCCTAGGACCAGTGATGTATGGCTCCCTGCTTCTAGAGGAGGAAAGAAACTACCCAACCAGAGAGAGAAGAAATAACTGGTCCTGACCCTTGAGTACAAATGGCTTATCGTGCCAGAATTAATGATGGGAGGAAGGGACCAAGAACAAGGAGCTCAAGACAAGGCTTGGGGCCCCTGTGAAGTACAGAAAGATTTACCTGAGCCAAGGGGAAAAGGAATGTGGGAGGAGAATTTCCCCAGAGTGGCGATGTCCCAAACCCCTTTCCTGTCCCTGGGAAGAAAAAAGCTTGTCAAAAGCAGTTCAAAACTTATTATATGACCTAGAGGTGAGAAGCAAGCATAGCTAGGTCAGGGAGAGACTCGGAATCGCTCTTGGTTTCAGAAGGGAGGCTCCAGACTCCATGTCCCCAGGACCTGACAATCTTCTCATAGAAAGTAGGAGGACCTTCTTGGCCCTGGCCACGAGGGAGCTCTGGATAAGGGGTTCATATGACCCTGAAGAGCATCCAGGTCCTTCTGTCCAATGGGAGAGGATGACCTCACGTTCCTCTCCCTGGACAGAAAGGATTGCCTGGTGTGGTAGGAGGAGAGCCTCATGCCCAAGTGGGAGCCAGGCCCCCAGTCCCTAAGGCAAACGGTATCTTGTCCCAGAGAGAAAGCTTGGGCCCAGACTCTTTTCCTCAGAATCCTACCCTATTCATGTCCCCAAAAGGAGTTGGGAGTCTAAGGCCCAAGTCCCCGAGGCAGGAAGTCTTATGTCCCTAAATGACCCCTAAGACTAGGGTGTATGTAAGTTGTCTGAGGTGAGGTGACAGTACCCTCAGGGCAGGTTCAGAAATCAGGTCCTAAGGTGGGGAACAGGCCTTCACACACCTGAGTTATGATTCAAACCCTTGGAGGTAGACTCAGGACCCTGTTCCACAGGGATCCTTTATCCATGCCCCAAGGGAAGAGTCTCAGGGCTCAGGTCTGGGGGGAGGAGTCCTCCTGTTTCTCAGGTGTACATCTTAAGTTCCTTGAGGAGGAAGCTCAGACCTTACCTCTAGACACACAAGTCACCAAGGTATGTATGAGTCTCCTGTCCCTGAAGGAAAGCTCAAGTGTCCTTGGCAGAGTGGGTCTCAGGCCCTTAAAAGTAGGCAAAGATCTGTAGGGAGGCCCCAGACATCATCTCTGGGATCCCATGTTGCCCATGTCCCCTGAGTAGTCGTCTCAGGCTCAAGTTCCCAAGGCATGGGTCGTATGTCCCTGACAAAAAGCTTAGGCCCAAGGTGGGAGGGCCTCAAACCCCTGTTACAGAGGGGAAAATGGGATACTGTATCCCCAAGGTATGTTTCAGTTCCTTATAATTGGGGTAAAAGGGTCACATATGCTCGTGGGGTGGGGAGTCTCAGATCCCCAAAACCACTCAGACACCAGCCTTGAGAAGAAGGATCTCCTAAAGACTTCACCTTGTCTGAGACCTTTGCAGCAGGACACCAGGCCCCTGAAGAGGCCTCAGACTCGGTCTCTAAAAACCTCAGTCCATAAGCAGGTGGATCTTAGGCCCTAGGATCCAACGCTGTGAGTCTCATTTTCCTGAAGAAAGGTTCAGGCCCCTGGTGGGGGTGCTGAGGGCCCATCTCTTCTTACAAGAAGCTTAAGATCCTGAAGCGGTTCAGGCCCTTGTCTCCCAAGAGGTAGGTCTCAGGCCACTGATAGGAAATGCAGACCTTTGTCACTCAGAAAGGAGATAAGTAAAGCTGCTGGTCATTGGGTGTTGGTTTTGGTCCCTGTCCCCAAGGGCAAGGGAATCATATCTCCCTGTGAAAAGTCTTACATCCCTGGAAAAAGCTTAGAAGATCCCTATCCTTAAAGGGGGCGTGTGTGTGTGTGTGTGTGTCAGGACCTTGATTCTAGAAGCAGGACTCTCAGGCCCCTGAAGACAGACTTAGGACCCTTGAGGTCTCAGGTCTGGCTATTCAGTGGTCCTGTGCAGTGTTACCCAGCGAAGCGGGAGAGGATTGTCCTATATGCAGAGTGTCTCAGACTCTTGAAAGGGCTTAGGCTCCTTGGGGATGTTCAGCCCCGATCTCCGAGGTCTCCACCTTATTTGACTTTCCTGGAAGGGGAATCTCAAACTTCTATCCCAGAGGAAAAGAGCTCTTAAGCCACTGAACACATACCTAAGTCTCTTGGGAGACCTGAGACTCCTACTCAAGAGGGGCGCGATCCTACCTGTATCTCTTGGAGAATTCCCACCTATTGGCCCTATATGATGAGGTCCCAGGGACTGGAATGACGACTATAGACCTTAAAAGAGACCTCGGATCTTTAAGTCTGACACCTTACCGTAGGCCTCTAGCCCCAAAATCCTGGAGGGGAGGAAAGAAGGTGTCTCACATCCCTACCGCCAGAGAAGACTGTCAGGCCCAGTGAAAACGCCTAGATCCCTTGGGGCGATCTCAAACAGCCTTCCTTGAGTCCCTTCACAGTCTGGGGGTCCCATCTGCCGTGGCCGCTCACCCCTCACCCCACAGCTCTTACCTGCTCGACAGTGGCAGGGTCCATAGCCTCGATGCGTGCTGCAGCCGCCTCATACTCGTCCTCACTGTTGTAGCCTGCGCCGACCTCCTCACGCTCGGGACTGCCCCCGCCAACCGCGCCAACCCCGGGAGCTTGACGTCGCCGCTTGCTGTGCCCAGGCCCGGAGCAGCAGCCGCCCACGCCTACGGCACCACCCACACCCACCACCACGCCCGCGGCACCCACACCCGCCGCCGCTGCGCCCAGCGCGTCGCCGGGACCGCCGCCGGGACCACCTGGGCCCCCGCAAGGAGGTGGAGAAGCCTGTTGTGGCCGGGGACCCGCCACTGCACCAGGCGGCACGGCCAGCGCCCAGCGATGAAGAGCGCCCGGCGGTCCTGGTAGCGGGCCTTGAGGCGGTGGCGAAGCTCGCGGACGGGCCCCCACGACGCCGGAGTCACGGTCGCGATCGCCGCCGCCCACGCCCGTGCCGCCGCCGCCCACGCCCACACCTCCGCCGCGCCGCGGCGCCGGGGGCATCGGCCCGGGCGGCGGCGGCTCGTTGGCGGGGTCGGCGTCGGGAGGCGGCGGCTTCTTTTTGGGGAGTATAGTCATGGCTGCACTGCCGAGTACCCCCCAACAAACCCGGCGCGGGGCACGCCGGGAGAGAACCCGGATGAGGGGGCTAGTGTAGTGCGCGAGGCACGACGGGAACGGCGAGACCCGGATAAAGGGATCGCGGCACCGGTTCGAGAACCCTCGGCGGCGGAGGAGGCGGCGGCGGCGGCGGCGGCGGTGGCGGCGCGCGGGTCACGCCGAGAGGAGAACCCGGATGTAAAGTCCAAGATGAAGGCAGTGCGGCGAGTTTGTCTTAGCCTTCTCTCCAAGTCCAGCAAGTTTATTGCTACGCTTGTTCCGGCCTTCTGCTTCAAAGGAAACAGAACCAAAACAAGCACCTCTTCGCTCCGCCCCCTCGCAGGTTCTTGCACTACCGGGTGGGGCCCCGGGGCGCTGCGCACGCGCGCCAGGGCACAGCCCCGCCCCTTACTCGGAAGTACGTGGGCAAAATCGCCGCCGCCGCCGCCACAACAATTGCAACACCAACCAATTGAGCAGCTGCGTGGGACCTCGACGACGCCCACGGGCCAATCACAGGCGAGTGCTCGCCCTCCGGTGCCCTCCGTCTCAAATTTCAGTCAAAGTCGACACCCTGGTTCCCAGCCTTTCTCCCCGTCAGTTCCGTCTTGCTCTTCACTTTTCTCCCCGAAGCTCTGACCTGCAGGCGTCGGTACTGCGGACGGACAGCGTGGCCTGTCCCACGTACGACAGGAAAAACACCTCCCCTCCAGGATTCCAACTTGAACGCTGTCAGCCGGAATGACTGGAAAACATCAACACTCCCGGGAGCATAGCTGGCCCCTGTAGCGTCACTTCCGGTCCCACCCACCTACAAATACCCTTCCGGGGGAGGCGGACACCGCTTCGCCCCGGCAACAGCCTGAGTTCTGCGGTGATTGGTTAAGAGACGCCGTCACTCGCGGCATACCGACCAACCTTGGGACAGACAGGCGCCGTGGGGACAGTGGTTGTTTGGGAAACAGACACGCCTTCTCTGGCACCACAGCACTCTCGGCCTCGCGTTGACCTCCCCGCCCCTATGGCTAGTGCGCAGGCGCGGCCCAGCCTTTTTTTTTTTTTTTTTTTTTTTTTTTCCTAATTGAGACAGGGGTCTCACTCTGTCGCCCAGGTTGGAATGCAGTGGCGCGATCATAGCTCACTGCAAACTCCAACTCCCAGGTTCAAGCGATCCTCCCGCCTCAGCCTCCCGAATAGCTGGGACCACAGGCGCGCACCACTACGACCGGCTAATTTTTTTTTCACTTTTTTGTAGGGACAAAGTCTCACTATGTTGCCCAGGCTGATCTCCAGCTCCCGGGCTCAAGCGATCCTCCCGCCTCGGCTTCCCAGAGTGCTGGGATTACAGGCGTTAGTCACCGCGCCTGGCCAAGCCCAGCCTTTTTCTAAAACTGAGTTTGCTTGGGTCGATCGAGGTTTATGAAAGCTCTGTCACCAGTCAGCGTCTCAAAATGGGGTTGGCAGAATCCCTGCTATTGAGTAGCTGGAGAGCTACACGCTAATCCTAGCTCTGCCCTTCCTGTCTGAGTGATCTTTGTCAGTCATTTAAAACCCACCCCGTCCTCAATTTTTGTTGTTGTTGTTTACTTTTTTATAGAACGCTTCACGTATTTGCGTGTCATCCTTTCGCATAGTGCCATGCTAATCTCTGTATCGTTCTAATTTTAGTATATGTGGTGCGAAGTGAGCACCCATCCTTAATTTCTATTCTATAAATTGGCAATAATTCTAATCCGAGGATCAGAGATTAATGCTTGTGAAGGGCCTGGTGCTGTGCCCAGCACATAGGAAGTGTTCAATAAAGTAGTCTGCATGGTGGTGCAGTGGAAGGATCCCAGGCTTTGGAGCCAGAAAGACCTCAGTTCCAGGCACAGATGGACCATTACCAACTGTATGACCTTGAGCAAGTCATTGTGTCACTTTTGAGATTACCCATGTGTAAAACAGGAATGATAATACCTGCCCAGACTACCTCAGGGAATGGTTATGGGGTTCAGATGAGCTGATGAACCAAGAAGGTATTTGGAGTTCACTTCCAGTCTTAGGAGACAAACCATACAACAGGTTGACTGAAAGAGACCATGGGAAAGCTGTTTTGAGTATAGCCTTGCCTCCCTTGAGATACTAACCCTAGTTGAAATTCTTCCCTGAAAGGTGTAAGTAATAAATGGGCTCTAAGTAGTGTTTTCTGCTCATGAGACTTAATAGGAGGGGACTTTCACGTTTACCGGGCCTGTTGTGTTCAGGGCTCTGTGCCAAATGCCTATGCACATTATCACATTGAATCTTCTCATGATCATCTCACTCCAGCCCCATATATTTCACTCACTACACATCTAAAACTGAACTCATGATAGCAATCATGGCTACCCTTCACCAAGTACTTACTATGTACCTAGCACTGAGTGCTGACAGCTCTGATGTTCCCTTTACCAGGGAATAGCACTCCCATCCAGCCGTCGTCCAAGCCAGAAACTGGGAGTCAACTTTGACTGCTCCCTCTTCCTCAACTCCCACATGCCTGTCAATCCCAAGTCCTGCCAATTCTGCCTCCCAAATCTCTAGACTCTCCAATTCTACTGCCACTACTCTGGTCCAAGCCACTGTCCCCTACCACCTGGACTATTATAAAAGCCTCCACCCTACTTTTCTTCCTTCCAGGACTGTTTCTCTATATCCACTCTCCACAGCCAGAATGATCATTCTGAAACACAAACTTCATCATGAGTTTTCTGTTTAAGTCTTTAGAGGTCCCCACTATCTTTAGGATGAAGTTTAAAATTCGCGTCATAGCTTCAAAGCTTTTTATTATCTAGCCTACCTCTCCATCCTTCCTCTCCTCACAGCCTCACACTCTCCTCCCCAGCTGGACTGAACTACTTTCAGTTCCCCAAAGGCCTGAGCTCACTCTCCAACCTCCAGGTCATTGCACATGCTGTTCCCTCTGCCCAGAACATTGCATCCTTTCATTTGCTGCCTGGCTAACTCCAACTCATTCCCTGTGTGTTGGCCAGGTTAAGTTCTCCTGCCATCTGCATGCCTCTATAACACATGGATCTTAGTTCTGCCACACCATGTTGTAATTACTTGTCTGCCTTCCATGCTCAACTATACATCAGAGACAATGTCTACTTTGCCCACCTTTGTATCCCTAGGGCTGGCACATGATGGAAGTTAATAAATATTTGGTGACTAAATGAATTATCCCTATTTCACAGACTAGCAACCTGAGGCAAGAGAAGGTAAGTGATTCTCTCACCCAGGGATTGGAACCCAGATCAACCTGAATCCATGGTCTGTCTGCTCAGTGCTCTATAGAACTCAGCCACACACTAGCCTAGTGTAGCCAGTAGCCCAGAAGAGAGAATGTAGGGGGCGTCCACAAGGAAGGGAAATTCACCAAACAAAGTGATGCTTTTATTAGGGTTAAATTCAGGGTTGTTTGCTGTCAGGAAGCCTGGGTTTAAGCCTCCTCTAACTAACTATGTGTTTCTCTGGGTCTCAGTTTCCCGATCTGTGAATCAGGAAGCTGGCGCAGATGATATCCAAGGAGGAATGTCTCAGGACCCCCTGGCCTGTCTCACTGGCTGTAGATGAACTCCTCAAACCACACTCTTTCATTTCTCCTGGATCCCCATCTTCCAGAATACATCACCAACCATCCATCTCCCATACCTTGACCCATACCAGCCCTTCTCCTAGCCAAAAGGGATTGAAATCAGAGTGTTTTCAACCCCCAAGCCCAACCCAGCCCCCAAACCCACAGAGCCAGGAGATACTCTCAGTCCTCATCTCTCCTCTCAGGTTTTATTGACTGATGGAAACTACATCTTTGTCAGCCACCAGCTCCATGGGGACAGTGCTGGGGACAGGGAACCTGAGATGATGCCAGATTTCAGCCTGAGAGCAGAGTTTTGGAAGGTCACCCAAGAGGGAGAAGAAAGGAATATGTGAAAAGGAATTGTAGGGGAGGAGGAGGAGGAGAAGTTCCTCCTGTCTCCTATAACTCCCAAAGTTCAGAAACATCCCAGGCCGGAGCCCCTGATGCTTCTGGACTGTTGCCCAAGAACATGGAATCAGCCCATGATCTCCAAATACAGCCCAGCTCTTGCTGGTTGCCAGGCTCTTATCTCAGCCAGTCCAGACTCCAGCCCAACCCAGGAAGGACGCAAACCAGAGGAGAAGAGAGGAGGAGGAGGAGTTAGAGGTGGCCCCTCTGATTAGGGCAGATGTAAATGCTGCAGCAAACTGGTCAGAGGCTTTGCATAATGACACGGCAGCAGCTGCTATTGCTAGAGTTTGCTGGGGGCCCAGCAGAGGACAGGGTTGCGGGGTCCATTTCCAGCAGCCAGGGAAGGGGATGGTAGAATTTGTGCTATCTGAGTGTGTGTTGGGAGAGGCAGCCTGACCCCTCAGGCAAGGCCTGGGGATGGCAGGTCGCTGCAGAGGCCACAGCCCATGAAGCCTGTGTTTGCATTCCAAGCTTCAGAATCTGGGAATTGTTGGGCCAGATGGAGATGAGGACCTCTCGTAGAGGCCAGATCAGAGGTGAGGGTTCTCTTCTCTGAACCTCCAAAGCTCCATATCCCAGCCAGAGGGAGGAGGAAATCTCAACTCTCCTTCTTAGGCTAGAGCTCAGATGTCGGATCAAAGCTTTGCCTTCATCTGAGAGCCCAAGGGGAGGAGCATGCAGGAGTCCAGCTGGGAGAGTGGGGCCAGTCCCAGTGTGCTAGGGCAAGGAGGCCAGGGGCCTGTGGAAGCCCAGTGCTTCAGCTCCCACCAGGAAAAATGTCTGGGGTGGGAGGAAGTTTCTCATTTCCTGGCTACTTCCCCACTATGTGGACCATTTCATGAAACTCCATTGCATAGTTCTCAGTGGGGGGGGCAGAAGGGGTGCCCAAGCCTGCCCCTCTCTGCCTCCCAAAAATATGGCTTTGGAAAGGAGTTCCCAAAAATGAAGAGGACCCTCTGAATCAGCAGGCCTACCCCTCACAGGGATGAGATCTTGACAGTCTCGGGGAAGAGGCAAGGGGTACCCAGGCTGGAGTTCCTGAGGGTGCTGCCGGCCCTGCCACCGCCGCCAGGGGAGGAAGGTTGGCTCTCATCTGGGGTGTTGGCAGGAGGGGTAGGGATGCTGATAATGGCAGCCACGAAGTCCCGGCTGTCGCAGTTCAGGTCAAGGCTGTCATGGGGCTTGGCATTGAGGCTGGAACGGCTGTGGACAAGGGTGGAGAAGATGGAAGGCTCTTAAAAAGTTATCTTAGGCCGGGTGCGGTGGCTCATGCCTGTAATCCCAGCACTTTGGGAGGCCGAGGTGAGTGGATCATCTGAGGTCAAGAGTTCGAGACCAGCCTGACCAACATGATGAAACCCCGTCTCTACTAAATACAAAAAATTAGCTGGGCATGGTGGCGCATGCCTGTAATCCCAGCTACTCGGGAGGTTGAGGCGGGAGAATTGCTTGAACCCGGCAGGCAGAGGTTGCAGTGAGCTGAGATTGCACCACTGCACTCCAGCCTGGGTGACGGAATGAGACTCTGTCTCAACAAAAAAAAAAAAAGAAAAAAAGTTATCAGCCGGGTGCTGTGGCTCATGCCTGTAATCCCAGCACTTTGGGAGGCCGAGGCGGGCGGATCACGAGATCAGGAGATTGAGACCATCCTGGCTAACGCGGTAAAGCCCCATCTCTACTAAAAATACAAAAAATTAGCCAGGCGTGGTGGCAGGCACCTGTAGTCCCAGCTACTCAGGAAGCTGAGGCAGGAGAATGGCGTGAACCCAGGAGGCGGAGCTTGCAGTGAGCTGAGATTGCACCACTGCACTCCAGCCTGGGTGACAGAGTGAGACTCTGTCTCAAAAAAAAAAAAAAAATTAATACTTGCCACAGCAATCATGGCATTTATTGAGCACCTACTGGGTCCCTGGCACTGTGCTAAGTACTTAAGTACTTCTCCTGCATCCCCAATTATGGTGGTAAAGAGTGAGGACTCTAGAGTCAGATAGTCCTGGGTTCAAATCCTGGTCCCACTTTAACCACTCCAAACCTCTCTCTTCTCTCATCTGTAGCATGGGACGAACACTATCTCCCACCTCATAGGGTTGCTGTGGAGATTAAATGAGATTAAAAATGATACGAAGTGCTCAGAGCAGTGTCTGGAACACAATGTGCATACATATGAAAATGCTATCTCTCATGGTTACTCCTAACAGTGTCCAAGTCCTTACAAACTGTCCATAGTAGGATCTAAGGTGGGACCCTCGCTCCTTTCTGAGTTTGCCTCTTACCAGTCTCCCCCAGCTCACTCTCCTCCACCCATGATAGCTTCCTTGCTATGTCTCTAATGTGGACCCACATCTGCCTCAAGGCCTTTGCACAGGCTGTTCACTCTGCTTAGAAAGCTCTTCCTCTAGTTATCTGCATGGCCCACTCCTTTGCCTCCTTCAGGTCTTGGCTCAGTTGTCACCTCAGTAAAGCCTTCTCTGACCACACTACTAAAACTGCATCACCAGCCAAGAGTGGTGGCTCACACCTGTAATCCCAGCACTCTGGGAGGCCGAGGCAGGTGGACCACCTGAAGGTCAGGAGTTTGAGGCCAGCCTGGCCAACATGGTAAAACCCCATCTCTACTAAAAATATAAAAAATTGGCTGGGTGTGGTGGCTCATGCCTGTAATCCCAGCACTTTGGGAGGTCAAAGTGGGCAGATCACAAGGTCAAGAGATTGAGACCAGCCTGGCCAACATGGCGAAACCCTGTCTCTACTAAAAATACAAAAATTAGCTGGGCGTGGTGGCGCGCACCTGTAGTCTCAGCTACTTGGGAGGCTAAGGCAGAGAATTGCTTGAACCCGGGAGGCGGAGGTTCCAGTGAGCCAAGATCGCGCCACCGCACTCCAGTCTGGGCGACAGAGCAGGACTCTGTCTCAAAAATAAATAAATAAATAAAAATAAACATAAAAAAATAAAAATATAAAAAACTAGCTGGGTATGGTGGCGGACACCTGTAATCCCAGCCACTTAGGAGGCTGAGGCAGGAGAATCGTCTGAACCCGGGAGGCAGAGGTTGCAGCAGTGAGCCGAGATCACGCCACTGCACTCTAGCCTGGGCAACAAGAGCAAAACTTCGTCTCAAAAAAAAAAAAAAAAAATGCAGCCAGGCGCGGTGGCTCACGCCTGTAATCCCAGCACTTTAGGAGGCCAAGGCAGGTGGATCATGAGGTCAGGAGATCGATACCATCCTGGCCAACATGGTGAAACCCCGTCTCTACTAAAAATACAAAAATTAGCCGGGTATGGTGGCACGTGCCTGTAGTCCCAGCTACTTGGGAGGCTGAGGCAGGAGAATCGCTTGAACCCGGGAGGCGGAGGTTGCAGTGGGCCGAGATCGCGCCACTGCACTGCAGCCTAGCAACAAGACTCCGTCTAAAAAAAAAAAAAAACTGCATCACCACCCTGCTGTATGCTTTTTTTTTTTTTTTTTAGACAGCGTTTCACTCTTGTTGCCCAAGCTGGAGTGCAATGATGTGATCTCAGTTCACTGGAACCTCCACCTCCCGGGTTCAGGCAATTCTCCTGCCTCAGTCTCCCAAGTAGCTGGGATTACAGGTGCGCGCCACCACACCCAGCTAGTTTTTTATATTTTTAATAGAAACAGGGTTTCACCATGTTAGTCAGGCTGGTCTCGAACTCCTGACCTGTTATCCACTCGCCTTGGCCTCCCAAAGTGGTGGGATAATAGGCATGAGCCACTGCGCCCGGCCTGCTCTATGCTTTCTAGCCCCCATCCCTGACTGACTTTTCTCCTTGGTGTTTACAGCTGTTGATATGCTATATAATCTGTGTATTTGTTTATTAACTGTCTTATCCCACTAGAATAGAAGTTCCAGAGGACTGGGATACAGGGGCTTCTGTCTGTTCATTCACTGCCACATCCAAGTTGCCTACAACTGTGCCTGCCACACAGTAGGTGCTCAATAAATATTTGGTGAAAGAATGGATGAAGAGGCCAGGCGAGGTGGCTCATGTCTGTAATTCCAGCACTCTGGGAGGCTGAGGCAGGTGGATCACTTGAGGTCAGGAGTTCGAGACTAGCCTGGGTAACATGGCAAAACCTCATCTCTACTAAAAATACAACAATTAGCTGGGCGTGGTGGTGTGTGCCTGTAATACCAGCTACTTGTGAGGCTGAGGCAGGAGAATCGCTTGAACCCAGGAGGTGGAGGCTGCAGCGAGCTGAGATCCCGCCATTGCACTCCAGCCTGGGTGACAGTGAGACTCCGTCTCAAAAAAAAAAAAAAAAGAATGGATGAAGAATGAGTTCCAGACAAGATAAGCCCAAGCTTCCAGCATGGAGGGGTTTGGGTTCGAGCTTGACTTGCTAGGCCTGGAGTTATGAAATCTCAGAGCTACTGGTCTAAGCTCTGAGCTTCCCCAGGTGTGGCTAGCAGGTAGGAGGGCTGCTTACCTCTGAGGGGCATGGCTCCTGCGCAGCCCTGCCAGCATGTCCAGCTCCTGCATGCTGCCACGGCTGACTGAGGCAGTGGAGTTGGCAAGGCGGATGGCGCGGCGCTTGGCCCTGCGAGGGCAGCAAGAAGACAGCAGGCTTCCGGGTCCCACTGGCTGGGAAGACACAGAGGTGCTACGGCTGGTGCGGCCACCCGGCGAGACGGCTCCCAGGGCTTCACTGAAGGTGAGCTCATCTGTGAACTCATGGCACTATGGGCAGAAGGGAGGCAGGGTCACGGGGCATCCCATGGGAGCTGATCCCACCCTCAAGCCTTTGCTCAGGCTGTTTTCTCCTTTCTGGACATTGTTCCCTCTTCCCTTCCCTTGCCCATTCTTCAAGGCTTGGCTCTCCTGTAGCCTCTTCCAGGAAGCTCTGTGTGATTTCCACAATTTGTAGTGAGCCTCCCATCCAAGGGAGAGAGCTGGCATGGCCGCAGAGGGACCCCCTCTATTCTGCTATATCACCTCACATTAGGCCTCACCGTTGTCTTCTCTAGACAGTGCAGCAAGTGGTGATGTTGCTGTTCAAAGGCAGAACGGTTCCTGACACAAAGAGCCTGTTCCTCGCCACTGCCGCTGTCCTGGAGTAGATGGAGCAGAGCGATAAGGGCAGCACCTTCCTCCCCGTTATGGCTCACCCCAACCCTATCCAGGCCCCGACCCACCTCAAGGCCCCCATTCTGCTTGTACTGCAGGAAGGCATTGGTGGTACCACTCTTTGCCAATCGGATCCTTGCCAAGCGCACCTTCTGCAGAGAGAGGAGATAAAAGGTCAGGTGGGTAAGCCCCAAAGTAGACTGGCTTGGGGTGTGGGGAGTAGGAGGTGCTCGGATGGAAAGTGCGGTTACCTGCTGTGCTCGGCGCTTGTCAGCCCGCTGGTTCTGGTGGTAGATGCGGCTAAAGTTGGACACAATGACTGGCACAGGCAGGGCAATGACCAAGACGCCACTGAGTGAGCAGATGGACCCGAAAATCTTGCCAGCAATGGTGCTGGGCACCATGTCTCCGTAGCTGGAGCGAGGGGAGGTAGGCCAAGGTCAGGAAAAGTGCCCACCTACCTTTCAGTCCCCCACTCCATCCCATCTAATCCGGACTAGCTCTGTGACCCTGGCCAGGCACTCAAACCTTCTGAGTCCCTCAGTTTCTTGCTCTGTAAAATGCTGGGTGGCCAAGTGAGAAATGGGCCTGGCCCTCAACCCCTACCATCTGCTGCCCCTGTCCAAGCTACATACCAAGCACCTGAGTCAGCTAGAAATCTATGAAAACCAAGCAGAGGGGAGCATGAGGAAGTCACAGGCAGTGAACACAGCCTCCTGGGGAGAGAGTCCCAGCACCACAGGCCAGCCGAAGGGCTTCAAGTCCCGGGAGGAGTGTTTTGTTGGTTTTGGCTGCCTCTGTCTTACCTGCTCTAGGTAGGACCCCTTTTCATTCCCCTATAGGGGAATCCTTGAAAACTGTCCACATATGACAAAACAGGGAGGAGCCTTGAAACCCTCCTGCCTTTCTCCATGCCACCCACCTCCCACAGAGACAGAGCAGAGCCAACCTTACTAACTTGTTCACAGAGAGCTCCCCTGAAGATCAGGGAGATTCTGTAACTGACTCGCCCAAGATCACACTGCATACTCTTGTTCTGACCGCAGAACCAATCAGAACTCCTCCAGAGAAACACAGCCTCTGCAGTCTTCAGCCTCTAAGCCTTTTCTCAGGCTGTGCCCTAGGATGGCTGTTCCTTATTTCGGTATTTTCACTCATTTTAAGCATTCAGGACTCTGCTCAAAAGTCTTTCCAACTTGGCCATTGCTGGCTCTGTGATGTGTCATCTCAGAGCGTGTCCTCAACTGTGAGACATGGGCAGCCATCCACCATCACAGAGTTGTTGTGAGGACTTGAATAGAGTAAAAGCCATCAAAATACTCAGTTCCAGCCCACTGTCAGCGCTCAGTATTTGTTTGTCAGTCTGATCCTGGACCTCCAACCAGAATTGGGGTTTCTACGCTTTAGAAACCCCAAATCAACTTTTTTTTGTACCTCTATGAAGAAACTGAGCAAACCCAATTCATTCAGTCATTCCTTCAACAGATACTGAGCACCAACTGTATACCCAATCCCAGTGATGGAAACTTAGAGAAGGATCACAGCATCTGCCCTAGACAGTATCTTTGGAAAGCTCATGAGTTCGATGATTCCATTTGATACTTTTATCCCAACTCTGTTTCTTCTGCAGGGATCGACAAAAAAATAATAATAATAAAAATGCTGAAAACATCTTGTTCTGGGAAACATCAAGGAATCACAAAGGCTCAGAAGTAGTGCCCCACACAGCAGACAATTCTAGAAGGTTGGGAGACATGGGTCCCCAAAACAGAAAAAGGTGCTAGAAAGCCAACACCTATGTATCCTGCACCAGAAACATTCAGAGAACTTTCACAACTATGATGTCATTGAATCCTCTCTAGATGATGAAGGGATCAGCATTTCCCATTTTACAGAGGGGAAAACTGAGGCCATGAGAAAACGACATCAACAGAAAGAGAGCAGCTAAGACAATCCTTGAACCCAAGTCTCCTGACCTAGAAAATCAAGGCATTGTCAGAGCTGGGAGGGATCTGAAGAATTAAGTCCAGCTCCCTCAGTTTGTACAGATGAGCAAACTGAAGCTCAAAAAGAGAAAGAGGCCAGGCGCGGTGGCTCACACCTGTAATCCCGGCACTTTGGGCGGCCAAGGCGGGCGGATCACCTGAGGTCAGGAGTTTGAGACCAGCCTGGCCAACGCGGTGAAACCCCGTCTCTACTAAAAATACAAAAATTAGCTGGGCATGGTGGCGTGTACCTGTAATCCCAGCTACTTGGGAGTCTGAGGCTGGAGAATCACTTGAACCCAGGAAGCAGAGGTTGTAGTGAGCTGAGATCTTGCCACTGTACTCCAGCCTGGGCGACAGAGTAAGACTCCATTTAAAAAGAAAGAAAGAAAGAGATCATTCCTTTAAACTTCCTAATTTTACAGAAAGGGTGAGTGTAATCGGGCAGCCCCCAACGCAGAGTCCACACTCACCCAAGCGTGGTCATGGTGACAATGGTATACCAGAAGGCCGCAGGGATGCTTGTAAAGTTGGTCTTGTTTGTGCCCTTCTCAGCATAAAACATGACAGTGGCAAAGATGATGATGGCCATGGTTAGGGAAAAGAGGAGAAAGCCCAGCTCAGAGGCACAGCTCTTGAGTGTGTAGCCCAGAATCCTCAAGCCCTGTGAGTGCCTGGAGAACTTGAAGATGCGAAACACCCGGAACACACGCAGGGTGACAAAGGCGCCAGAGACATCGTCGTTCTTGGGCACCAAAAGCCCAATGTAGTAGGGCAGGATGGCCACCACGTCGATGAGGCTCATGACACTCCGCAGGAAGCGGCAACGGCTGGGGGCGGCAAACAGCCGCAGGAGGTATTCACCTGTGAATATGAGTACACAGGCTGTGTCCATGCAGAAAAAGGCCTGTGGGAAGCGTTCGCCACAGGGCTGCTCCCTTGAGGACCTGCGTGCAGAGCCGCGGCATGGGATGGTCTCCACCACATTGGCGATGACCGACACGGCGATGAAGAAGCCGGTCACATAGTAGAAAACGAGGGCTGCGGTGCTCGTGTGTGGATTCTCGAAGGCCCGCCAGAGCCGCTGCCGCAGGGAGCTGCCTGCTGGCAGGGCTGGGCCGTCCCCGGCCTGCTCTGCCTCCTCATCCTCTGCCAGGCGCTCGGCATTCTCCTTCTTTCGGTCCCGATACTCTTCAAGGCAGCAGTCACCGACTAGCTCGGGAACCAGGCCGTAGAAAGCCAGCTCTTCGTCGAAGGCCTGGATGCACTCCTGCCGTGGGCAATGCAGCCGCCCCGTTCGGTAGAAGTTCAGCACATGGCGGAACATGTCAGGGTCGCGATCGAAGAAGTACTCGCCTGAGTCAGCATCGTAGAAGAATTCCTTCTCCGAGCTGCCCAGCAAGGTGTCTGGGTAGCGGTCCAGCGTATTCTTCCAAGTCTCAAAGCGCCGTCCGCTCACGTTCACCACCAGAACCTCATCTCCTCGAGATGCCTTCACCCCCGGTGCCGGGGGCAGGGGTTGCTGGGCCAGGGGCAGCCAGCCCACTGCTGCTGCCCGAGCAAAAGGCAGCCACGTGGCCAGGCCTGCCGCCATCGTGCCACTCCCCAAGCCCAGGGAGACTTAGTGAGGGTGGCGTTTAGGAGAATGTGGCTGTCTCCAGGATGGTGGGGGCTTGGAGACACCTTGAGCCACCCAAACAAGGAAACTGGGGGTGTCTAGAGAGGCCAAGAGGAACCAGGAGGAAGAACTAAAGAGATGGGAAGGAGTCTGGGGGACATTTACAGAACCTAGGAGGGGCCTGGGCAATGTTCTGAGGGACTGAGAAGGGCCTTGGGGACATGGAGAAGAGCAGAAAAGGGGTGTGGGGATGGGGCCAAGAAGGAGCTGAGGGAGGGTTTAGAGAGACTGAGATGATTCTAAAGGAGTCAGCCTGTGCCTGAGAGGTGTCTGGGGGCGTCTAGAGGGGCCAAGAAACACGTGGGGAATTCTCTGCACTCTCAAGAGTCTCAGGGAAGGCAGAAGAGCCTGGAATTCCTTTGCAGTGGTGGAGAGGAGACTGGGGCATCCAGAGGGGTAGAAATGGGACCAGAGGTGCTTGAAAGAGACTGAGAGTGCCTGGAAGTGGGGGTTCTAGAGGGGCTGAGACAGGTGAGGAGGGTTGTCCACACCCTCAAGACTTCTAGGGGAAGCATAAGAGGGTTAGACCCCCCTCATGGATCTGGAAAGGGAGCTGGTGCATCTTGAGGGGTGGCTGTGGATCCAGGAGGTTGTAAAGAGGCTGAAAGGTGTCTTGGGACTGCCTAGAGTTGCCAAGAATAGCCCGGGGGGGTGTCTATACTCTACAGGAGTTCTGGGGAAGAAAGGAGAGGCCAGAGCCTCCTAGTAGGGCTGGAGAGGGGAAGGGGTTATCTAAAGGGGTAGACAGGGGGCTGGGTTATTTTTTGAGAGGCTGAGAGTTATCTGGGGGAGGTGGGTATCTAGACGGGCCAACAAAGCCTGGTCGACACTCTCAGGAGTTCTACAGGGAGGAAAAAGGGGCCTGGGGAATTCCAAGGGCCGGGACTCAAATGTTAGGAAGTTGGGCACAATCCCAGAGCACCCAGGGGATCTATGAAGACTAAATAAGAGGAAGGGGGTTAACCCCAAAATGGGATTAAGAGGGGGGTGGGGTGTTGAAAGGGAGTTGGGTGTGTCTCCAGGGAGGGGGGCTCCTGGGCTTTGCAGGAAGCTGGCAGGAGACGCCGGGAGAAGGCTGGGTCCCACCGTTGGGGGCAGGTCTGGGGAAACCACACCCCGAGGGGCTGGCGGTGTGTACTGGGCAGTGGCAGTAGCAGCAGCGGCAGCAGGAGGAAGAGAAGCAACCACAGCCAGGCATAGGAGAGAAGGTGGCATAGGCAGGGGGAGGGTGCGGGGTCCCTGGAAGGAGGCCTGGGAAGGGCAAGGTCCAGTGGGACCCCTGGGGACTATCCCAGGATGGGTTAGGGCGTGGGGGCTGGACCAGGGAAGGATGAGGACAGCGCTAGTGGTGGTCCCCCTCCCCCTCTCTCTCGGGGCGTCCTCACCTGTGTCCCCGCTGCAGGAGCAGCAACAGCGGTGGGGCTGGGGGTACCAAACACCCGAGCTCCTGGCCCCCTCTGCAGAGCTGCCTGAGTTCTCCTCCTCCTCTGGCTCTCTCTCCCCGCCCCTCTGAGCTTGCCGGGAGATGGAGAGGCAGGGAGGGGCCTCGTGGCTCCCTGAGCCCCCTCCCCTAGGACAGCCAGAGAGGGACCCTGGGGAGACTCCGCCTCCTACAAAGCTGGTTGGGCCTCAGTCGCGTCATCTGGAAAATGGGGGTGGCAGGGAACTTCGCCAATTCTCTCCACCTCCTTCCTGGACTCCCCTCTCTTCCTGCCCAGCTCCTACCCGCTCTGCCCCCAGGGGCCCCCACCCCCACTCGCCTGAATCAGCAGCACTTAGCAGATCCGATCGATGGGAAGGCGTCTGTTAATGGCCCCAGAGCGGAGTGCCACAGGGAATGATGCAGCGCTGTCCCCTCCCTGCCCCCCAGACTGTGGAAAGGCAGGAGAGCCAGGAGTCGGGGGTAATTGCTGGGGAGTGTTTCTCTAGATGGCCAAGCTTCCGAAGCCGCCCCCTTGAGGGGCGCAGCATGGGTTACAGCCCCAGCTCTAAGACTTCGGCTGTGGGATTGGAGCACGGGACTTCCTGTTTTTAGATATGAAATGAGGGTAAAGGGAATGTAGAGGGGGACAATCCAGGTCCCACCCCCCTACCATCTCAGGCAGGCCCCACTCCGAGGGGGTAGTCTCTCTTATCTGTCCATATCCAGTGGCCTCAAATCACACCTCCTCCGCTAGAGGGCTCTGCTTCTGGATGGCAGGAGCACTGATTATGGAATGCCTCTGGCTGGCTATGGGTGGGTTCAAACCCCAGCTTTGCCACTGACTTGCTGCATCCTTGAGCAAGTGACTTGCATTGTTTCCTCAGTTGTCAGATGGAGAGACTTATCCCAACTTGATAGCGTCATTTGGAGCATTACATGATGTGAAAGGTGATAGCACTGGACACAGCTCACACCAGGGATGCTTAATCTTAATTAAAGGAGTGTGATGACAGGGGCACTGTAATGCAGGGCCAGGCCTAGCCTTTCACCCAAGATTTACCCACCCGTGTAAACTTCCAATTGCCCATTTGGCACACTCCTGATTTGTCCATTTCTACATCCATTCCTCCACCTACCCATCCACCCATTCTCCCACCCACACAATCAATTCCTCTATCCATCCCTCCACCCACCCGTCCACTTAGTCGTTAATCTACCCACCCACTCATTCATCCATTTGTAAGTTCACCCCATTTGGCTGTTTGCCAATCTATCTGTATGTATCCATCCTCTGCCCATCTCTTCCCACCCGGAACACATGCAGGGTGACATCCTCTGCCCATCTCTGTCCATACATAGCTCCACTTGTCATTTCTTCTCCCACTCTTTACCCTTCCCATTCATTAGCTCATCTACCCATCCATCCATTCCCCCAACCATTGGTCCATTTACTCCTAACCTGTCCATAAACCCATCCATCCACCTGTCTACCTAAATCATCCACCCATTTGTCCATAGACCTATTATCCATCTGTCCATTTACATCTCTACTATCCATCCTCTATCCACCTACCAATCTATCTACCCATTTATTCATCTAACCACCTATCCATCCATCCATTTATTTCCCAATCTATCCATCATCAGTCCATGCAACCGTTCACTTATACATCCATCGGTCCATCCAACCACTTATCCATCCTCCCATCTGTCTACTCATCTATACCCACAATCCCATACATGTCTACCCATGTACATATCTGCAGGTATTTCAGCTCCACTCAGTTTGAGGGGCTGGTCAGCAGTAAATGGAGACAGGCTGGATGAGGGTGGGGAAAAGAGAGTAACGTTGCAGCCAGAGACCTCTCTCCCTATTCCAATGGTGTAAACCTCCCCGCCCCCAGCATATTCCTCCTGGTTGAAAAGAACGAGACGAGACAGTCAGTGGGTGGGCCCGTCTGGCCAGATGGTATTTTGGCTGCATAGCCTTTACACACACACACACACACGTGTTGCTAGAACGCTGAACATGGACCACACACCCACCCAGCATCCCCAATCCCAAATGCAGAGTAGCCAGGCTCCAGACATAAATTAAAAAATAAAATAAAATAAAATAAAAAGAGTTGGTCTCTGGGAAGGAGAGCTCATGCAGAGATGAAGACAGAAGCCCTTGGGAGCCAGGACCAAGAAGAAGGAGAAATCCCTGCCCCTTCCCTCAGGATCCCCACTCCCTGGTGGCCTCTGCCCTAAGACAGGATCATTAACACTAACCATCAGGCCTCTAGCCCCTTTAATGTCCAGTCTCCCAAGCTATTTGATTTTGGCTCCAGCCCTCATTTTTCCACCACAGCCCAAGGGAATAGCATCCTAGGGGGTAGGAAGGGGAGGAGGTGGGTGCAGCCTGCAGGTCTTTAGCTGGTTTCTCCTGGCTCTAGGTCTGGGTCAGGAGGCCCCACGCACTCCTTGCTGAGCCGCACAATTTCCTGGGACAGAACTTCCATATCCTAAGAAACAAATGAACCATCAGGGGCCAGAGAAGGGGACAGGCTGCTCCCTTGCCAAACGTAGGGTATCATCTGTGATTTCCCTCACACCCTTTCATTAATCAATGCTCAGCTGTGTCTGGCCTGGGATGAGAAGGTACTTGGAGAAGCTCACAGCACCCCCAACAGTGGGCAGGGCTCAGAAAAGTCATGAGGATGGGTGGGGAGCTACAGATAATGGGAGTGGGATGCCTCCTGTGGCATGGTGCTGCTGCAGGATACACCACCACTCTGGCCACCTGCTCTTCTAAGTGTGAGCTTGCTTCTCAAAGGCAGGAGCTGGGTCTGACCCCTTTCTAACTCTCAGAGATGGGGAAAGTCCTTGGGTGGCAGTTTGGGCAGAAAGATGTGTGTGTGGACCCATGGGCATGGGGGATCTATGGTAGACAAATTGGTGGACGAATGAATTGTCCAGAGGACAGATGGAGATCAACAGGTGGGCAGGCAGGTAACTGGGTGGGTGAAAGGTAACACAAGGGGCAATTGATGAGTAGATAAGAGAATGATATGTCAAGAAATGGGTGGCAGGACATGGGGTAGACAATGAGATAAGTAAGTAGTAGATTGGGTAGATGGACAGATGGGCAAATGGTTGGGTGAATGTGTAGATAAATGGATGAGCGGGTACATGGAAGGAATGAATGGATAATAAGTTGATGAGAGGGTGGAAGATGAGAGCATGATGGAGTAGTTGATGAGTGGGTAGGAGGATAGCTGGGAGGACAGGCTGGGTGGGTGGGCAAGGGGACTGGCAGATGACCCAGGGGCTATGTGGCTGGGTAGGCAGGTGGCTGGGTGAACAGATGGGTAGGCTGGCAGGCCACACTTGCCTTGTGCAAGTGCATATTCTTGGTGAGCTGCTCCTCCAGCATGTTCTGCAGCTTCTTGTTCATCTCCCGAAGGTTCTCGTCACCTGGCTTCACTAGGTCTCTCAGGACGCTGCCCAGCCCGCTGCGGTCTGTGTGGCCTGCTGCCACAGACACATCTGCAAGGGCCCAGGCTGAAAACCACCCCCTCGGCAGAGCCAGAGGAGAGCCAGGCAGAGCCAGAGGAGAAAAGAGGGAGACGAATACCAGGGGAGAAGGCAGCAGGAAAAGCCATGTCATGTAGGACAGAGGCTTTGACATACAAAACCTAGCTCTGTCACTCACTAGCTCTATGGCCCCGAGAAATGAGGATAACTAACTTGTGGAACTGGAAAGATGCACATGACTGTATGTGAAGCACAGAGCACACAGAAAGTCCTCAGCACATGTTGGTCAGTATGATTCTGATTAATAAAGAAAAATCTGTGAAGGAGAAAGTTTGAAAGAAAGCAAAAGCAATGAAGATACAGAGAAGGAAAACAATATAGACAGCGAGACAAGATGAAGGAGTGGGGTGAAAAAGAGAAACGGAGAAGAGAGAAGGGAGAGAGAGAGGAGAGGAAGATGAGGCACAGGGAGAGGAAAGGAGAAAGTGGACAGAGAGACACAATGGAGAATGGAGAGTGGAGAGATGACAGAGAAAGAGAGAAGAGGGAGGAGGCGAGATCAAGAGACAGTGCTTTCCTGTTCTCCCCTCCACAGGCCATGGTCTTGTCAGTAGCTTCGCTGAGTTCCGAGAGGAGAGGAGAGAAGCCGCAGCACAGAATGGAGAGGGAGGGCCAGGTGAAGGCTGGACCAGGGCTGAGGGCCGGGGAGGGGACACTGACCGATCCGGCTGTCCATGACGTAGGTCTCAATGATGGCGCTCTTCCGGCAGAGGTCCTCTGCCATGGAAGCACTGCTCACTTCCAGGTGCTTCACCTGCAAGATGGCCCAGCCCACCTGAGACCCCTCTACTGTACATGTTCACACATGAGGCGGGCCCGGGCAGACCCCACACCCACAAGGGCACTTCAAGTGGGGATGGGCAGGCAGGCAGGCAGGCAGCACCTTCTCCTCCAGCATCCATTTCTCCTGCTGTGTCTCTGCCAGCCGCTGAAAGAGCTCAGCCACTTCCTCATCTGACAGCTCTGCTGGCCGAGGGGGCTGGGCTTGAGGGCTGCTGGATAAGGACTGCAGGAAAGAGAAGGGGAGAGGCCAGCCCCGGGCTCAGCACCACCGACCCCAGACAGGTGTCAGGGACTGGGGAGGAGAACCAGGCCAGAGGTGGGTGAGAGAACATGGGCCCTGAAGCTGGGACTGTTGGCCCATCTTGGTACCCTCAGACTCTGTTTTCTCCTCTGCCTAAATGGGGGTAGAGAGTAACCACATCAGAGCCTTGTGGAGAGGATTGAAGGAAGATCCCAAAGCAAATGAGATCTAACTTTCAGCTGACAGGAAAACTGGAAGAGAGGGACATGTTAAATCATACCACCAGGAAGCCAGCAGAAAAACCCAAAAGGTAGCATACTTCCTGTGGGGTGACTGGGCTGGCCTCTTCAACAAATTGGTCTCAGGAAAAAAGGGACCGCACTAAAGAGATTTAAGGGCCATAAAACAACCAGATGTAACATGTGCTCTGAATCTGAATGCTAGTTTTCATAAAACCAGCAAGAAAGGACATTCTGGGGCCAACTAGAGAAATCTGGTTAAGGTCAAAGTATCAGACGACATGAATTTTTTTTTTTTTTTTGAGACAGAATTTCACTCTTGTTGCCCAGGCTGGAGTGCAATGGCAAGATCTTGGCTCACTGCAACCTCCAACTCCCAGGATCAAGCGATTCTCCTGCCTCAGCCTCCCGAGTAGATGGAATTACAGGCACGCGCCACTACGCCCAGCTAATTTTTGTATTTTTAGTAGAGATGGGGTTTCACCATGTTGGCCAGGCTGGTCTTGAACTCCTGACCTCAAGTGATCTGCCCGCCTCGGCCTCCCAAAGTACTGGGATTATAGGCAGGAGCCACCGCACCCAGCCAATGACATGAAAATTGATCAAATTGGGAAGGTAGAGACAACAGTTGAATAAAAAACAGGTTAATCTCATCTAGGTTTTAAAAAGAGAGAGAATTCTGGAAGGGTATGAACTAAGAATTTATTTTATTTATTTATTTTTTGAGATGGAGTTTCACTGTTGCCCAGGCTGGAGTGCAGTGGTGTGATCTCGGCTCATTGCAACCTCCACCTCCCAGGTTCAAGCGATTCTCTTGCCTCAACCTTTCGAGTAGCTGGGACTACAGGCACGCACCACCACGCCCGGCTAATTTTTGTATTTTAGTAGAGATGAGGTTTTGCTATGTTGGCCAGGCCAGTTCTCAAACTCCTAACCTCAAGTGATCTGCCCGCCTCAGCCTCCCAAAGTGCTAGGGTTACAGGCATGAGCCACCGCGCCCAGCCCTGAACTAAGAATTTATAATGGTGACGTCTGGATGGTGAAAATATTATTTTTTTTTGACATTTAAGGTTTTTTTGTTTTTGTTTTTTTTTTAAATAGAGTCGGAGTTTTACCACGTTTCCCAGGCTGGTCTTAAACTCCTGAGCTCAAGTGATCCGCCCACCTTGGCCTCCCAAAGTGTAGGATTATAGGGATGAGCCACCACACCCGGCCAGACATTTAAGGTTTTAAAAAAATCTTTGCTCATTTGTGGTTTTTAAAAAATGTACTACAATGAGCACATACTATTTGTGGAACAATAAAAAAGTTATTTCCAAAGGAAAGTGGCTGGTAAGGAGGCTGACATGACAGCCGGCAATAATAATTAGTGATCATTACAAGTTGGAAAAAGGGACCTTCTCCTTGGATGGTGCACCTACTATGAGCCACATAATTTATGGCACCAGAGAAGGGGGAATTAGCCCACAGATGATTAAACAGAAAGTCAGAGAGAGAGAATGACTGGCCTGTCCTGCATGTCGCAATCTGAATCCAAGTTGGTGGGCTTGGGGAAAAGTTGACAAGAAAATATGTGTGCTGCGCCCAAAGTAGGAGATGGGTTTAGGTGAGGAGAAAAGGGGAGGGGTTCTCAGATTTTTGGGTTGAGAGAAGCTGGAGCTGTAGGTTCTTCCTTTCCCCTTACCCTGGCTGGAACAGCCGAGCTCTCCTTTTCCCGCAAGATCTCCCGGTAGCTGAAGGAGGAGATGCTACTGCTGTCCCCTGTCTGGGTCCGGCTTGGTGAGTTCATCTCTGAGAGAACCAGCTCCTCAAGGCCTGGGTGGTGGAGGGAAGAGAAACTTGAGCCCCAATACCCCTGAGTCCCAGGGCAGCAACCAGCAGGAAGAGGCAGAAATAGATTTAACAGAGATGGAAAGAGAGACACCTGGGCATGGGGAAAGGCAGAAGCAGACAGGAGGACAGGGAGAGACAGAGACAGAAAAAAGAGCTGAGGCTGGGCGCACTGGCTCACACCTGTAATCCCAGCACTTTGGGAGGCTGAGGTGGGCTGATCACTTGATGTCAGGAGTTCGAGAACAGCCTGGCCAACATGAAGAAACCCCGTCTCTACTAAAAATACAAAAATTAGCCAGGTGTGGTTGTGTGTGCCTGTAATTCCAGCGATTCAGGAGGCTGAGGCAGGAGAATCGCTTGAACCCAAGGAGGCGGAGGTTACAGTGAGCCGAAATCGCACCATTGCACTCCAGCCTGGGTGACAGAGTGAGACTCTTGTCTCAAAAAAAAAAAAAAAAAAAACAGAAAGAAAAGAAAGAGCTGCCTTTCTGGAGAAACACATACAAAATGAGAGGGAGAAAATGGAAGAGGTTGGAGAAAGAGAACGACATGGGTACACATGGGTCTCAAGTGGCAGACACACTTGGACACAGGGTTCAGAGAAAGGAAGACAGCTAGAGAGGGCACAGGGCACATCCACTTGCAGAAAGAAAATGCCAGAGATGGAAAGCCAGAGCAGATGATAGAAACTGAGACCCTGGTGAAAGAAGTGAGCCAGAGCAGAGACAGAGAGAAAAAAAGATGCCGGGCGCGGTGGCTCACGCCTGTAATCCCAGCACTTTGGGAGGCCGAGGCGGGCAGATCACGAGGTCAGGAGATCGAGACCATCCTGGCTAAAACGGTGAAACCCCGTCTCTACTAAAAATACAAAAAATTAGGTGGGCGTGGTGGCGGGTGCCTGTAGTCCCAGCTACTTGGGAGGCTGAGGCAGGAGAATGGTGTGAACCCGGGAGGCGGAGGTTGCAGTGAGCCGAGATCGCGCCACTGCACTCCAGCCTGGGCGACAGAGCGAGACTCCGTCTAACAAAAAAAAAAAAAAAAAAAAAAAAGAAATGCAAGCAGGCTCTCGTACCCACGCACCTAAATCTCAGTTTAATCTAATGGACAAGGTGAATGTATTGAATGTATGGTATACGATTGTAACGTTTCCCAAGATTATTATTATTATTATTTTTTAGACAGAGTTTCAGTCTTGTCGCCCAGGCTGGAGTACAATGGCGCAATCTCGGCTCACTGCAACCCCTGCCTCCTGGGTTCAGGCAATTCTCCTGACTCAGCCTCCCGAAGTAGCTGGGATTACAGGCGCCCGCCACCACACCCAGCTAATTTTTTGTATTTTCAGTTGAGACGGGGTTTCACCGTGTTGGCCAGGCTGGTCTTGAACCCCTGACCTCAGGTGATCCACCCACCTTGGCCTCCCAAAGTGCTGGGATTACACCTTTCCCAAGATTCTTACATTCATCTGTGATAAAACAGAAACAAAACTCCTTTTTAAAGAAAGGTTACTTCAGGAGACCGAGTGCCTCAGAGAGAAATTGATTTGGTGAGAGATACACATCTGTTTTGCCACATCACTTAAAGCCCTCGAGGATCTCTGGCAAGGGTGGGGTGACTGAGTGGGGATCCGTAGGTATCCCGAGTGGGGGAATAAGGGACCAAGTTTTCTCTGAGTCTGTAATCTAAGAGATGCACCAGAGCCATCACTGCATTTTACTTACTTAAATGTATTTATAGGCCATCCCCGTCTTAAAAAAGGCTGAAGCAACTAAAGTTGTGTGTGTGTGTGTGTGTGTGTGTGTGTGTGTGTGTGTGTCTTCTGCTTGAAGTGGCAGAAATAACAGATTGGATTAGCTGTATAATGAAAACACCACAGCGTTGCTGACTATGTATAAGTCTGTCTCCGTAGCTCAACTGGGGGCTTCTAGAGGGCAGAGACTCAGGGAGTTTTATATCAGGGACCCTGTACTTGAGCAGGGAGATTTATAGAATGAGAGATTGTATACAATAGATTTAGAAATGCCAAGTGAGGTGTGGGAGTGTGTAATGTAGTACATACAGTGAGGAGACAGACAGAGATATAAACAGAAGAGACGAAGAGGACACAGAGTGGCGGGAAGAGATAAAGGGACAGAGAAAAGAAAGGGCGGGGGCCGGGCCCAGTGGCTCATGCCTATAATCCCAACACTTTGGGAGGCTGAGGCGGGCGGATCACCTGAGGTCGGGAGTTCGGGACCAGCCTGACCAACATGGAGAAACCCCGTCTCTACTAAAAATACAAAATTAGCTGGGCGTGGTGGTGCATGCCTGTAATCCCAGCTACTCAGGAGGCTGAGGCAGGAGAATTGCTTGAATCCAGGAGGCAGAGGTTGCGGTGAGCCGAGATCACACCATTGCACTCCAGCCTGGGCAACAAGAGCGAAACTCTGTCTCAAAAAAAAAAAAAGAGAGAGAAAAGGAGAAAACTAGAGAAAGAAAGCAAGGAGATAAAGGCAAACATAGAGGAAAGAGAGAGAACAAACTGAGACAGAGGCAGAGACAGAAACAGAGAAGAGACAGGGCAAAAACGAGAGAAAGATAGAAATAAAGAGAGAATGCAGAGAAAGAATCAGAGGAGAGACAGAGAAAAGGTAAAAGATGGAGTTCCAGAGCGACAGAAGCAGGAAAGCACAGCTGAGGAAGATGCAGGACTAACCTGCAGCCTGCAGGCCCAGGCCCTACCTCCCCCATGCCTCAGCCTCCTCTCCCTGTCCTAGTCCCTCACCTGAGCGGCTCTTGCTGTTAGTGAGGATGTCCTGCAGTCGCTCCTGCAGCTTATCTGCCCGTTTCCGCTCCAAATGCAGCTGCCGCTTGAGGTCCTTGAGCTGTGGGGGACAGGGGTAACATGAGGACTGAGGCCCAGTGGGCCCATAGGAGGGAGGCTACAGGTAGGAGGGAGCCGTGCTTGGGCACCGCTCTGTCTTACCGCAGCACTGCCCTTCTTCTCCAGGATCCTCTGCCCATCCACTGTGTCCTTCACCTCCTGTGGGAGAAAGCAGGCATGGCTGGTAGATGCCGGAAGGGCTGCCTGAAGCATGCTCCCTCCCTGCCCCTCCTGTACGCTGAGGATCAGGGGTGTGTCTGGGGCTGTGCAGTGACCACTGACCTGCTTCAGGCTGCTAATGGTCTTCAGGTGGCAGTCCCGCTCCTCCTGGGCCTGCTCGAGCTGATCCCGTACATCCTGTAGCTCCTCCTCCTTGCCCTGCAAAGCAGAAAGCAGCTTAGGCATTGGCTTGGGAAGCCTCTGTCCTCCCAGGAGGGCCCGTCACTGTCTGGAGAGAGGAACACCATCATGCGAGAGGCACCTTCAGCTCGGCAGCGTGCTGCTCCCGACACTGCTTGAGGGCTTCCTCTTGTTCCTGCTGCTGCTGCTGCAGGGATTCCTACAAGACAAGTCCCAGGTCTGGCCACAGCCCCCCAGAAGGTATCATGCCCAGTTAGGGGTATGAGGGACTGCAATGGGGGCCCAGAGGTATGCAGAAATGACCCTCCTGCAGGGAACCCCACACGCCCTTAGGCAATATGCTGAAGTGTCACATCTAAAGTTGCACCATTCGCATGGTTGACTTAGATTTGCATTTACATTTTATTTTATTTAACAAAACATAGCGCTTACTACATGCCAAGAATGTTCTAAGGGTTTTACATATATTAACTCATTTTCTATAATCCTCCCGTAATACCTAGATGGTAGATATTATTGTTACCCCCTTTTTACCATTGATGAAAACAGGCCACAGAGAGGTCAGATAACTTGCCCAAGGTCACACAGCTAGGAAATGGCCCAGCCAGGATTCAAACCTAGACAAACAACTGGCTCCAGCCTGTGCTCTTCACTGCTACATGACAATGCCTTTCAGTGTATTATGAGATTTCCAGAAAATGGCAACAAAGGTTCTTTTTCCGAGACAGAGTCTCACTCCGTCACCCAGGCTGGAGTACAGTACACGATATCAGCTCACTGCGACCTCTGCCTCCTGGGTTCAAGTGATTCTTCTGCCTCAGCCTCCTGAGTAGCTGGAATTACAGGCGCCAGCCACCATGCCCGGCTAATTTTTGTATTTTTAGTAGAGACAGGGTTTCACCATGTTGGCCAGGCTGGTCTTGAACTCCTGACCTCAAGTGATCCGCCCACCTCGGCCTTCCAAAGTGCTGAGATTACAGGCGTGAGCCACCGCACCCAGCAGGTTCTTGTTCAATAACATCAGTGTATTGCATTAATTTCCTGACAGAAGTACAGTTTCAGGAGAAAGAGGTGCCTTTCCAAATTTGCACAAAGGCAGGGCAGCCTTAACACGTGACAGTCTGTCCTATCTGATGGCCATCCCCTGATCCACTCCAGAGGGCTGCTATTGAGCCAGGGGACTGTGGGGATATCCCTAAGTCCAGAAAATCTCGGGAAGTTCCAGGGCCTGACCACTCCTGCTTCTGTGGTTTGACATGAGGGCCCCAATCAGCCTCTGTTCCTCACCAGGCATCACCAACTCACCTCGGCTTCCTTCAAGCGCCGTTCAAACCAGCCCTTGGCTCCATCCATGGAATGTACCTGAGCTTGAAGTTCTTCCACTGTCTGCTGGAGAGTCTCCAGCTCCCGTGTCCGGGCCTGGGATGGGGCAGACTGTCATGGGCCAGGAAGGCAGAGGAGCGGGCACCTGATGCATGCCACCCACTGGCCTATCAGCAACGCTGTGGTTCCCAGGTTTTAGAGGAAGAAGGGCATCATCATCTACCCACCCACCTTCTCCTCCCGGATCTGCCCACGGAGCTCCTCCTCCTGACGCTTCTTGTCTTCATGCAGCTCTCGGAGCTCACGCTCATAGCGGGCACGCACCCCCAGCACCTCCTTCTCATGCCGTAGACGAACTGCTCCCAGCTCTTCCTTGTGCTGGGACTTCTCTTGCAGCGTTTCCATTGCTAGCTCATCCAGCATGGCCTTCCGCTTCTCCGCACTCTGGGGGCCAGGACGATGGCAGTCAACTTCCTTCCACAACATCGAAAAAAGGCCTCCAACCCTCTTCCCATGCCCAAGGAACTAGCCAAACTCCACTCCCTCCCATCCCCACTGAACTGGCTAAGGCACTCACCCATCCTTATAGAACTGGTCACTTTCTTTCTTTCCCCTCCCACTCTCATGGATTTGGCCAAGAAACTGGTCAACCAGAAACCAGTCAATTTTCCTTTCCCTCCTATCCCCACATGTTTGGTTATATCACCTCCTCCCATCCCCATGGACTGAGCCAATTCCTACCCCCCATCCTCTCCCTTCAACCCTCATGTTCCCCTACCTTCCGAGCCTCCTGTAATTCCTGGGTCAACTGCTCCTTCTCCTGCCCTATTTCTTGAAGTTGTTCCAGCAGTCGACTATTGGCCCGTAATGACTCCTAATGCAGACACCAAAGGGAAAGAGTTTGATAAAGAGCATCCAGTAGGTGCTAGTCACCCAGGACCATCTGGTAGACCATCTCCCTTCTCCCTGGTAAAGTTGGTATTGTGATCTCAATTTCTGGATAGGAAATATAGCAGAGACTGCTAGTTGCTCCCCAGTATTCATTCTTCCTTACTTCCCTAGCAATAAAATTTATCATCGGGCATACAGCTGTCTAGCAGATGTTTCCCCTCCTCCCTTATGGTTAGGTGTGGCCATGTGATTTATTTCTGTATGTGGAAGTGGTGAGTGTAATTTAGGTTATGCTCTTAAAGGAAAGGGGCACACTCTTCCCTGCCCCTTTCCTCCTTCCTTCCAGATAGAATACAAACATGATGGTCGGGGAGTTTCAGCAACCGTCTTGGATGCCAAGATAAAAGTCTTGTGTTGAAGGTGGAGGAACAGCAATGGAGAAAGAACCTGGGTCACAGATGACTGGAAAGCCATCATTCCATCCCTGAATAACCTACCTGGACTTTTAATGAGAGGGAACTAAATTTGTATCTTATTTAATCTACTATTATTCTGGTTTCTATTATGGAATCAGAATGGATATTGCTTGGGAGGCTGAGCCGGGTAGATCTCCTGAGGTCAGGAGTTTGAGAAGCCTGACCAACATGGTAAAACCCCGTCTCTACTAAAAATACAAAATTAGCTGGGCGTGGTGCCAGGCGCCTGTAATCCCAGCTACTCCGGAGGCTGAGGCAGGAGAATCGCTTGAACCCAGGAGGCGGAGGTTGCAGTGAGCTGAGATCGCGCTACTGCACTCCAGCCTGGGCAACAGAGTGAGACTCCATCTCAAAAAAAAAAAAAAAAAAAAAAAAGGAGCCGGGCGTGGTGGCTCACGCCTGTAATACCAGCACTTCGGGAGGCCGAGGCGGGCAGATCACGAGGTCAGGAGATCGAAACCATCCTGGTTAACACGGTGAAACCCCGTCTCTACTAAAAATACAAAAAATTAGCTGGGCATGGTGGCAGGCGCCTATAGTCCCAGCTACTCGGGAGGCTGAGGCAGGAGAATGGCGAGAACACGGGAGGCGGAGCTTGCAGTGAGCCGAGATCACGCCACTGCACTCCAGACTAGGTGACAGAGCAAGACTCCATCTCAAAAAAAAATTAAATTAAATTAAAATTTAAAAAATGAAAAAGAATTGATATCCTAACTAACTGAAGAGGCTCAGTTTCAGAGAAGTGAAATGACTTGTCCCAGAACACACAGGTGCTAATAAGTTAGGGAGCCAGACTGGAACCTAGGTCCTCCTGACTCCAGTCTTCCCACTCCACCTTACTGGGGACTTCACTGGGCCATTACTAGGGAACTAGGAAGAGACAGGCCAGAGCCAAAGGTGTTACCTGGAGCTGGGAGTTGAGGTCATCTTTCTGTCCCATAAGGTCCTCGTACTCAGCCTGCTGCTGCTGCAACTCAGCTGCCAGCCCAGTGGTCTGTTCCCGGAGCATATTCAGTTCTTGGGTCTTTGCTGTTTGGATCTGGAGAAAGTAGTGGTGATGAGAAGTAGAGTGAAAGGGACCCCAGGGGCCAGGGACAGGGTATGAGCCCCCTAGTTCCAGGGAAACAGGGAGGGAGGTGGGAAGAGAACCAGGAAGAGAGAGGAAATTTCAAACAGAAAAACAATGAAGAGAATGGGTAAATGTGGTATGTTCATACAATGGAATACCACACAACAGTAAGAGAACAGATCTGTGCTGCCACGTGGATAAACTTACATAGTGCTGCCAGAAAGAAGTCAGAGACAAAGAGCAGCTGATTCCATTTATATGAAGTTAAAGAACAAGCGAAATGAATCTTATGTTGCTAGAGATCAGAATAATGGTTACTTCTGGGGGAGTACTGACTTTGAAGGGGTAAAGGGGACCTTCTGGGGTACTAAAAGTGCTTTATACTTTGATCTGGGTGGTGGCTATGGTGGCGGGGAGAGAGAGAGAAAAAAAAGAGAGAGACGAAGAGAGGATTCACTGAGTGTACACTTAAGATTAGTACATTTCATGCACTTTACTAGAGAGAAACTAGAAACAAAGAAAAGCAGAAGCCGGGCGCGGTGGCTCATGCCTGTAATCCCAGCACTCTGGGAGGCCGAGGCGGGTGGATCATGAGGTCAGGAGTTCGAGACCAGCCTGGCCAAGATGGTGAAACCCCGTCTCTACTAAAAATACAAAAATTAGCTGGGCATGGTGGCACACGGCTGTAGTCCCAGCTATTTGGGAGGGCTGAGGCAGGAGAATCGCTTGAACCTGGGAGGCGGAGGTTGCAGTGAGCCGAGATCGTGCCATAGCACTCCAGCCTGGACAACAAGACCGAAACTCCGTCTACAAAAAAAAAAAAAAGCAGAGATAGGCCAAGCACAGTGGCTCACACCTATAATCCCAGCACTTTGGAAGGCCGAGGTGGGAAGATAGCTTGAGGCCAGAAGTTTAAGCCAGTCTGGGTAACATAGTGAGACCCTGTCTCTACAAAATAATTTTGTTTTCTCTTTTTTGAGATGGAGTCTCACTCTGTCACCCAGGCTGGGGTGCAGTGGCACAATCTCGGCTCACTATAACCTCCACCTCCCAGGTTCAAGCAATTCTCCTGCCTCAGCCTCCCGAGTAGCTGGGATTACAGGTGTGCGCCACCATGCCCAGCTATTTTTTTTTGTATTTTTAGTAGAGACGGGGTTTCACCATATTGGCCAGGCTGGTCTCGAACTCCGAACCCCAGGTGATCCGCCCGTCTCAGCCTTCCAAAGTGCTGGGATTATAGGCGTGAGCCACTGCGCCTGGCCTAATTTTTGTATTTTTAGTAGAGACAAGGTTTTGCCATGTTGGCTAGGCTGGTCTCAAACTCCTGATGTCAGGTGATCCGCCCACCTCTGCCTCCCAAAGTGCTGGGATTACAGGTGTGAGCCATCATGCCCGGCCAATAAGTTTTTTTTCGTTTTGTTTTTTGTTTTTTTGAGACAGAGTTTCACTCTTGTTGCCCAGGCTTGAGTGCAATGGCACGATCTCGGCTCACCGCACACTCCACCTCCTGGGCTCAAGCAATTCTCCCACCTCAGCCTCCCGAGTAGCTTGGATTACAGGTGCCCACCACCACACCCAGCTAATTTTGTATTTTTAGTAGAGACGGGGTTTCTCTATGTTGGTCAGGCTGGTCTCGAACTCCTGACCTCAGGTGATCCGCCCTCCTCGGCCTCCCAAAGTGCTAGGATTACAGAATTGAGCCACCATGCCCGGCTTTTTTTTTTTTTTTTTTTTTAGACGGAGTCTCGCTCTGTTGCCCAGGCTGGAGTGCAATGGCACGATCTCGGCTTACTGCAACCTCCGCCTCCTGGGTTCAAGAGATTCTCCTGTCTCAGCCTCCCGAGTAGCTGGGATTACAGGCACACACCGCCACACCCAGCTAATTTTTTGTATTTTAGTAGAGATGGGGTTTCACCGTGTTGCCCAGGCTGGTCTTGAACTGAGCTCAGGCCATCCACACATCTTTGGCCTCCCAAAGTGCTAGGATTACAGGCATGAGCCACCACGCCCTTTTTTTTTTTTTTTTTTTTTTGAGACAGAGTATTGCTCTGTCGCCCAGGCTGGAGTACAGTGGTGCGATCTCGGCTCACTGAAACCTCTGCCTCCTGGGTCCTGGTTCAAGCAATTCTCCTGCCTCAGCCTCCCCAATAAAATTTTTAAAAGTTAAAAAAAAAAAAAAGTAGGGATGGATGGCCAGAGAGAAGAGGGCTGGACGCCAACAGAAAGGAGCAACAGAAACAAAGACAGGAGAACAGCATGGGGTCCAGACCACCCTACCCTGATGTGGACCAGAAGCAGATGGAGATGGGGGAACTGGAGAGGGATCAGCAAGGGCCCCCAGGTGTTCTTTACCTGCTCCAGGGCAGCCAGGCTAGTCCTCAAGGCATTGTTCTCAGCCAAAAGCCCTTCCACTTGTTCCTGTGCATCTGCACTCTGGATGGATACCTGGCCCCACGTCCACAGCAGGTGAGAGTGGGTCCAGAACAGGGGGACAGGACCTACCCACGACCAAGAAAGAAAGGACACACACACACACACACACACACACACACACACACACACACACACACACACACACGAAGGCCTGGGGGAAGCAGGATCCCTGGGACCTTGCCTGACTATGTAGTACCCACTCAGGCTGCCCCCATCCTGAACCCCAGCTCCCTGAGCCCACGCAGTACAATATACCTGATCTTGTAGGGCCCGCAAAGCTGCTGCATGTTCCAGGCGCTCCCCCTGCCGCTGATCTCTCAGCTCTGCCAAGCTCTGTGGAGACCAGGGGAGCCCATTTTACACCTCAGCCTCTCCTGGGGTGCATATAACCGTACAGACTCTCTGTTTGACCACCCAGCAGCATGTTCTCAGCACCTGTGGGTCTCAGACTATCCAGCCAACAGCAATCTCAGGTTCACCCAGACGCCAGGTCACTACCCTCAGGGGCCTCAGACACAGTCAACCCCTCTATCCCAGCGTACAAGATCTCAGGCACGACTAGACTCCTGGCCCTAGCTGCTACGCGGTTCAAACTCACTCAGCTCCCATCCATAAGAAGTCTCATGCTCACCCAGATTCTAGCTTGGGAGCTCCAGGATTCTCAGACACAGTCAGCCCCATGGATCTCAGATGTAGTCAGCACCCAAGGATGACAGTTTCACCCAGCCTCCCAATCCCAACCACCAGGGGTTTCAGACACACTCATCTCCCACGTCCCTACTTCCCAGGTGAGATCCACCCAAACTCATAGTCCCAGATCCTAGAGGTCTCAAACTCACAACCTCCTAGTTTCCAGGTCCTGGTGAACTCTCAGACTGACCCCTTCACCTGTCACTCTGCTCCCCAGTCTCTTGGAATCTTCAGACCCAGTTAACCACCAGTTCCTGGGGGTCTCAGCTTTACCCAGACTCCCGTCTCAGACCCCATGTTCCCAGTTTCTAGGGACTTCAGAACCACAAGCCACCATATCCTCCATTCCAAGGGACCTCAGACTCACCTTTTCTAGAAGGAAACCCAGAGGCTTCAGAACCATCCAGCCCCCAGTCCTCAGGAGCCTCAGACCCACCTAAACTTCTGCTCCAGCCCCTGGAGGTCTCAGACTGACCAGCTTTTTGTTCACAGCCCTCAAGGATCTCAGGACTACCTAGCCCATATGATCCCACTTCCTAGGTGTCTTAGGCCCAAGCCAGCGCCCAGATCCTGAGGATCTCAAATGCACTCAGCCTTCAGCCCCAACTATCTCACCCTTGAAAGTTGTATATCTACCCAGCCATGTCCTCAGCCCTTGGGAGTCCCAAATTTACTGACATCCCAGCCCCTAAAGATTTCAAAGTCACCCAGCACCCAGGGAGTTCAGACTTACCCCAGTTCCTGGTCCTAGGCCCTAGTGACCACAGATTCATCCAGACTGTGGTCTCAAACCTCCAGGAGTTTCAGATTTACACAAACTTATAGCACACAGCCCCCTAAGTCCTTAGCCCCCTGAGATCTTACACTCATGAAGACTCCTATAACAATTCCTAGGGCTCTCCAATTCCCATTTTCCTAGCTCCTGGGGGGCCCCAGAACCCATTTCCAACACAGGAAATCTCAGACTCCCCAGCCAGCCTCCATGGACCTCAGACCTCTCCAGGCTCCCAGTCCTGGCCCCTACCCCAGGGATCTCAGAACCCAGTCCCCATCACCTGATTGGCAGCCTCAAGTTCCTGCTGCAGCTTCTGGGTTCGAGCCAACTGGGCTTTGTGATCAGCTTCCTTCCGTTGTTGTAATTCCTCAATCTTGTTCCTAGGAGTGATGGGGAGGGGGTGTGTTGGACATGGCTTGAGGCCCAGTCTCCTAGCTCTGCCCCTGTAATCTTCACTGGGCACTGTCCCAATTGTCCACCAATACCCGCAAATCTGGCAGTTACCTGCTGTCATTAAACAGAGTCTCCTTTTCTGTCTGCAGACGGCAAAAACTGGGCACAGAAGGACAGATGTAGATGGGTCAGTTCCGTAAGTTAATTCCCCCCTCGGCCCCCAGTACCCTTGGGAAAAAGAAATTTACCTTTCTTGTTTCTTTTTCAGTTTCTCGGAGAGCTGGGGAGAGAGGTACAGACAAGTGATAACATTGAGAATAATATAAAGACAAACCTAAAATTAATAAATATAGACACTTCTTATTAAGTCATTTTTGGAAGCCAGGATTTACTTATGTTGTCTTGTGGAATCCTCAAAATAGCCCTGACAAGTGAGTAGTACCAGTTTTACAAATGGGGAAACAGAGTCTTGGAAAGGTTAAGTAATTTGGTTGCTCAGCGGGTCAGCAACAACAATATTATCTCCACCCAGATCCTTCAGGTTCCAAAGCCCGGTATTTATGCTCCCAACATAGTGGCCAATGGCCATGTTATAGATTGGCTAGGCTGGGAGGCCTGGAAAGCAGGATATCATGACTGGGTGCCGCACCCCTGGGTCTCCAGGTCCTAAGATAAGAGCCAGGAGTCTGTAAATGCTTGCATGAATGAATGAATGAGTGAATGGGCAAAGCTGAGAGATGGATGGGATGAAACTTATCATGCACAAGATATAGTGGGACCACATTAACTCATTCCATACTGAAAGTAACTCTGAGACATAGGTGTGAGTCTCTCCATTTCACAGATGATGAAACCTAGGCTTTGATGGGGTACAATGCCCCTTCTGCCCTAGGATTGGGAATGGAATGGGAAAGAATCCAGCAGATTGGGAGCAGAATGGGAAAGAGCCAAGCAGCCGCACCTTAGCAAGTTCCTCCTGCAGCCTGGATGTTTCGGCCTGCTTTGAGCTCTGCAGGGAAGGATGAGGGATGGGAGGGTTGTTGTTAGCAAGGACAAGGAGAAGCCTTCCCCTGCCCTCCTGCCTCCCTCACCCCATCAGCCCACAAGATGGTGATGTCACAGCCATCTCCGTGGGACTATAGACAGAGGTAGAACATCTGCCCTGCCTTCTGGCATTCCAGCTCCAACAGACTCAGATTCACCTCTAAGCCTTGCAGCTGTTCCCAGAGCAATCTCTTCTCCTCTTTCTCCATTTCCCATTTCAGCTCCACCTCTGCCAACGGCATGGGGGCCAGGACGGTGGGGGCCAGGCCCCCTGGGGGATCCCCCTGGCCCTCACTGACAGCTGAGAACTTCCCGGCTTCTTTCCCATAGCGTTCCTGCAGGGCTGGTGAGTAGAACAGGGATATATGATGGATGAGGTGGTCTCTGAAGTCCCTTGCCATGCCTCGAATAGAGGGAGAACTGGCCTTCAACCCCTCAGGTGGCAGAGTCCCTGTGCCAAATGACCACATGCCTAAAAGACGAAGGTTCAGCTCTATCCATGCCTCTCACATTTTTTTCTTTTTTTTTTTGAGACAGGGACTTGCTCTGTCACCCAGGCTGGAGTGCACTGGAATGATCACAGTTCACTGCAACCTTGACCTCCTGGGCTCAAGTGATTCTCCCACCTCACTCTCCCAAGTAGCTGGGATCAGAGGTGTGTGCCATCATGCCGGGCTAATTTTTTGATTTTTTTGTAGAGACAAGGTCTCGCTACATTGCCCAGACTGGTCTTGAACTCCTGAGCTCAAGCAATCCTCCCACCTCAGCCTCCCCCAAAAATCTTTTTCCGTGGCTGGGCACGGTGGCTCACGCCTGTATCCCAGCACTTTGGGAGGCCAAGGCAGGTGGATCATGAGGTCAGGAGTTCAAGACCAGCCTGACCAATATGGTGAAACCCCGTCTCTACTAAAAATACAAAAATTAGCTGGGCGTGGTGGCGCACGCGCTTGTAATCCCAGCTACTCGTGGGGCTGAGGCAGGAGAATCGCTTGAACCCAGGAGGCAGAGGTTGCAGTGAGCCGCGATCGAGCCATTGCACTCCAGCCTGGGTGACAGAGTGAGACTCCGTCTCAAAAAAATCTTTTTCCCTAGACAGTCTTGCTCTGTTGCCCAGGCTGGTGTGCAGTGGTGCAATCATAGCTCACTGCAACCTCAAACTCCTGGGCTCAAGCGATCCTCCCAAGTAGCTGGGACTACAAGTGCACACCATGCCCAGTTAATTTTATTTTATTATTTATTTATTTGTTTATTTTCTTGAGACTGAGTCTTTCTCTGTCACCCAGGCTGGAGTACAGTGGTGTGATCTCGGCTCACTGCAACCTCTGCCTCCCAGGTTCAAGTGATTCTCCTGCCTCAGCCTCCCAAGTAGCTGGAATTACAGGCATTTGCCATCAAACCTGGCTAATTATTGTATTTTTAATAGAAATGGGGTTTTGCCATGTTGGCCAGGCTGGTCTTGAACTCCTGACCTCAGGCGATCTGCCCACCTTGGCCTCCCAAAGTGCTAGGATTACAGGTGTGAAACACCGTGCCTGGCCTAATTATTTTATTTTTAGTACACACAAGTTCCTGCTATGTTGCCTAGGCTGGTCTTAAACTCCTAGCCTCAAGAGATCCTTCTGCCTCAGCCTCCCAGAGTGCTGGAATCAAGGTATGAGCCACTGTGCCCAGGCTCTCACAAATATTTTAAGCCCTATCAACCACTAAGATTCTGTTTACTATTAAATTAGCCCAAGCTGGTTTCACAAATCCCATTCTCAATCCTTGAAGCCCCACCCATAGCCCTTGAAGGCCATGCCCACCATATGCTACCACTGACTTACAGCTGAATCCCTCCTAGAGCCTCCTAATTCCTACTCACATTCTACTAAGTCTCCCTCCTGGTCATGGAACCAGCATCCATCACCACAGAAGTCCCAGCTGCTCTCCAAAGTTCCACACACCACATGCTCCCACACTCTATCAAGCTTTCTTTCAGCTTTCATCCCAGACCCCACTTACAATCTGGGCTCAGAATCTTCCCAACACTCCATTCACTTTTTCACTTAGCAAATATCTCCTTTTTTTTTTTGAGATGGAGTCTCGCTCTGTCGCCCAGGCTGGAGTGCAGTGGTGTGATCTCGGCTCACTGCAAGCTCCACCTCCCAGGTTCACACCATTCTCCTGCCTCAGCCTCCAGAGTAGCTGGGACTACAGGCGCCCGCCACCGTGCCCGGCCAATTTTCTGTATTTCTAGTAGAGACGGGGTTTCACCATGTTAGCCAGGATGGTCTTGATCTGCTGACCTCGCAATCCGCCCGCCTCAGCCTCCCAAAGTGCTGGGATTACAGGCGTGAGCCACCGCGCCCGGCCGCAAATATCTCCTTTTTGACATTCAAGCTGCTAATCTGTAACATCTGCTAGGTACCAGACACTGAACTAATGCAGAATGATATCACCTTTTATCTCTACTACAATCTTCTGGGTGACAGACATCACTACATGCACTGTGTAGATGATAAGGCTTTGGCTCAGAGAGGTGAAATGGCTTGTCCAAAGCCACACAGGGCATGGGCCAACCCTATTTCTGAAGCCCTTCTCCTTCCCCTGAGAGGATGACGGCCTTCCTTGCCCTACTCAAGCCCCAATGTCTCCGCATCCCCAGGAGGGCCTCTATGCACCTGCCACGTTCTTCTGCAAGGCTGTGTTTTCAGCCTGTAGCCTCAGCAGCTCCCCATCCACGAGGGGCCCAGCTTGGGCAACCCCTGCTCCTGCAGCCCCCTCCTTCAGTTGCTGGTTCTCTTGCTCCAGCTGTTCCATCTGGCTGCAGAGCTGAACAGAGGAAGAGAAGGGGCAGAGAAGCAGAGAATCAGAGCAGTATTTGCTGAAACCTACATAGCATTTGTCCATGTACTTTACAATTCACTTAATTCCCATAATGACCCTATGATATAGGTGCCCTCCCACTTTACAAATAAGGACATTGAGGCACAGAGATGTTAAACAAGTTCAAATTCACACATCTTTTAAGTGGCAGAGTCAGAGAATACCAAGAGCATACCAAGTATGAGGACACCAAAAACCATTTTCCTCTTCCTACTCCCAACCTCAGAGATGCAATCCAAGACCTCAGGCTCCTCTGGAAGTTGTTAGTGCTACAGACAGCCTCACTGCAACCCCTCTTCTGTGGAGGGCTGGATCCTGGGCCCAGAGATAGCTCCCTCTCATCCTAAGCACCACAAAGAGCTCGCAGGGCATTTCCAGGGCCAACACTGATGACAGCTCCTGCATTGCCAGCCGTTAGTCTTGGAGAGGTATACAATGCCAATACAACTAAGCCAGCCCCCTGCCCAACTCCTGGCTGAAGTACACTTCTCAAAGCAGTCCTGAGAAAATTCCTTGTCCCCATTTTCAGATGAGAATATCGAGGCCTACAGAGAATTTTTATTTTATTGCCTGCAATATTTTCTTTCTTTTTTTTTTTTTTTTTTTTTTGAGATGGAGTCTCGCTCTGTCACCCAGCCTGGAGTACAGTGGCACGATTTCAGCCCACTGCAACCTCCGCCACCCGGGTTCAAGTGATTCTCCTGCCTCAGCCTCCTGAGTAGCTGGGACTACAGGCATGCGCCACCGTGCCCGGCTAATTTTTGTATTCTTATTAGAGACGGGGTTTCGCCATGTTGGCCAGGCTGGTCTTGAACTCCTGACCTCAGGTGATCCACCTGCCTCGGCCTCCCAAAGTGCTGGGATTACAGGCATGAGCCACCGCACCCGGCCTGCTTGCAATATTTTCTACCCAGAACACCAATCCTCTCATCCAGTTCTTCACCTAACTGGCTTCTTTGCATCCCTCAGTGCTCTGCTCAGATGTTGCCTTTAAAGTAGTATCCCTCAACACAGAAAATTCCAGTACTCTCTGTCACAGCACTGTTCATTTCTTTCTTACCTAGTACTAATCAAAATTTTCTTTTGTAACAAGCACAGATTCTGAAACCAGACTGCTTGAATGTGAATTTCTGCTCTGCCATTTACTAGCTGTGTGACAAATTACTTAATCTCCCTGGAACTCAGTTTTCCTCATCTGTCAGATAGGGATACTAATATCTCATAGGCTTATTTCAAAGATTAAATGAGTGAATAATGTAGAGTACTTCAAACAGGACTTGGCACACAGTAAGCACCATATAAATGTCAGCTATCACTACTAGTATTATTTGTTTACTGTTATCATCTTTCTCCTCATCCCACCCCCAGAATGTAAGCTACCCAAGAGTGGAGATCATTCTGTGCTGCTTACAACTGTATTTCCAGAACATAGAGCATGTGGTGGGTACTCAGTAACTATTTGTCGAAGGAACAATTAAGCTGAAATGTCTTGATGAATAAGGGGTGGTGGCAGGTTTAACGTAGCTCTCTCTGAGAGCACTTCCAGTTCCTGGGAGGAGTTGGAGGAGGAAGGGGACTATGTAGGAAGTCTCTACGACTAGCCCAGTGCTGGCCCAGGGCAGATGCAGGGAAACAAGCTGGATTTATGGAAGAATGTCTGCCCCTGCCTCACTCTGCAAGAATCATGATACCATGGAGGCTGGAGGCAGGAAGCAGTGAGGAGTCAGTCAGTGAAGCCAGCAGTTATGTGAATACCAGGGGCTCTGAACTAGGAGCAGGACTGGGGCACTGGAATGTATTAAGTAAAGGAGTGATGTCATAAGATCTGCAGGTCAGAACAGCCTCTGTGGTGTGAACTAAGTAGAAGAAACTAGAAGTGAAGAGACCAGGGAGGCGGCTGTAGAAACAGCAGATGATAAGTGGTAGAGGCTAAGGCAAAGCAGGGCCACAGGGTGGATATAAAACTTTTTTTTTTTAAATTGAGACAGAGTCTTGCTCTGTCGCCCAGGCTGGAGTGCAGTGGTGCAATCTTGGCTCACTACAACCTCCGCCTCCCGGGTTCAAGCGATTCTCCTGCCTCAGCCTCCCGAGTAGCTGGGACTACAGGCACGTGCCACCACACCCGGCTAATTTTTTGTATTTTTAGTAGAGACGGGGTTTTACCACGTTAGCCAGGATGGTCTCCATCTCCTGACCTCATGATCTGCCTGCCTTGGCCTCCCAAAGTGCTGGGATTACAGGCCTGAGCCACCACGCCCGGCCATAAAACTTTTAAAAAGTCAAATATTTTAGAGGGAAGATGAGTTAATAGAAGGATAATATTATAACTAATGCTTCCATAGCTGATACTATGTGCAAGGCTCTGTTTTAAGTGATTTACGTACATTTATTCATTTAATCCTCACAAAAGCCCTGTGAAGAGGCAGGTACTGTTATTATCATGACTTCCATTTTAAACATTTGGGAACCAAGAACCAGGCAAGTTAAGTAACTTCCTCAAGGTTACAGTTAGTAAAAGGTAGAGCCAAGATTTTAATCTAGGCCTTCTGGTTCCAGAGTCCCTGCTGGTACCTACTACTTGCTCAACTGCCTCTCCTGGTATTGTACCTGCTTAAAGGTTATTTTCGGTTTTGTTTTTTTAAGGTCATAGGCACTATATTCTCAGATGGAGCCTTAGAAATACCATTTTTGGGCCGGGCGCGGTGGCTCACGCCTTTAATCCCAACACTTTGGGAGGCCAAGACGGGTGGATCACCTGAAGTCGGGAGTTCAGGACCAGCCTGACCAACATGGTCATTTTCTCTACTAAATGTCCTCTCCCACCCATGTCATTTTCTCTCATCTCTACTAAAAATACAAAGTTAGCCAGGCATGGTGGCATATGCCTGTACTTCCAGCTACTTGGGAGGCTGAGGCAGGAGAATCGCTTGAACCCAGGAGGCAGAGGTTGCAGTGAGCTGAGATCATGCCATTGCACTCCAGCCTGGACAATGAGAGTGAAACTCCATCTCAAAAAAATTTGCTGCCATGAGACTTTTTTCCTTAAAACACACTAAAAACATAGACAATTATCAACTGTGGATACAGAAGATAGATGAGGGAACAAAAGACAATGTCTCCAACTGCCCAGTAGATTTAGAAACAGACAGGACACTAAAATCAATGGGGAGATAGAATTAGTAGCTCCAGGATGAATTATCTGGAAGAGGTAGAACCCCAGGCTCATGTCAGATGAAGAGAAGAAAGAGAAAAGGGAAGAAGCTCGAACACTTTTCCATCCTATATTAAGCATAAGAACTCTGCCTAAAACCCCCCAACACCTTGGAGCACCACAGCATCAACCCCACATTATACACATGGAGACTTGAAGCTCAAATAAAAGGAGTGACTTGGCCAGGAACCAGGTGACCTCAGGGCTCAAAGCCTTCTAATCCCAGCAGAGTGAGCGGCCCCATCTGTCAAATTACTGCCCCCCAGCAGCAATCCAGGACCTGTTTCAGCACCACGGACAGTGCTCCAGGGCCAGACCCTGTCCAATCACTCTCTGCCGCTGTTAGGTTTCAGCCCAGATGACCCCTACCCCTCATTTCCCCTTTGACTATCCCAGGCACCAGCACCTTGCTGAACTCGGCCATTAGTGTGCTGTTCTGCAAACGGAAGTCCTCCTCCTGGCTGTGCAGCTTTGCCTGCAGCATCTCATTTTCACTCAGCAATACCTCGACTTCCTGCAGTGGCAGACAAGGGCCAGGACTCCAGCAAGGGCAAAAAGGATAGGGAGGTAGGGCAAAGAAACAGAGAGAGGGAGAAAATGACATGGGTGGGAGAGGACATAGGGTACAGAGAATGAGGTGATATAGGAGAAAGAGACATGGGGAGGGATAAAATGAGAGACAGGGAAAGGAAGATAAAGACATGGGAAGGTAGAGAGAAGGGAATACAGGGAGGAAGAGAGCGGAGGAAAAGACAGGAAGATAATGATTGGGGAGAGAGGAAGTAGAGATGGGGAAAGGGGGAGAGATAGAAAAGGGGAGAGGGATTGGGAGGGAGAGAGTGAAAAAGACGGAGAGAAGAACAAACAGAAATCAACAGGGAGAGAACAGAACAGGGAGAAGAGGAGGGGTCAGGAAAAGAAATGAGTTAGGAAGAGAGAGGAATGGGGTGGAAGAAACAAGGAGTTAGAGAGAGAAAGCAGAAAAAAGAGAAATCACCGAGACAGGAACAGGAGGGGGAGAGACAAAGAGAAGATTGGGAAGAGAAATGAGTCAGAGAGACAGGAACAGGAAAACAGACAGAGACAGAAAGAGACTCAGAGAAAAGAATGGAAAGAGAGAGAAGGAAAGAGACACAGAGTTAGGACAAATACAGGGAAACAAGGACAGATACAGCAACACATGGCAGTGAGGTAGTAGCAGATGTAAAGGCACACAAAGAAAGAAAGGCCAGTACAAGGAAATATCAGCATACAGAAATAGCCCACCAAGACATCTCCCAGTCACACTCACCCACAAGGGATCCCCTTACCTGAGCTTTCTTGCTCTTGCTCAGTGCCTAAAGTGGGGGTGGGTGGGAAGAGAGCTAAAGTGAACAGAGATGGACTGCCTTACTAGGATATGGAGACAATTGTGCCAAGCGTTTTGGGAGGACAAGGATGACAGGGGTTGCAGGATGGGAGCATCTTCAACCACAGAACATGTGTGACAATTTGGAGCCCAAAGGAATGATGGAATGAGTGTGTGAGTGAGTGAATGAATGCAAGTCTTGCCCTGGGGCCCCAGCACACATAAATCATCCTTTCTTGGAAGCTCTTGAGGCTGGTGGGGGGACAGGGGAGGTAGGGAGATGCCCTGGTATTTAACCATTTATGGGCTGGATCTCCAGACTCAGAAACTGTGGCTTCATTGCTACATCTGTCCATACATGTCTCTGTGGGTCCCTCCCACGCAGTGTGGAAACTGTCGCTCCCCTACTGGGCAGCCAAGAGCATTGCCAGCTTAGGGGAATCAGCATCCTACCAAAGAGAAGTGCAGCTTCCTGACTGTCGGATTTTCTGCATACTGTATTCGTTCATCCAACAAATATTTATTGAGCACATATTATGTATTAACATTGTGCTAGGTATGGCTAGATATGGGGACAGAGCAGTGACAAAGGAGCACCTCGAATGTCTTGAGGGGCCACAATAGGTTATATCCTATCTCATCTTTAGAGGATCTGAGAGGTGGGTTTGCTCTCATTTTCCCAACTGGACCAGGACAGAGATGGGAAGTAGGAGCACAAGGCAGGAGTGTGAGTAGAGGATGGGAGGCAGATTCGAGGTAGATTTACTGATAGATTTGAATATTTAATTAAAAGTCAGTGAATGAGAATGAGTAACTGAAATTAGAAATGAATTAAAAGTAAATTAAAATTAATCACTAAATTAAGCAGGATTAGGTAAAATTAGCAACTAAAGAGAATTCCATTGAGAATCCTTTAAATGACTACGTGAAAACAGCATGCAACATTAGGTCTGGTTCACTGTAGGTGCTCACTGGAGGGATGAATGAGTCAGATAGGTAGAAGCAAGGGTGGATGGGTAGGTGGATGGGTGGGTGGAGGGAGGTACCTTCTGAGCTTTGCTGAACTCCTTATCCAAGTAGGCGACCTTCTGTCGAAGACTGGTGAGTTCTGGTGTCGGGAAAGCAGGGAAACTCAGCCTCAGCCAGTGGCAAGAAACTGAAAGGCCTTCCTGCCAGGCCTCTGAGGGAAAACCTCGGACACCATTCCCCAAAGCCACCCCCATCTAATAAGGCCCTCCTGGCTCACCAACACCATTCTTGCGTAGTTCATCTGAAAGCTGGTAGTTGTTTGTCCGGAGTTCCAGGAGCTGAGCCTTTGGGGGAGGCAGGAAGGGAAAAGACTTGGTCAGGAAAGCGCCCCTACCCCTACCATGAGGGAACCAAGCCCCTAAGCTCCACAGACCTTACGCCCTCCATGTGCCTCTGTAGCTACTCCTTAAGACCTGTATGTGCTACACCCAAAGTGACCTTCCAGGCCCTCAGACCCTGGCTCACCTTTTCCAGCTCCACTTATAACCCCAGCCAGCCTCACCCCTCCATCTCACACTACAATCCACGCTGCACTCAGGCCATCCCAGAGCACTGCCCCCAGTCAGGGTCTTGCTTGTGTGAGTTCCCTGGCTCTCCATGCCCACAGGATAAAGTTCCTCCTCCTCATCCTGGCTGACCTCTCCACACACTGAACACACACTGTCAGGGGTGTTGTCCATATTTCTGACCAGACCTGGGGGCCTCTGATGGCAGGGGGTTAAGGGCCTGTCTTCCTCCCTCTTTCCTAAGGGAAAAGGGTCAAGTATTCTGCCCAACTTTCATTGAGTCAGGGGGCTTTCCAGGGTCCCCCCACCTCCAAGGCTCTCAAAATACATCCAGGCCCCCTTCAATAATTAAGGGAGGACCAGGTGCGGTGGCTCACACCTGTCATCCCAGCACTTTGGGAGGCCAAGGCGGGTGGGTCACGAGGTAAGGAATTCAAAATCAGCCTGCCCAATATGGTGAAACCCCGTCTCCACTAAAAATATAAAAAATTAGCCGGGTGTGGTGGCGCACACCTGTAGTCCCAGCTACTCGGGAGGCTGAGGCAGGAGAATCGCTTGAACCTGGGAGGTGGAGGTTGCAGTGAGCCGAGATTGTGCCACTGCACTCCAGCCTGGGTGACAGAGTGAGACTCTGTCTCAAAAAAAAAAAAAAAAAAAAAAAAAAAAAAGAATTAAGGGAAAGTGCCAGGCGCAGTGGCTGACACCTGTAATCCAAACACTTTCGGAGGCCAAAGTGGGCAGATCACTTGAGGTCAGGAGTTCAAGACCAGCCTGGCCAACATGGTGAAACCTCATCTCTACTAAAAATACAAAAATTAGCTGGGCGTGGTGGTACGCACCTGTAATCCCAGCTACTAGGGAAGCTGAGATAGGAGAATCACTTGAACCCGGGAGGTGGAGGTTGCAGTGAGCTGAGATCGTGCCACTGCACACTATAGCCTGGGTGACAGAGAAAGACTCTGTCTCAAAAAAAAAGAAAAAGAAAAAGAATTAAGCATCCTCCTCCCTACCAGCCCTATAGGACCCTGAGGCTGGTTCTACCCAGCAAGGCCGGTTCCTTCCCATTAAGGAACTTACTGTTCCTTCCCCTACCAGGACTTTTCCCTCCCTCCCACGCCACCAGCCTCCACTCACTGTTCTCTGGTAGTCTGCTCAAGGTCAGAGGGCTTGGCCTTCACAGAATCTTTCCTACTCCTGTCCTCTCCAGGACCCAGTGATCTGTCTCTCCAAGTACTGGTCCAAGTGGAATATCCTTTGTACCCCCCGAGACTTGCCCCCCAACAAAGCCCAGTAGTTCTCCCTCATTCATGGCCCAGTGGGATCAATGTTCCTCATTCAAGGGTATTCCCACTCCCCTCAAGATCTCCCCAGTCATGATCCATTGGGAATGGCCCTACACCCTTCAGGGTAGGCCTCTACAAGGCCTTGGGTAGGCCAGTTGGATGACTCTTACTCACTTAGAATCCCTTTCAGATGACAGTGGTCTTCCCCATTCATGGGTTAATCAACTCGCCCTTCCATTCTCAGTGTCCCTCACACAGGGACAGCTGGTTTCCCTCATTCAAGGACCAATTGGATTACCTGTCCTCCCTCAGAGTTCCTCCCCTCCCCATGCAGGACCCTGTTCAGACCCCCCCCCCAGTGAGGAACCCTCTCAACAAGGGCCCATTCATAGTGCAATGCTATGGCCTTTCATTGCATCTCAGAGTCCCCCCAAAAGAATCAAGTGGGGGTACCTCCCCAAAGCCCAGTGATCTTCCCTCCTTGTAGTCCAAGGTATCAATCTTTTACCCCTCTGGTCCTCCCCCCAGTTAATGGGATTAATGGTATTACCCATTCATGGCCTTCTTCACCCCAGGCCTAATGGGATCACCCTTAATCATCCAATGGTGCCGCCCCCTCTTAGGATGCACTACCAACCACCAATGGCACAGGATCTCCACCTCCCAGGAACAATGACAACATCTGGGGTCTTTCCCCAATCCCCGGGCACAGTGGTATCTCCCCCAAAACTTACCACCTCCCACCCGCTAATGGTTCTGCCCTCTCAAGGGCTCCCACCACCATGACGCAAACGACCCAACACCCGCTTCCTTCCTCTCCAGACAAAATGGTTTCGCCTTCTCAGGATCTCCTTCCCTCAAAGCCCATTATCATCACCCGCCGACGGTGTCCCCTGCACGGGCCCAAAAGTCTCGTCCCCTCCAGGTCTGAGTAAGGTACCGCCTACTTAATGGCGCTCTCCCAGCCCACAATGCTAACAGAGTCCAACCTTCAAAGCCGCAGAGTATCTCGGAATCCAATAGTCTCACCACTCCGAGCCTCAGTTTCCCTTCTCCAGACCCACCCCATAAACTCAGGGTCCATCCCAACCAACCCCTTCTCAGAGCTGATAGCACGACCTCTCGCTACCCCGCCCCCGGTCGCCTAGCCGGGTGGTCTTTCCCACCGCGAGCGGCACCTGCATCCGCTGAAACTCCTCCTCAGACAGAGCTTGCGCCATGTTCCTCCCCCCACCCCCCCGCCAGCTTTCTGCGCAGACGCAGCTCGCGCCTCCTGGCAGTATTAAGGTCGGACCAAACCACTGGCCAGGAATGGAGGGGGTAGAACCTAATTCCGAAGGGCAGCATTTTGGAGACGCAGAGAAGAGAACGAAACCGACGAGTCAGGTGAACTGTAATACAACGTTCTACCCGAATGTAAGTCATCTGATTGGCTTTTGGACTCTTCTAGGCCACCCATTGTGATACGACATTATTACATCCCCGTTTCATGGGTGGACTCGTCGCTAGGGAAGTCTTTGCCGACAGAAAATCACCCTTCCGCGGTATTCCTTTAATGAGAATGGGTAACTTAATAACCATAGAAATGAAAGCGGAAGCTTCGCTCTGGTCTTGTTCCCGCCCCTCCTCCGGGAGACCCCAAAGGGGAATCCCACCTCTTGTAAAGCCTTTGGCCTTTTTTTTTTTTTTTTTTTTTAAGGTTTGACACTTATTTTGTTATCATGATACTGCATGTCACGTTAGGTAAAGGACTTAGCCACCAATAAAAATAGCAGAGTGGAAAGAGTGACAGTGAATCAAACGAAAAAGCTACATTAAAACAAAACAAAAACAAAAAACAAACCAGGGTGGTGAAACACCAGGCTCATTCAAGTATTAGAATTCACTATAACCCTCACCGATCTGAGAGTAAGAAATGGTATCTCAGTGTAGTTTTTTTCTTATTTTCTTTTTTCTTTCTGTTTTTGTTGTTGTTGTTGTTGTTGTTTTTCTTTTTTGAGACGGAGTTTCACTTTTGTTGCCCAGGCTGGAGTGCAGTGGCACGATATCCGATCACAGCAACCTCCGCTTGGCGAGTTCAAGCGATTCTCCTGCCTCAGCCTCCCGAGTAGCTGGGATTACAGGCGCCCGCCACCTCGTCCGGGTAATTTTTTTTTTTTTTTTTAGTAGAGACGGGGTTTCTCCATATTGGTCAGGCCGGTCTCGAACTCCCGACCTCAGGTAGTCCGCCCGCCTCGGCCTCCCAGAGTGCTGGGATTAAGGCGTGAGCCACCGCGCCCAGCCTTCTTATTTTCGTAGAATTTAATGATTTCCCTGCTGTGGAAAAATATTTCCAGCAGGGCCGGGCGCGGTGGCTCACGCCTGTAATCCCAGCACTTTGGGAGGCCAAGGAGGGCTGTTCACTTGCGGTCAGGAGTTCGAGACTAACCTGGCCAACATGGTGAAACCCCATCTCTACTAAAAACACAAAAATTGGCCGGGTGTGGTGGTGGGCGCCTGTAATCCCAGCTACTCGGAAGGCTGAGGCACGAGAATCGCTTGAACCCGCCAGGCAGAGGTTGCGGTGAGCCGAGATCGCACCACTACACTCCAGCCTGGGGGATAGAGCGAGACTCTGTCTCCAAGAAAAGAAAGAAAAAGAAAAGTATTGCCAGCCAGGACTCTTTGATTTCTTTCTTGATTTAATTGACTTTATTGAAAGATAACGCTATTGATCTGTCTATATACATAAATGCACCCATTTTAAGGGTACAATTTAGTGAGCTTTGTCTAATGTATACAACCTTGTAACCACCATCACAAGCAAGATAGGGAACATTGATTTCTTTGTATCCTATCCCAAACCCCACCCCCTATCCCAGGTAACCAATGATTGGCTTCCTGTTACTGGATTACATTTCTCTTGCAGAGTTTCATGCAAATAGAATGAGACAGGATGTATCCTTTTCTGTCTGGCTTCTTTCACTCATCATAATCCTTTTGAGATTCATCCAAGTTGTTTCGTGTATAAGTATCTTTTTTTCTTTTTATTGACTAGTAAAATTCCATAGTATGGGCCGGGCGGGCTCAGTGGCTCACGCCTGTAATCCCAGCACTTTGGGAGGCCGAGGCAGGTGTATCACCTGAGGTCAGGAGTGCAAGACCAGCCCAGCCAGCATGGTGAAACCACATCTGTACTAAAAATACAAAAATAAGCTAGGAGTGATGGTACACGCCTGTAATCACAGCTACTCAGGAGGCTGAGGCATGAGAATCGCTTGAACCCAAGAGGTGGAGGGTGCAGTGAGCCGAGATCGTGCCACTGCACTCCAGCCTTAGCGATAGAGGGGAAAACTCTGTCTCAAAAACAAAACAAAACAAAACAAAATCCATAGTATGACTATACCACAATTTGTTTATCCATTCTCTTAGTGTAGTTTTAATTTGTGTTTCTCTTATTATGAGTGAGATTCACCACCTTGTCCTATGTTTATTTTATTTTTAATTTTTATTTATTTGTTTTTTTGAGACGGAGTTTCACTCTTGTTGCCCAGGCTGGAGTGCATTGGCGCGATCTCAGCTCACTGCAACCTCCGCCTCCCAGGTTCAAGCAATTCTCCTGCCTCAGCCTCCCAAGTAGGTGGGATTACAGGCGCCTGCCACCATGCCCGACTAATTTTTGTATTTTTAGTAGAGACAGGGTTTTACCACATTGGTCAGGCTGGTCTTGAACTCCTGACCTCAGGCGATCCACCTGCCTCGGCCTCCCAAAGTGCTGGGATTACAGGCATGAGCCACCGTGCCCGAACTTATTTTATTTCATTTTATTTTATTTTGAGACAGGGTCTTGCTCTACCGCCCACGCAGGAGTGTAGTGGCACAATCAGGGCTCACTGCTGCCTTGACTTCCTGGGCTCAAGCAATTCTCCCACCTCAGCCCCCCAAGTAGCTGGGACTACAGACATATGCCACCAAGAATCATTTTAATATCTGTTCTTATTTTATTTTTTTAATTTAATTATTATTTTTCTTTTGAGACAGAGTCTCCCTCTGTTGCCCAGGTTGGAGTGCAGTGGTGCAATCTCGGCTCACTGCAATCTCTGCCTCCCGGGTTCAAGAGATTCTCCTGCCTCAGCCTCCCAAGTAGTTGGGACTACAGGCACCCACCATCATGCCCAGCTAATTTTTGTATTTTTAGTAGAGACGGGGTTTCACCATGTTGGCCAGGTTGGTCTCAAACTCCTGACCTCAAGTTATCCTCCCGCCTCTGCCTCTCAAAGTGCTGGGGTTACAGGTGTGCACAACCGCACCTGGCCTCTTTGCATATTAGGAATATTAACAACTTTTTTGGGTGAGGGTGTACGGAGTTTTGCTCTTGTCGCCCAGGCTGGAGTGCAATGGCGTGATCTTGGCTCACCACAACCTCTGCCTCCCGGGTTCAAGCGATTCTCCTGCCTCAGCCTCACGAGTAGTTGGGATTACAGGCACCCACCACCACGTTTGTATTTTTAGTAGAAATGGGGTTTCACCATGTTGGCCAGCCTGGTCTCGATCTCCTGACCTCAGGTGATCCACCCGCCTCGGCCTCCCAAAGTGCTGGGATTAAAGACGTGAGCTAAGCTACCACACACGGCCTTTTCCTTTTCTTTTTCTTTTTTTTTTTTTTTTTGAGACAGGGTCTCGCTCTGTCATCCAGACTGGAGTGCAGTGGTGCAATCTCGGCTCACTTCAGCCTCGACCTTCTGGGCTCAACCAGTCCTCCTACCTCAGCCTCCCAAGTAGCTGGGACTACAGGCACAGGCTACCATGCCCAGCTAATTTTTTTTTAATTTTTTGTAGAAACCAAGTCTTACTATGTTGCCCAGGCTGGTCTCAAACTCCTGGGCTCAAGTGATCCACCCACATCTGCCTTCCAAAGTGCTAAGATTTCAGGGGTGAGCCACCACACTAGGCCTACTTTTGGTTTTTTTTTGTATGTGTGTGATTTTTTGAGATGAAGTCTCGCTCTGGAGTTCAGTGGCCCGATCTTGGCTTACTGCAACCTCTGCCTCCCAGGTTCTAGCGATTCTCCTACCTCAGCCTCCCAAGTTGCTGGGATTATGGGCACGTGACACCATGCCCGTCTAATTTTTGTATTTTTGGTGAGACAGGTTTCACCATGTTGGCCAGGTTGGTCTCAAACTCCTGGCTGCAAGGGATCTGCCCACCTCAGCCTCCCAAAGTGCTGGGATTACAGGCGTGAGCCACCGTGCCCGGCCCTTGCCTACATTTGTAATATATAAATTATGTTGTCACAGTCTCCATTCCATACTGGATTCCCTGACCTCCTGGTTGCTTTTTTTAAAATTTTGCATACATTAACAAACTTTTTTTATATCGTAAAGATCAATGGGTTTTGACAGAAGCATTTTAAAGTGTTCCACACATAGATTTTTTTCACATTTCTTGTTAGATTTCTTCCTAATTATTTTCTTTGATGCTATGGATGCTATTGTAAATGAGGTTTTCTCTATCATTGTATCTCTTTTTTTTTTTTCGGTAGAGACAGGATCTCACTATGTTGCCCCAGCTGGACTGCACTGGCTATTTATAGGCATGATCATGGCACACTACAGCCGTGAACTCCTGGGCTCAAGCCATCCTCCCATTTCAACTTCCCAAGTAGCTGGGACTACACATGTGAGCCACTATGCGTCTTTATATCCTCTCACTGGTTATTGTTGATATATACAAAAGCCATTGATTTCTCTATGTTAATTTTATATCCTTCCATTTTACTGAATACTTTTATTGTTAGAGTGTTTTATCATTGATTCTCTAGGGTTTACCAGGTACAAAATCATATCATCTGAAAATAGGGATATCTTTATTCTTTTCCAATCAGTCACACTGGCTGTAATTGATTTCTCTTGCCTAATTACCATTTTCCACTAACAGGAACCAGGGCCCCTTAGAGAAATAGCTGATTGCAGGGCTGGGGCAAGGAAAGTACAAGATTAGCCTGGAACATCTTGTTTTAACCACACATTGAAAGAATTTGAATTAAAAAAGAATACAAGAGTCCAAAGTGATCTAAATAAATAAATGGAGGCGAAGGGAAAACTCTTCCTCACAGAGGAATGCCAACTAATAAATGTACAAGGAATGATGGAATTAGAAAATAACTATTTGGCAACTACTACTGTAATAATTGTTTTAGGCAAGCATCATTGGCCAGGCGCAGTGGCTCACGCCTGTAATCCCAGCGGTTTGGGAGGCCGAGGCAGGTGGATCAATTGAGGTCAGAAGTTCGAGACCAGCCGGGCCAACATGGTGAAACCCCGTCTCTATTAAAAATACAAAAATTAGCCGGGCATGATGGCGGGCACCTGTAATCTCAGCTACTCGGAAGGCTGAAGAAGGAGAATCGCTTGAACCTGGAAGGCAGAGGTTGCAGTGAGCCGAGGTCGGGCCACTGCACTCCAGCCTGGGCGACAGAGCAAGACTCTCTATTAAAAAAAAAAAAAAAAAAAAAAAAAAGGCTGGGTGCTGTGGCTCACGCCTGTAATCCCAGCGCTTTGGGAGGCCAAGGCAGGCAGATCACCTGAGGTCAGGGGTTCAAGACCAGCCTGACCAACGTGGTGAAACCCGGTCTCTACTAAAAATACAAAAATTAGCCAGGTGTGGTGGGTTCAAGCGATTCTCCTGCCTCAGCCTCCTGAGTAGCTGTGATTACAGGCGCCTGCCACCATGCCCAGCTAATTTTTTCTATTTTGAGTAGAGACGGAGTTTCACTATGTTTGTCAGGCTGGTCTTGAACCCTGACCTGACCTCAGGTGATCACCCCGCCTCGGCCTCCCAAAGTGCTGGAATTACAGGCGTGAGCCACCACACCCGGCCCAGAGGGCTAATTTTTAAATTTTTTGTAGAGACGAGATCTCACTATGTTGCCCAGGCTTACTTTTTAATTATAACAAGGATTAGGGTAACTTTATAATGGAGAACACTACCTTAACCAAGTCACCTTTAGCGTCACCAGGACAGGGACAAATTGGTATTATGTGCTTTCCGACGTAATGCACTGAGAAAGACACAAGTCACCTCTGTGGTATTTCTGCCAAAAATTCATAATCTGAATCGAATCATGAGAAGCTATTAGGCAAACCCCAACTAAAGAACTCATCAAGACATCAACATCATAAAAAACAAAGATCACTTGCAGTCAGGAGTTTGAGACCAGCCTGGCCAACATGGCGAAACCTGTCTCTACCAAAAATACAAAATTTAGCCGGGCGTGGTGGCAGGCGCCTGTAATCCCAGCTACTTGGGAGGCTGAGGCAGGAGAATTGCATGAACCCAGGAGGCGGAGGTTGTAGTGAGCCAAGATCGCGACACTGCACTCCAGCCTGGGTGGCAGAGCGAGACTTTGACTCAAATAAAAAAAAAAAGAGAATGACTTTCTCTTAAATGTCTTTGGAGAACGACTTTCTCTTAAATGTCTTTGTACAGAAGAGACTGAGACTATTATCCTTAGAAAGATCTGATTGCAAGGTTAGCCCTTGACTAGCATCTGCCAATTTGGCTAGTAAACAGTTTGCTACACTGATACGAGTTGTTCATTGTGGCTGGGCACAGTCGCTCATGCCTGTAATCCCAGCACTTTGGGAGGCCGAGGCGGGTGGATCACTTGAGGTCAGGGGTTTGAGACCAGCCTGACCAACATGGTGAAACCCTGTATCTACTAAAAATACAAAAATTAGCTGGGCATCGTTGCAGTGTCCTGTAATCCCAGCTACTGGGGAAGCCGAGGTAGGACAATTGCTTGAACCCAGGAGGAGGACGTTGCAGTCAGCAGAGATTATGCCACTCTACTCCAGCCTGGGCGACAGAGCGAGACTCTGTCTCAAAAAACAAAACAAAAAAAAACAAAAAAACAAAAAACAAGAGTGGTTTATTGTGCCTAAACTGTTTGTAGAAACTATGTGGTTTATGCGGAACACCTGCATTCCCTCAGAGTCTAGGATTCTGATATGTGCTAGGTAGAGAGTACCTATGTGACCAGTCCCCACTAAAAAGCCTTGGCCACTGAGTCTCTAATGAGCTTCCCCAGTAGACAACACTTTGCACATGTTGTCACAACTCATTGCTGGAGAAATTGAGTCTTGTATGACTCCACAGGGCGACTCTTGGAAGCCTGTGCCTGGTCCTCTGGATTTCAGTCTGTTGCTCAAGGGAGGTACAGAGCATAAAGAAGCCTGTGCATGGATTTCCTGGATCCCACCTGTGTCCTTTTTTTTTTTTTTTTTTTTTTTTTTTTTGAGACAGGGTCTCACTCTGTCATCCAGGCTGGAGTGCAGTGGTGCAACCTCAGCTCACTGGAACCTCCGCCTCCTGGGTTCAAACAATTCTCCTTCATCAGTCTCCTGAGTAGCTGGCATTACAGGTGGGCGCCACCACGATGGGCTAATTATTATATTTTATTTATTTATTTATTTTTTATTATTATTATACTTTAAGTTTTAGGGTACATGTGCACAATGTGCCGGTTAGTTACATACGTATACATGTGCCATGCTGGTGTGCTGCACCCATTAACTCGTCATTTAGCATTAGGTATATCTCCTAATGCTATCCCTCCCCCCTCCCCCCACCCCACAACAGTCCCCAGAGTGTGATGTTCCCCTTCCTGTGTCCATGTGTTCTCATTGTTCAATTCCCATCTATAAGTGAGAACATGCAGTGTTTGGTTTTTTGTCCTTGCGATAGTTTACTGAGAATGATGATTTCCAATTTCATCCATGTCCCTACAAAGGACATGAACTCATCATTTTTTATGGCTGCATAGTATTCCATGGTGTATATGTGCCACATTTTCTTAATCCAGTCTATCATTGTTGGACATTTGGGTTGGTTCCAAGTCTTTGCTATTGTGAATACTGATGCAATAAACATACATGTGCATGTGTCTTCATAGCAGCATGATTTATAGTCCTTTGGGTATATACCCAGTAATGGGATGGCTGGGTCAAATGGTATTTCTGGTTCTAGATCCCTGAGGAATCGCCACACTGACTTCCACAATGGTTGAACTAGTTTACAGTCCCACCAACAGTGTAAAAGTGTTCCTATTTCTCCACATCCTCTCCAGCACCTGTTGTTTCCTGACTTTTTAATGATTGCCATTCTAACTGATGTGAGATGGTATCTCACTGTGGTTTTGGTTTGCATTTCTCTGATGGCCAGTGATGATGAGCATTTTTTCATGTGTCTTTTGGCTGCATAAATGTCTTCTTTTGAGAAGTGTCTGTTCATATCCTTTGCCCACTTTTTAATGGGGTTGTTTGTTTTTTTCTTCTAAATTTGTTTGAGTTCATTATAGATTCTGGATATTAGCCCTTTATCAGATGAGTAGGTTGCGAAAATTTTCTCCCATTTTGTAGGTTGCCTGTTCACTCTGATGGTAGTTTCTTTTGCTGTGCAGAAGCTCTTTAGTCTAATTAGATCCCATTTGTCAATTTTGGCTTTTGTTGCCATTGCTTTTGGTGTTTTAGACATGAAGCCCTTGCCCATGCCTATGTCCTGAATGGTAATGCCTAGGTTTTCTTCTAGGGTTTTTATGGTTTTAGGTCTAACGTTTAAGTCTTTAATCCATCTTGAATTAATTATTGTATAAGGTATAAGGAAGGGATCCAGTTTCAGCTTTCTACATATGGCTAGCCAGTTTTCCCAGCACCATTTATTAAATAGGGAATCCTTTCCCCATTGCTTGTTTTTCTCAGATTTGTCAAAGGTCAGATAGTTGTAGATATGTGGCGTAATTTCTGAGGGCTCTGTTCTGTTCCATTGATCTATATCTCTGTTTTGGTACCAGTACCATGCTGTTTTGGTTACTGTAGCCTTGTAGTATAGTTTGAAGTCAGGTAGCATGATGCCTCCAGCTTTGTTCTTTTGGCTTAGGATTGACTTGACAATGCAGGCTCTTTTTTGGTTCCATATGAACTTTAAAGTAGTTTTTTCCAATTCTGTGAAGAAAGTCATTGGTAGCTTGATGGGGATGGCATTGAATCTATAAATTACCTTGGGCAGTATGGCCATTTTCACAATATTGATTCTTCCTACCCATGAGCATGGAATGTTCTTCCATTTCTTTGTATCCTCTTTTATTTCATTGAGCAGTGGTTTGTAGTTCTCCTTGAAGAGGTCCTTCACGTCCCTTGTAAGTTGGATTCCTAAGTATTTTATTCTCTTTGAAGCAATTGTGAATGGGAGTTCACTCATGATTTGGCTCTCTGTCTGTTATTGGTGTATAAGAATGCTTGTGATTTTTGTACATTGATTTTGTATCCTGAGACTTTGCTGAAGTTGCTTATCAGCTTAAGGAGATTTTCGGCTGAGACAATGGGGTTTTAATTATCGTATTTTAAATAGAGATGGGGTTTCACAATGTTGGCCAGGCGATGGTGTCAAACTCCTGACCTCAAGTGATCTGCCTACCTCAGCCTCCCAAAGTGCTGGGATTACAGGCATGAGCCACCAGGCCCAGCCAACTTTTTTTTTTTTTTTTTTTTTTTTGAGACAGAGTTTTGCTCATATTGCCCAGTCTGGAGTACAGTGGCGAGATCTCAGCTCACTGCCACTTCTGCCTCCCGGGTTCAAGCAATTCTCCTGCCTCAGCCTCCCAAATAGCTGGGATTACAGGCATGCACCATCATGCCTGGCTAATTTTTGTATTTTTAGTAGAGATGGGGTTTCACCATGTTGGTCAGGCTGGTCTCCAACTCCTGACCTCAGGTGATCCACCTGCCTCAGCCTCCGAAAGTGCTTGGATTACAAGCGTGATCCACTGTGCCCAGACTTTTCATTAATTTATTTATTTTTGAGATGGAGTTTGGCTCTCATTGCCCAGGCTGGAGTGCAATGGTGCGATCTCTTCTCACTGCAACCTCCACCTCCCCAGTTCAAACTATTCTCCTGCCTCAGCCTCCCAAGTAGCTGGATTACAGACATGCGCCACCACACCTGGCTATTTTTTTTTTTGAGATGGAGTTTTGCTCTTGTCACCCAGGATGGAGTGCAATAGCGTGATCTCAGCTCACTGCAACCTCCACCTCCCGGGTTCAAGTGATTCTCCTACCTCAGCCTCCCTAGTAGTTGGGATTACAGGTGCCTGCCACCAAGCCTGGCTAATTTAAAATTTTTTTTTTTTATTTTTAGTAGAGATGAGGTTTTGTCACGTTGGCCAGGCTGGTCTTGAACTCCCGACCTCAGGTGATCCACCTGCCTCGGTCTCCCAAGTGCTGGGATTACAGCCATGAGCCACTGCATCCAGCCTTTCAGCCTTTTCGAGATAGTGTCTCAACTCTAGTCTCCCAGGCTAGAGTGTAGTTGCATGAACACGGCTCATTACAGCCTTGACCTCCTGGGCTCAAGTGATCCTCCCACCTCAGCCTCCTGAGTAACTGGGACCACAGGCACCTACCACCAGGCCCAACTAATTTTTGTATGTTTTGTAGATGCGCCCACCACCACACCCAACTAATTTTTGTATGTTTTGTAGAGATGGTTTTTGCCATATTGCCTAGGCTGGTCTTGAACTCCTGAGCTCAAGCAATCAGCCTGCCTCAGCCTCCCAAAGTGCTAGAATTACAGGCATGAGCCACCGGGCCAGCTGCAACTATTCTATTAATCCGAAATTATTTCAAGACATAATTTAAAATGGAAAAACCGGCTGGGCGCGGTGGCTCACACCTGTAATCCCAACACTTTGGGAGGCCGAGGTGGGTGGATCACTTGAGACCAGGAGTTTGAGACCAGCCAGGGCAACGTGGTGAAACCCCCTCTCTACTAAAGATACAAAAATTAGTCGGGCTCGGTGGCACACACCTGTAGTCCCAGCTGCTCGGGACGCTGAGACACAAGAATTGCTTGAATCTGGGGGACAGAGATTGCAGTGAGCTGGGATCGCACCACTGCACTCCAGCCTGGGTGACAGAGCGAGACTTCATCTCAAAAAAAAAAAAAAAGAAGAAAAATAGAAAAATGAAAATGAAACCAAATCTGTACCCTAGATGCGCTTATTGCTCATTGCTAGAGATATATCTGTTTGTAGGCCCTCTCAGTGAACAGACAGGGGACACATACACAGACATGCACACTAGTTCTCTTTATAACATAACTCTCTTTCTCTGTCTATATATAAAACCATGAGATCATCCTGATACCTCCAATTCCAATTCAACACTTCAGGGTAAACTTTTGTTTTCCCCATCCATATTTGTCACTCTTTTAGTAAGTAATCTAACTCCCATTATTCCTAATTACTTGTTTCCTCAAACCTAGATTACACAAAGGAATTTTCAGAATTGCCTAACCCACACCACTACAAAAGCAAATCTACTTACCAGAGTACAATATTTGTTTACAGATATATATATATATTTTTTTTAGAGACAGCGTCTTGCTCTGTCACCCAGGGTGGAGTGCAGTGTGGAACGATCTCAGCTCACTGCAACTTCCACCTCCTGGGTTCAAGCAATTCTCATACTTCAGCCTCCCAGACCTTTTTTTTTTTTTTCTTTAAGACAGGGTCTCACTTTGTCACCCAGGCTGGAGTGCAGTGGTGTGATCACAGCTGACCGCAGCCTCAAACTCTTGGGCTCAAGCGATCCTCCCACCTCAGCCTCTTATGTAGTGGGGACTACAGGTACATGCCACCACGCCTGGCTAATTTTAAAAAAAATATTTTTTTGTGGCCGGGGGCGGTGGCGCACGCCTGTAATCCCAGCACTTTGGGAGGCCAAGGCGGGCGGATCACGAGGTCAGGAGATCGAGACCATCCTGGCCAACACGGTGAAACCCCGTCTCTACTAAAAACACAAAAAATTAGCTGGGATTGGTGGCACGTGCCTGTAGTCCCAGCTACTTGGGAGGCTGAAGCAAGAGAATCGCTTGAACCTGGGAGGTGGAGGTTGCAGTGAGCCGAGATCGCACCACTGCACTACAGCCTGGGCGACAGAGTGAGACTCCATCTCAAAAAAAAAAAAAATTTGTAGGCCGGGCATGGTGGCTCACACCTTAATCCCAGCACTTTGGGAGGCTGAGGTGGGCAGATCACCTGAGGTCAAGAGTTCGAGACCAGCCTGGCCAACGTGGTGAAACCCCATCTCTACTTAAAATACAGAAATTAGCTGGGCATGGTGGCGGGCGCCTGTAATCCCAGCTACTCAGGAGGCTGAGGCAGGAGAATCGCTTGAAGCCAGGAGGCAGAGGTTGCAGTGAGCCAAGATTGCGTCATTGCACTCCAGCCTGGGCAACAAGAGCCAGACTCTCAAAAAATATATAGATAGATAGATAGATATGTATATATATATACACACACTATATATACACATACATATATATATATACACACACATACATATATATACACACACATATATATATAGTAGAGACAGGGACCTTACTATGTTCCCCAGGGTTGTCTCCAACTCCTGGCCTGAAGCAATCCTCCTGTCTCAGCCTCCCAAAGTGCCCAGATTGCAGGTGGGAGCCAGCATACCCAACCCATTGTTTACAGGCATTTTTCTTTTTTTTTTCTTTTTTTTTTTTTTTTTGAGACAGAGTCTTGCTCTGTCGCCTAGGCTGGCTGGAGTGCAGTGGCGCAATCTCGGCTCACTGCAAGCTCCGCCTCCTGGGTTCACGCCATTCTCCTGCCTCAGCCTCCCGAGTAGCTGGGACTACAGGCGCCTGCCACCACGCCCGGCTAATTTTTTGTATTTTTTTTAGTAGAGACGGGGTTTCACCGTGTTGGCCAGGATGGTCTCGATCTCCTGACCTCGTGATCCGCCCGCCTCGGCCTCCCAAAGTGCTGGGATTACAGGCGTGAGCCACCGCGCCCAGCCTGTTTACAGGCATTTTTGAGGTAAAATTTACATGTGGTAAAATTCACAAATCAAAATTCACAGCAGCCTGATAAAGAATACACTTGGCCGGGTGTGGTGGTTCGCGTCTGTAATCCCAGCACTTTGGGAGGCCGAGGCTGGCGGATCACGAGGTCAGATCGAGACCATCCTGGCTAACATGGTGAAACCCCATCTCTACTAAAAAAAAATACAAAACATTAGCCGGGCGTGGTGGCGGCTGCCCATAGTCCCAGCTACTTGGGAGGCTGAGGCAGGAGAATGGCGTGAACCTGGGAGGCAGAGCTTGCAGTGAGCCGAGATCGCGCCACTGCACTCCAGCCTGGGTGACAGAGTGAGACTCCGTCTCTAAAAAAAAAAAAAAAAAAAGAATACACTCAAGTAGCTCCTACCCCTATCATGATATAGAATGTTTACATCAGCAGGGCGCGGGGGCTCACACTTGTAATCCCAGCACTTTGGGAGTCCAAGGCGGGCAGATTACGAGGTCTGGAATTCAAGACTAGCCTGGGCAACACACTGAAACACCGTCTCTACTAAAAATACAAAAATTAGCTGGGTGTGCTGGCGGGTGCCTGTAATCCCAGCTACTCGGGAGGCTGAGGCAGGAGAATCGCTTGAACCCAGGAGGTGGAGGTTGCAGTAAGCTGAGATCGCGTCACTGCACTCCAGCCTGGGCGACAGAGCTAGACTCTGTCTCAAAAAAAAAAAAAAAAAGAATGTTTACATCACCCCAGTTCTTTCCCAGCTGTTCTCAGTCAATCCTCTCCCCTATGAGGCAATGAGTGTTAAAACTTCAGGGATCCTGTAATACCAGCACTTTGGGAGGCCGAGGCGGGTGGATTGCTTGAGGCCAGATGTTGGAGACTAGCCTGGCCAACATGGCGAAACCCCATCTCTACTAAAAATACAAAAATTAGCTGGGCGTGGTGGCATGCGACTGCAGTCCCAGCTACTCAGGAGGCAGAGGCACAAGAATTGCTTGAACCCGGTAGGTGGAGGTAGCAGTGAGCAGAAGTCACACCACTGCACTCCAGCCTGGGCGACAGAGCGAGACTCCATTTCCACAAAAAAAAAAAAAAAAAAAGAAAAAGAAAAAGAAAAAAAGAAATTGAGGGCACATGGCTATCCAATTGTTCCAACATTATTTGTTGAAAAGAATATCCATTCTGCACTTAGCACTTTTTTCAAAAATCAATTGAACATATATGTGTGGGTCTATTTCTGGGGTTTCTGTTCTCTTTCATTGATATAATTGGCTGTCTTGACACAGATACCACAATATTTTGATTATTGTAGCTTTATAATAAGTCATGAAGTCAGGAAGTGCAGGTCCTCCAAATTTGTTCTTGTTTTTCAAAGTTGTTTTAGTTTTTTTACATTTCCATATGACTTTTAGAACCAGGTTGTCGGCCGGGTGCGGTGGCTCACGCCTGTAATCCCAGCACTTTGGGAGGCCGAGGCAGGCGGATCACTTGAGGTCAGGAGTTCGAGACCAGCCTCAACGTGGAGAAACCCCGTCTCTACTAAAAATACAAAATTAGCTGGGCGTGGTGGTGCATGCCTGTAATCCCAGCTACTCGGGAGGCTGAGGCAGGAGAATTGCTTGAACCTGGGAGGCAGAGGTTGCAGTGAGCCAAGATTGCGCCATTGCACTCCAGCCTGGGCAACAAGAGCGAAACTCCGTCTCAAAAAAAAAAAAAAAAAAAAAGAATCAGGTTGTCAATTCTACAAAAATATCCGCTGGGATTTGACTGGGATTACATTGATTCTATAGATCAACGTCAGGAGAACTGGTATCTTAATAATATTGAGTCTCCTGCTTCATAAACATGGTGTGTCTATTCATTTGGGAATTATTTAATTTCTTTCTTTCTTTTTTTATTTTTTTTCTTTTATTTTTTGAGACAGAGTCTCACTCTCTCACCCAGGCTGGAGTACAGTGGCACCATCTCGGCTCACTGCAGCCTCTGCCTCCCGCATTCAAGGGATTCTCCTGCCTCAGCCTCCTGAGTAGCTGGGACCACAGGCTCATGCCCCCACGCCTGGCTAATTTTTCGTTTGTTTGTTTTTTGAGACAGAGTCTCCCTCTATTGCCCAGGCTAGAGTGCAGCGGCACAATCTCGGCTCACTGAAACCTCTGCCTCCCAGGTTCAAGCGATTCTCTCACCTCTGCCTCCTGAATAGCTGGGACTACAGGCACACACCACCATACCGGGCTAGTTATTTTTTATTTTTAGTAGAGACAGGGTTTCACCATATTGACCAGGCTGGTCTCCAACTCCTGATCTCGTGATCCATCCACCTCAGCCTCCCAAAGTGCTAGGATTACAGGCATGAGCCACTGCACTTGGCCTTTTTTTTTTTTTTTTTTTGAGATGGAGTTTTGTTCTGTTGCCTTGGCTGGAGTGCAGTGACGCCATCTTGGCTTACTGCAACCTCTTCCTCCGGGGTTCAAGCGAGATGGGGTTTCACCATGTTGGCCAGGCTGGTCTTGAACTCCTGACCTCTGGTGATCCACCTGCCTTGGCCTCCCGAAGTGTTAGGATTACAGGTGTGAGCCACCCCTCCTGGCCTAATTTTTGCATTTTTAGTGGAAATGGGGGTTTCACTGTGTTGGCCAGGCTGGTCTCAAACTCCCGACCCCAAGTGATCCATCTGCCTGGGCCTCCCAAAATGCTGGGATTACAGGCGTGAGCCACCATGCCCAGCCCATACATGTTATTTTAAGGTTTCAATTTCCTATGGGTCACTGCTAGTTTATAGAAATACAATTAGCTGGGTGCAGTGGCTCGCGCCAGTAATCCCAGCACTTTGGGAGGCTGAGGCAGGTGGATCACTTGAGGCCAGGAGTTAGAAACCAGCCCGGGCAACATGGTGAAACCTCATCTCTACAAAATATACAAAAATTAGCAAGGCATGGTTGCGTGCGCCTGTAAGTCCCAGCTACTCAGGAGGCTTAGGTGGGAGGAATGCTTGAGCCCAGAAGACGGAGGTTGCAGTGAGCCAAGAGCCAGACCCTGTCTCAAAAAGAAAAAAAAAAAAGAAAAAAAAGAGCCAGGCACGGTGGCTCACGCCTGTTATCCCAGCACTTTGGGAGGCTGAGATGGGTGGATCACCTGAGGTCGGGAATTCGAGACCAGCCTGGCCAACATGGTGAAACCCCATCTCTACTAAGAAAATACAAAAATTAGTCGGGCATGGTGACGGGCGCCTGTAATGCCAGCTATTTGGGAGGCTGAGGCAGGAGAATCACTTGAACCTGGGAGGCAGAGAGCTGAGATCGCGCCATTGCACTCCAGTCTGGGCCACCACAGAGTGAGACTCCGTCTCAAAAAAAAAAAAAAAAAAAAAAAAAAGGACATGTTGGCCTGTTTGTAATGTTATGTTAGGAGGAAAGGCAGTCTTTCACCATTGAGTTTGACATTACTATAGGTTATTTGTAATTGCTCTTTATCATATGGAGGAGATATTACCTTCTTTCATTTCTAGTTTTCTGAGAGGTTTTTTTGGTTTTTGGTTTTTGGTTTTTTTTCTGAGACAGAGTTTTGCTCTTCTTGCCCAGGCTGGAGTGCAGTGGTCCGATCTAGGCTCACTGCAACCTCCACCTCCCGGGTTCAAGTGATCCTCCTGCCTCATCCTCCTGAATAGCTGGGATTACAGGTGCACGCCACCACGTCCAGCTAATTTTTTGTATTTTTAGTAGAGGTGGGGTTTCATCATGTTGGCTAGGCTGGTCTCAAACTCCTAACCTCAGGTGATCCACCCGCCTTGGCCTCCCAAAGTGCAGGGATTACAGGCGTGAGCCACTGCACCCGGCCAAGAGTTTTTTTTAAATCAGGAATGGATGGTGGATTTTGTCAAACGCTTTTCTTTGCATCTCTTGAGATGGTTTTTCTTGCATTCTTGGAATAAATTCAAATTCATCTTGATGTATTTTCTTTTGTATATATTGTTGGATTTGATTTACTAAAATGGGCTGGGCACGTGGCTTACGCCTGTAATCCTAGCACTTTTGGAGGTAGAGGCGGGTGGATCATCTGAGATCAGGAGTTCAAGACCAGCCTGGCCAACATGGTGAAACCCCGTCTCTACTAAAAATACAAAAATTAGCTGGGCGTGGTGGCATATGCCTGCAATCCCAGCTACTAGGGAGGCTGAGGCAGGAGAATCGCTTGAACCCAGGAGGCAGAGGTTGCAGTGAGCCAAGTTTGCGCCACTGCACTTCAGCCTGGGCAGCAGAGTGAGCCTCTGTCTCCAAAAGAAGAAGAAAAAAAAAAGCAAAAAAACAAGATTTACTAAAATGTTAAGAACTTTTGCATCTGTGTTCATGAAGGATAGTTACATATAGCTTTCTTTTCTTGTAATGACTTTCTGTGGTTTTGTATCAGAGTAATGCTAGTTTCATAGAATGAGTTGGAAAGTATCCCCTCCTCTTAAATTTTCTGGAAGAGTTTGTGCAGAATTCATATTATTTCTTCTATATATATATGGTACAGTTCCCCAAGGAAGCCATCTGGGCCTGGAATTTCCTTCAGGGGAATGTGTTTTACTACAAATTCAATTTATTTAATATATATAGGGCTAGTCAAGTTATCTATTTCTTCCTGAGTGGGCATTGGTATTTTGTGTCTTGCAAGGAATTTGTTGTGAGAAGTATGGGCATAAATTTGTTTGTAATATTCTCCTTTATCCTTTTTTAAAATTGAGGTAAAATGTGCATGACATAAAATTTATCGTTTTAACCATCTGTAAGTGTACAATTCAGGAGCATTAAGTACATTCACAGTGTTGTGTAACCAACGCCACTGTCTATTTCCAGAACTTTTTCATCATCCCAAACAGAAACTCTGTACCCATTAAGCAATAACTCTCCATTTTCCCCATCCCCAAGGCCCTGGTAACCTCTATTCTACTTTCTTCCTCTAGTAACTTGCCTATTCTAAATACCACATATAAGTGGAATCAATATTTGTCCTGTGTCTGGCAAATTTCACTTAGCGTATTTTCAAGGTTCATCCTGAATTGGCCTTCTCCATCTCCAGGCAGTAAGCTGGGCAACCATCATGCTTACCTTGTTTGTTTCCCATCTCTCAGGGATCACTTTCCTTCATTGTCTAATGTCCAGTATCTTTTTGTTGTTGTTCTGTTTTTGAGACAGGGTCTCACTCTCACCCAGGATGGAGTGCAGTGGCGCAATCACGGGTCACTGCAGCCTTGACCTCCTGGGCTCAAGCAATCCTACCGCCTCAGCCTTCCAAATAGCTGAGGCTTCCAGATTAGCCACCACACTCAGCTAATCTGATGTCCACTATCGTGAGATTTGTTTTTCCATTTTATTCATCTGGATTTTTGTTTGTTTCAGGCAGGAGGGCAAATTCTGTCCCCATTATTCCATCTTGGTTGAAAATTGGGCTGGGCGCGGTGGCTCACACCTGTAATCCCAGCACTTTGGGAGGCCAAGGCAGGTGGATCTCCTGAGGTCAGGAGTTCGAGACCAGCCTGCCCAACATGGTGAAACCCCATCTCTACAAAAATACAAAAAATTAGCCGGGCATGATGGTGGGTGCCTGTAATCCCAGCTACTCAGGAGGCCGAGGTGGGAGAATTGCTTGAACCCAGGAGGTGGAGGTTGCAGTGAGCCGAGAACGAGCCATTGCACTCCAGCCTGGGTGACAGAGTGAGACTCTGTCTCAAAAAAAAAAAAAATGAAAACCAATAATTACAAATGCAGAAAATCATGCACCAGGTTTCCAGACAAATTTGGTGAAAGATAAGTAGAACAAAATAGTTTTTTAAATAAAAAGAATGTAATAACAGTGAACTATTTATCAGTTTTTTTTGTTTTTTTGTTTGTTTGTCTCAAAGAGCTCCCGGCCGGGCGCGGTGGTTCATGCCCGTAATCCCAGCACTTTGGGAGGCCGAGGCGGGCAGATTACCTGAGGTCAGGAGTTCAAGACCACCATGGAGAACATGGTGAAACCTCGTCTCTACTAAAAATACAAAAATTAGCTGGGCGTGGTTGCACACGCCTGTAATCCCAGCTACTCGGGAGGCTGAGGCAGGAGAATTGCTTGAGCCTGGGAGACGGAGGTTGCAGTGAGCCGAGATTGTACCACTGCACTCCAGCCTGGCCAACAGAGCGAGACTGTCTCAAAAAAAAAAAAAGAAAGAAAAAAGAAAAAAAAAGAAGGGAAGGAAGGAAGGAAGGAAGGAAGGAAGGAAGGAAGGAAGGAAGGAAGGAAGGAAGGAAGGAATTCAGTGCCAGGCACGGTGGCTCACACCTGTAATCCTAGAACTTTGGGAGGCCGAGGCGGGTGGATCACCTGAGGTAAGGAGTTCAAGACCAGCCTGGCCAACATGGTGAAACCCCATCTTTACTAAAAATACAAAAATTAGCTGGGCGGCCTGGCACAATGGCTCACGCCTATAATTCCAGCACTTTGGGGGGCCCAAGCCGGTGGATCATGAGGTCAGGAGATTGAGACCATCCTGGCTCGATTCTCCTGCTTCAGCCTCCCGAGTAGCTGGGACTACAGGCGCATGCCACCACACCAGCTAATTTTTGTATTTTTCTTAGAGACATGGTTTTACCATGTTGGCCAGGATGGTCTCGATCTCTTGACCTTGTGATCTGCCTGCCTCGGCCTCCCAAAGTGCTGGGATTACAGGTGTGAGCCACTGCACCCGGCCGTTTTTTGTTTTTTGTTTTTTGTTTTTGAGACAGAGTCTCGCTCTGTCACCAAGGCTGGAGTGCAGTGGTGCGATCTTGGCTCACTGCAACCTCTGCCTCCCAGGTTCAAGCAGTTCTCCTGTCTCAGCCTCCCAAGTAGCTGGGACTACAGGCATGTGCCACCACGCTTAGCTAACTTTTGTGTTTTTAGTAGAGACGGGGTTTCGCCGTGTTGGCCAGCCTGGTCCTGAACTCCTGACCTCAAGTGATCTGCCCTCCTCGGACTCCTAAAGTGCTGGGATTATAAGCGTGAGCCACTGCGCTTGGCCTATACTCTTCATTAGAAGCAAGTCTCTAAGTCCAACTCACATTCAAGAGGAGGAGGGGAATTAGGTTCCACCTTTTGAGGGGATGAGAATAAGATATCTAATACATATTTTGGAGGTGATAATTTTTTTTTTTTGAGACGGAGTCTCGCTCTGTCACCCAGGCTGGAGTGCAGTGGCGCTATCTCTGCTCACTGCAAGCTCCGCCTCCCGAGTTCACACCATTCTCCTGCCTCAGCCTCCCGAGTAGCTGGGACTACAGGCGCCTGCCACCACTCCCGGCTAATTTTTTAAAAATTTTTTTTAGTAGAGACGGGGTTTCACCTTGTTAGCCAGGATGTTCTTGATCTCCTGACCTTGTGATCCGCCTGCCTCAGCCTCCCAAAGTGCTGGGATTATAGCCATGAGACACCGCGCCTGGCCTATACTTTTTAAAAATAATATATTTTTTGGCTGAGCACGGTGGCTCACGCCTGTAATCCCAACACATTGGGAGGCTGAGGCGGGTGGATCACTTGAGGTCAGGAGTTCAAGACCAGCCTGGCCAATATGGTGAAACCCCATGCCGGGTGTGGTGGCACGTGCCTGTAATCCCAGCTACTCGAGAGGCTGAGGCAGAACTGCTTGAACCCAGGAGGTGGAGGTTGCAGTGAGCTGAGATTGCGCCACTGCACTCCAGCCTGGGCAACAGAGCGAGGCTCTGTCTCAAAATAAAAATAAAAATTAAAAAAATATATATTTTTTGACATGGGGTTTCACCATGTTGCTTAGGCTGGTCTGGAACTCCTCAGCTTAAGCGATCCTCCCACCTCAGCCTTTTGTTGGGATTACAGGCGTGAGCTGCTGTGCCCAGCCTGAAGGTGATACTTTAAGGATGTGCAACTGTGTTTCACCTTAAAGTTTTGCCCACTAGTTTTAGCATTTAATGGATCTTGTCTGCAGCAATTATTACTGTGGTATTCTAATGGGAATTTTCTACTTCCCTCATTCCTTCTATATTTATTATTTGGAATTCTTGTGTAAGAAAGAGTTGACCCTTCTCCACCATTCATGTATTTATTAGAGACAGCATCTCCCAGTGTCATCCAGGCTAGAGTTCAGGGGCTATTCACAGGAGTGATCATGGTGCATTACAGCCTCAAACTCTTGAGCTCAAGCCATTCTCCTGCCTCAGCCTCCCAAGTATCTGGGACTACAGGCACACACCACCTCGTCTGGCTCTCAGCATTTATTTATTCAATCATATCACTTATATAAATAAGTATGGAATCATGGATGTTCATTTTTTGAACTATAATCTAATATTACCCTTTCTGTTATTCTTGCTCAAATTGTTCCAGCTTTGGCCATTGGGAGTTGTTTTTCTTTTTTTTTTCGAGACGGAGTCTCACTCTGTTGCCAGGCTGGAGTGCAGTGGCGAGATCTCGGCTCACTGCAACCTCCGCCTCCCACGTTGAAGCAATTCTCCTGCCTCAGCCTCCCGAGTAGCTAGAACTACAGGCGCGTGCCACCACACCCAGCTAATTTGTGTATATTTAGTAGAGGCGGGGTTTCACCATGTTGGCCAGGATGGTCTTGATCTCTTGACCTCATGATCCGCCCACCTTGGCCTCCCAAAGTGCTGGGATTACAGACGTGAGCCACCGCACCTGACCAGGAGTTCTTTCAGGTTGGCTTCTGTATCTTATGACATGCTGCAATCATTGCTTTTTTGTTTGTTTGTTTTTTTTTTTTTTTTTTTGAGATGGAGTTTTGCTCTTGTTGCCCAGGCTGGAGTGCAATGGCATGATCTCGGCTCACTGCAACCTCTGCCTCCCAGGTTCAAGCAATTCTCCTGCCTCAGCCTCCTGAGTAGCTGGGATTACAGGTGCCCCCCACCACACCCGGCTAATTTTTTGTATTTTTAGTAGAGACGGGGTTTCACCATGTTGGCCAGGCTGGTCTGAAACTCCTGACCCCAGGTGATCCATGCGTCTTGGCCTCCCAAAGTGCTGGGATTACAGGTGTGAGCCACCATGCCTAGCCTCCATCATTGGTTTTAGGCATTTCCTTACTTTCTGTCACTACAGGATGCTCCAGGCTCATCTTGTATTTCTCTCCACCCCAGACTGAAAATCAGCCATTTTTCCAGGAGCACTGGTTTCTTTTATTGGAGAATGGCATTTAGAAACCAAGGTCCAGGCCAGGCGCGGTGGCTCAGACCTGTAATCCCAGCACTTTGCGAGGCCAAGATGGGCAGATCACCTGAGGTCAGGAGTTCAAGACCAGCCTGGCCAACACGGCGAAACCCTGTCTCTACTAAAAATACAAAAAGTAGTCAGGCGTGGTGGGCAGCGCCTGTAGTCCCAGCTACTCAGGAGGCTGAGGCAGGAGAATCGCTTGAACCCAGGAGGCGGAGGTTGCAGTGAGCCAAGATTGCGCCATTGCACTCCAGCCTGGGTGACAAGGGTGAAACTCTGTCTCAACAACAACAACAAAAAAGAAACCAAGATCTGGCCACTAGATGTGCTCATTGTTTCTGGGATAGCATGATTTGTAGGACTTCTCAGTAGACAGACTGAGAAACCGTCTGCAAAAACCAAGAAGATAGGACCACTTAGTACAACATAGTATCTATGGTAGGTGCCTTCTGAGATGCCCTCAACCAGTGCTCCCTGCCTGCTATATTCTTGGTCTTGTGTAATCCCCTCCCCTTTAGTAACTTCTTTGCAAGTAACAGAATGCCTCAACCTTGAGGGGATATCACTTCCATAATTAGATCACAAGAGATGTGACCTCTGTTTTGCTAGCCAACTCTTTCTCTCGCTGGCTTGGATGAAGCAAACTACCATGCTGTGAGCCACTGCATGGAAAGGCACACATGGTGTGGATGGTGGGCACCTCTGGCTAACAGCCAGCAAGGAACTGGGGCCCTCTGTCCAACAGGCTGCAGAGAACCGGATCCTGCCAACAAATATGGGAGCACAGAGCAGATCCTTCCCCGGTCGCACGTTCAGAGAAGTCCTCAATCCTGCCCAACTCCTTCCTCGATTGTGCCTTAGTGAGAGAGGCTGAAGCTGAGGACCCAGCTGAACCCAGCCTGGATTCCTGACTTGCAAAACCTGAGAGATAATTTATGTGTATTGTTTGGAGCCACTAAGATTGTGGTCATTTGTTTCACAGGAATAAGTAGTACGGCATACTTACTTGGATCCTAGCACAGAAAAGACGTTAGTGGAAAAGCCAGTGAAATCCAAATAAAGTCTGAAGTTGAGTTAATAGTACTCTACCAATCTTATTTTTTTTTTTATTTTTTATTTTTTTTGAGATGGAGTCTCGCTCTATCGCCCAGGCTGGAGTGCAGTGGCGCAATCTCGGCTCACTGCCAGCCTCCTGGGTTCATGCCATTCTCCTGCCTTAGCCTCCCGAGTAGCTGGGACTACAGGTGCTCGCCACCACACCCAGCTAATTTTTTATATTTTTAGTAGAGACGGGGTTTCACCGTGTTAGCCAGGACGGTTTCGATCTCCTGACCTTGTGATCCGCCTGCCTCAGCCTGCCAAAGTGCTGGGATTACAGGCGTGAGCCGCCACGCCCGGCCCAATGTTATTTTCTTAGCACTGATAAATGTGCCATGGTTACGTAGAATGTTAACATTAGGGGGAGGTGGGTGACAGGTATGAAAGCTCACTAATGGTGATGCAACTCTTCTGTAAATCTAAAATTATTTCAGAAAAACTGTTAAAAAACCTCTGGGAGGCCAGGTACGGTGGCTCACGCCTGTAATCCCAGCACTTTGGGAGGCTGAGGCGGGTGGATCACGAGGTCAGGAGATCAAGACCATCCTGGCTAACGTGGTGAAACCCCATCTCTACTAAAAATACAAAAAAATTAGCCGGGCGTGGTGGTGTGCGCCTGTAGTCCCAGCTACTTGGGAGGCTAGGGCAGGAGAATGGCTTGAACCCAGGAGCCGGAGGTTGCAATGAGCCAAGATCCCACCATTGCACTCCAGCCTGGGCGACAGAGTGAGACTTCGCCTCAAACAAAAACAAAAACAAAAACAAAAAAACACACCTCTGGGAGGCCAGGTGCAGTGGCTCACACCTGTAATCCCAGCACTTTGGGAGGCCGAGGCAGTTGGATCATTTGAGATCAGGAGTTCAAAACCAGCCTGGCCAACATGGTGAAAACCCATCTCTACTAAAAATACAAAAATTAGCCGGGCAGTAGTGGCATGTGTCTGTAATCCCAGCTACTCGGGAGGCTGAGGCAGGAGAATCGCTTGAACCTGGGAGTTGGAAGTTGTGGTGAGCCAAGATCATGCCACTGCACTCCAGTCTGGGTGACAGTGAGACCCTGTACCCCCTTCCCCCCCCAAAAAAAAACCTCTGGGCATTACATGTTACGTTTAAAAAATAAAGAAGAGGCCAGGCACGGTGGCTCATGCCTGTAATCCCAACAATTTGGGAGGCCGAGGCGGGCGAATCATCTGAGGTCACGAATGCGAGACCAGCCTGACCAACATGGTGAAACCTTGGTCTCTGCTAAAAGTACAAAAGATTGGGCCAGGGGCCGTGGCTCATGTCTGTAATCCCAGCAATTTGGGAGGCCAAGGCAGGCGGATCATTTGAAGTCAGGAGTTCAAGACCAGCCTGGCCAACATGGTGAAACCCCATCTCTACTAAAAATACAAAAATTAGCTGAGCAGTAGTGGCACATGTCTGTAATCCCAGCTACTCGCAAGGCTGAGGCAGGAGAATCACTTGAACCTGGGAGGCAGAGGTTGCAGTGAGCCGAGATCGCACCATTGCACTCCAGCCTGGACGACAGAGCGAGACTCTGTCTTTAAAAAAAAAAAAAAAAGGCCGGGCACAGTAGCTCACCCCTGTAATTCCAGCACTCTGGGAGGCCGAAGTGGGCGATCACGAGGTCAGGAGTTTGAGACCAGCCTGACCAACATGGTGAAATCCTGTCTCTAATAAAAATACAAAAATTAGCCAGGCGCGGTGACAGGTGCCTGTAATCCCAGCTACTCGGGAGGCTGAGGCAGGAGAATTGCTTGAGCCTGGGAGGTGGAGGTTGCAGTGAGCCGAGACCGTGCCACTGCACTCCAGCTTGGGCAAAAGAGCGAGACTCCATATAAAAAAAAAGAAAAGTACCTAAAATTTGCCAGGTGTGGTGGCACATGCCTGTAATCCCAGGTACTCAGGAGGCTGAGGCAGGAGAATCGCTTGAACCCGGGAGGCGGAGGTTGCAGTGAGCTGAGATCGCGCCATTGCACCCCAGCCTGGGTGACAGAGGGAAACCCTGTTTCAAAATAAATAAATAAATAAATAAAATAAAATAAAATAAAATAAAATAAGAGAGTATAGGGCCAGGTATGGTGGTTTATGCCTGTAATCCCACTTTGGGAGGCCACGGCAGGTATATCACTTGAGGCCAGGAGTTTGAGACTAGCCTGGGCAACATGGTGAGACCCTGTCTCTACTAAAAATACAAAAATTAGCTGGGCGTGGTTGCGCGTCTGTAATCCCAGGTACTTGGGAGGCTGAGGCACGTGAATCGCTTGAACCTGGGAGGCAGAGGTTGCAGTTAGCAGAGATCATGCCACTGCACTCCAGTCTGGGCAATAGAGTGAGACTCCGTTTCAAAAAAAAAAAAAAAAAAAAAAGAGAGAGAGTACAGCAAAGTTGAGGAGAAAAAATAAAGGTTATTAGGGAGCCATCAGTCTGGTTACAGAGATTCAGCAACCAGGCTTGGAGGGGTAGCAGTGTGATAGGTTAGAAAGAGCTAGCAAGGGTCGGGTGTGGTGGCTTACACCTCTAATCCCAGCACTTTGGGAGGCCGAGGCAGGCAGATCACTTGAGGTCAGGAGTTCGAAACCAGCCTGGCCATCATGGTGAAACCCCGTCTCTACTAAAAACACAAAAAATTAGCTGGGTGTGGTGGCAGATGCCTGTAATCGCAACTAGAGAGGTTGAGACAAGATAATTACCTGAACCTGGGAGGCAGAGGTTGCAGTGAGCCGAGATCATGCCACTGCACTCCAGCCTGGGTGACAGGGCGAGATTGTCTCAAAAAAAAAAAAAAGAGATAACAAGTATGGTGGTCACAGTCTAGGGTAGTCACGGTGACCAAGCCCAGTTCCAGCCCTCAGAGGTCACAGTCTGGTGGGGGAAATGGAGGGACCAGGCCTGATGCTTGTTCTAGGAGTCAGTGTCTGGTTGAGAAATTGCGGGAAAATACTTTTTCCCAGCCTTCAAGAAGATACTTGTGTTCATTTAAATTCTCCCAAAATCTCAACATCTGTTCCAAAATTCAGTTGGTTGCTTGTTCCTCTGCCTTTCAGATATTTGTCTTTGTCCTTTCCACCATCTTAAATACCTCTGTTGTCTGCCAGGAAATATCCTCATAGACTTCTTTATCAGTTTCAAAAGTGGATTTGCAAGAAAAGCTTCTTTCCCCCTCTGCCCTCAGTGGCATTTTTCAATCGAGCCCTCACTCACCTGACTTTACTGTTTTACCGCCTCACCCATTTACAGGCTTGCATATCTTCAGAACAGTTCAATTCTATTCCTCAGCTTCTTCAAAGACCAAATGGAAGTAAGAAGCAGCATGTTCTGACTAACATCCCTTTAGAGAAATAAATTAGATGAAACACTTGCAGCAGTTAAAATTGTGCCTGGTGATTGGTCTTTAAAAATACTGTCTTTTGTTTGCATATTGTCTTCCTCCATGCCCTCTTCCTTTCTAAATTCTTTTATCCATCCTTCTGGAATCTGTTTCTCCCAAGGACTTTTATCCCTCTTGGCCTGCATGGGCTATGTTCACTGCACAGTGTAAAACAAGGACAGGAGACTCTTTGCCAAAGTTAAAAGCGCATCAAACACGCCTAGCTTTTATTATTTTAATCACAAACCTATAGACCCCTCAGTATACCCTCCATGGGGCCTGGCCCCAGCAATCCAAAGCTGACAACCTTGGGTGTAGGTATGAGGGGTGGGAATGGAGGGGGGAGTGTCTCTTGATAACTCTGAAATGGGGTGATTCCTCCAAATGAAGAACTGGGTGGGGAACAGAGGTTGGGGTGGCCTAGATTCTCAGTATGCGGAGCAATAAAAAAATCAGATAAACAAATGAGGGGGTACAATATGCTTTTACAACCCTCCTCCAAGCTTCTGCCTTGCTGGGGGAAGGCTTCCAGTTTTTCCTGGGCTGGGGAGGTCCCAGGATAGCCCCTTCCTTCATCCTCTTGCCCTACATGTTGAAAAAGAATACTGAGGTACTGGTTCTGGTAACCTGAACTCAGTCCCCCACTAATACCCATCACCTTCCCAAACTGCCCCTCAAGGAAGAAGGCAGGACTCTGCCCAAGGGTGGGGGCCTCTCACTCCAGATATAGGTCTGGAAAATTCATCCATGAAATTTCATAATCTGTCCCCTTCCCCAAGAGCAAGGTTGGCTCAGAGCCCTCCTAGGTTAGGTCAGGTTGGTCCCAGGTTAAGGCAGGGGAGCTTAAGTACCACTCCTCCCTGCAGTGTGGAATGCTTAGATGGGATGTTGCTGAGGGACAAGGGTGGGGCTGTGATCTCCACAAGCACTAGCGGTGGCCTGGTCCTACTGATTCTTTCACACCTGAAATACCTGTGCTGGGCTGTTCCTATAGGGAAGGGGTGGGGCCTGGCTCCTCCATTCCTAGAAGGCCAGGAGAGTTCCCAGGGGAAGGGGCTGGGTCTCATCCTCACTTCTGTTCCTTGCCTGGGCAGAGCAGGGCAGGGTTCATGGGGAAGGGGCAGAGCTTAAACCCCCAGGGCTGGGACCTCCATTACTTGACTCCTCTTCTGTGCCAGGACGGACTAGACTGGTGGTTCCAAGACAAAGGATGGAGCAACATCCTGACATCTCCCTTTCCCAGGAGACCTGGCTAGGACAGTCCCTAGGGGACAGGGTCGAGACCTCATCCTGTCTCCTTCCCTCACCTGGGCAAGGATGAGTCCCACAGGGGCAGGGGTGAGGCTGTGATCCCCAGGGGGCAGGCCCTGATCTCATGTCCTTCTCCAGCCTTCTCCTTCTGAAATACCTGCACTGGGCGGTTCCTTTGGGGAAGGTGCAGGGCCTCATCTGACTCCTCCTCCTTGCCTGATTACAGGGGTGGGGCCTGATCACATCTCCTCTTCCCCCAGGATACCTGGGCAGGGCAGTCTCATGGGAGGGTGGGGGAAAAGGCGGGGCCTCATCCTGACTGGTCCTCCTTTCCTGGGTGGGAAAGTCCCAGGGGAGGGGTGAGGCCTGATCAGGACTCCTCTTCCATGCTGAAGCTGCTGCGGCGGCTGCTGGCCTTGGAGACAGCAGGGGACACTGAAGAGAGCAGGGGATCGGAGGCAGCCCGCAGTGGGGACAGGGCACCCCCCGACAGTCCTCCCACCACCCCCTCCTCCTCCTCCATCAGAATGTCCTCCAGCCCCAGGTGGAAGGGGTCTCCCAGGTCCCCCAGGTGGTCGCTGGGAAAGTGCAGGTCCAGAAGGGCATCTGAGGGCGGTGCAGGGGGCTGCTGATGGGGAGCATTCTGGGCAGGTCCCCCCCCTACATGGAACGTTGCTGCGCCTGGCCTGCCCTCCTCCTCAATGTCCAGCTGCTCTGGCTTGAGGCTGTCAGAAGCCGAAGTCGTGGCCAAGGAAAGCAGCCCTGGAGTGGGAGGTACTGGCAGGCCATGGATCTGGGCCTGCAGTTCTAGTTCCTGTAAAAAATAGGGGTTGGGTGCAGGATAAGTAGGGTTCAGAGTCCCTCAGAGGCAGAGGAGTATAAAGGTTGAAAAGGGTAGGTTCCCTGGGTTGGAATTCAGCTTCTGCTACTCACTAGTTCCAAAACTTTAGGCAAGGTGCTTAACATCTCTGAAGCTTCAGAGTCGCAAACTGTAAAGTGGGTATATAATAATGGCCCCTAGGCTGGGCGCGGTGGCTCACGCCTGTAATCACTTTGGGAGGCCGAGGCAGGTGGATCACCTGAGGTCAGGAGTTCGAGACCAGCTTGACCAACATGGAGAAACCCCATCTCTACTAAAAATACAAAAATTAGCTGGGTGTGGTGGTGCATGCCTATAATCCTAGCTACTCAGGAGGCTGAGACAGGAGAATTGCTTGAACCCGGGAGGCGGAGGTTGCGGTGAGCCGAGATTGCGCCATTGCACTCCAGCCTGGGCAACGAGCGAAACTCCATCTCAAAAATAAATAAATAAATAAATAAAATAATGGCCCCTATCTCATAGAATTCTGAGGATTGAATAAGTTAGTGGATATAAAGCTCTTGTCACAGTACAGAGCACAAGATAAATGCTATGTACATTAGCAATATTATTATCCTTGTTAATATTATGATTATTATTTATCATTATCACTATCATCATCGTGTGATCTGGGAAGCCCAGGGATCCCCCAAGTATGCCAGGAAGGGAAACCCTGGCCTGCTCTCTCTCTGCCTCCACCTGCAGGAAGCTCTCCCCCTCTTCCCCCACCACCATCTCCTCTTTTCAAACCTGAATTCGGAGCTGCAGGCTGCGGTTGGCCTGCTCCAGGGATCGCTGCCGGCTCTCCAGGTCTTTGGAGCGCTGCTGCTCCTTCTGCAGCTTGCGGATATAATCCACAGAGGCCTTCAGGATGGTGCCCTTGTTCCAGCGCATCTCCCTGTGGGGCCCAAGTGGGAGGCAAGCAGGAAATGCCACATGAGGAGTTTCTCAGGAGCTGAGGCGGGGATTGCACCAGGTGGGAGCCTCCCACCACATGCTTAGAACTTGAGGCTGGGGTCTTTCAAAGGTATGGAGTATCCAGAGGAAAACTTCCCGCCTGGAATCTTACAATGGTGCCCCATCACACTCCAAACCCTGGAAGCCGTCTCTGACCTGACCCCTTAGGATTCCTCTCTTCCCTATGTCCCTCCGATTGATCTCACTACAGCCACATTGGTCTCTCAGTGCTCCTAGAATATGGAAAACCACTCCCATCTCAGGGCATCAATCCCAGCCGTGCCCTCTGCCTTGAATACTCTTACCCCCAGACACCCATGCGGCTCCCCGCCTTGCCTCCTTAGGCTCTTTATTCAAACGTTTCCTTGTCAGTTGGGGCCTGCCCTGTCCTCACCTTCCTTATCCCAAACTAACCCTCCCCAACATTCTCCCATTTTCCTTCCAGTCTTTATTCTTCTCATAACACTCATCATAATGGATCTCATGGATGTTTACTTATTTACTATTTGTCTGCCCCCACTAAAACATCAGTTTCATGAGGTCTGTTTTGTTCCCTCTGGTATCTTTAGGGCCTAATATGGTACCTGGCACAAACCAGAGGTTCAAAAAATAAATCTTTCTCTTTTCCTTTTTTTTTGCGGGGCGGTGGGGGATGGAGTCTCGCTCTGTCACCCAGGCTGGAGAGCAGTGGCACAATCTTGGCTCACTACAACCTCCACTTCTCAGGTTCAAGCGATTCTCCTGCCTCAGCCTTCTGAGTAGCTGAGATGACAGGCCTACGCCACCACGCCCAGCTAATTTTTTTTGTATTTTTTGTAGAGATGGGGTTTCACCATGTTGGCCAGGCTGGTCTCAAACTCCTGACCTCAGGTGATCCACCCGTCTCGGCCTCCCCAAGTGCTGGGATTACAGGTGCCCACCACCACGCCCCGCTAATTTTTATATTTTTAATAGAAATGGGGTTTCACCATGTTGGCCAGAATGGTCTCAATCTCCTGACCTTGTGATCCACCCGCCTCGGCCTCCCAAAGTGCTGGGATTACAGGCGTGAGCCACTGCACCCGGCCATCTTTTTTTTTTTTTGTTTTTGAGACAAAGTCTTGCTCTGTCACCCAGGCTGGAGTGCAGTGGCACCATATTGGCTCACTGCAACCTCCACCTCCCGGGTTCAAGTGATTCTCCTGCCTCAGCATCCCGAGTAGCGGGGATTACAGGTGCGTGCCACCACGCCCAGCTAAATTTTTTTTATTTTTAGTGGAGACAGGGTTTCACCATGTTGGCCTTCACCTCCTGACCTCGTGATCCGCCTGCCTTGGCCTCCCAAAGTGCCAGGATTACAAGTGTGAGCCACTGCACCTGGCTAATTTTTGTATTTTTTAGTAGAGACGGGGTTTCATCATGTTGGCCAGGCTAGTCTGAAACTCCTGACCTTAGGTGATCGACCCCGCCTTGGCCTCCCAAAGTGCTGGGATTACAGGCATGAGCCACCACACCCGGCCAATAAATAAATCTTGAATAAATAAAGGAAGTACCATTGCACCACTGCACTCCAGCCTGGGTGACAGCGTGAGACTCCATCTCAAAAAAAAGAAAAAAAAAAAGGAAGTACTAAGTGAACAGAAAAGTAGGTGCATATATCCTACGGGGACCAGATGGGGCACACAGACCATAACATTATGTGCCTAAAATTTTAGGTGCTGACATAGTGAGGGTCTGCAACCCTGCTCAGGCTGAGAAAGAACCAGACAGAGGAGAAATGCCTGGGCCGAGACTGCCTGGTGAGCCCACCAAGGCACAATTTTAGTAGCATGGGACGCCTGCCCCACCTCCCGCTGGCCTGAGGGTCCCAGCCCAGACTCACGGGTCACTGGACTTAGGGATGAGAGTGCCCAGTTCCTTGATCCTGTCGTTAATGTTGAATCGCCTGCGACGCTCAACTTTGGAGAGGGGAGGAGAGGAAGAAAGAGTGGGAGAAAGAGTTGTCAATTAGCCAAAAATGGAAGAGACAGAAAGTAGGGAGTTGGGAGGCTGTTGCAGGGAAGGAGTTCCCCATGGGGGGCCAGGACTCGGGGTGAGGCAGGCCTGCACAGCACCCGGGCAATGCACACGCTCTCTGGCTTACTTAGGTTGTGATTGTCTTTCTTCTGCCGTTCCTTCAAAAGGGCCTTTGCCTCGGTCTCTGGAAAAGAGTGGAGTGATCAGGGCCTCTGAGCACAGGAAGGCAAGAAACACATGCAGATACTAAGGTAGGGTTTGGTAGCCAAAAGCAGGGGAAATGCCTTTTTTAAAAAGTGCCTTCTTTTTACTATTTTAAGCCATGGTGATAGGCTGGTTGTTAAATCCAAGACGAGAGGAACTGAAGTGGGGTGAAAGCAAGACCACAAGCCATAGGGGGAAAGGGGACAAACAGCCTCCATTTCCATATGTCCAAACCATTCCCCTCAGAATCAGGCCCATCTCTAGACCTGGTAGGCACAGGGCTCACCTGGGGTAAAGTGTAGGGCCATGGGGCCAAGACCCTATCACCTACCAGAGATCTCCCGTTTGATGTTGGGCAGCTCAGCTGGGCAGGAGTTGCTGACAGTGATGGCTGGTGTGGCCACGCCTTGACTACTGTACACATCAAGCAGATTCCCTGACACAGGCAGCTGGGGGCAGAGAGGGCAGAGAACCACCAGTTGGGAACAAACCCCAGGCTTGGCTCCTCCTCAGAACCAGGTTCCTGAGCTTCCACATATCCCAAAGATGGGGCACCCTCTAATGCAAGGACTGGCTGACTCAGCACCAGAACCCTTGCTTCTCCTTCAAGGCAAATTCACATGGCGACCAAACAGGGAGGACAGAGCAAACTGGACCTACCTTGCTTCGCTGGGAGACTGGAGCCTGCCTGGCCTGCTTATCACTTCCTCCAGTCCCTCATATCCCTCAGTGACCTCTAAAGCCCCTTTCCCAAACCCCGGGGCTGGCTCTGAGAAGAAATGCTGGAAAACCACCCTTCTCAGGTCTTTGTCGGCTCTGATGGGACATTCCAGTCCGTTAGCTCCTCCCAGCACAACATTCCAATCCAGCATTCTTGGAACACTCCAACCCAATCTTCTCCGACCTTGGTAAATTGTCATGACAACATTCTATCCAAAATCTGGCCTTCTGGAGAATTCCAACCTAATCTCCAGTCTTTCACTCTGATCAAGTTGTACCATCTTCCACTCTGATCAAGTTGTACCATCTTCCACATCAGGGTCTCCTGCTGCTGTGGACCAAGGTCCTGACTCCAGTATCTTCCTGCACATTCTGTTCTCTCAGGAGATTCTTATCCAACTATTCAATTAGCACTGCTTTATGTCAGCCTAGTTTTTTTTTTTTCCTCTCCTTCACACTTTCCTGGATATACTCCAGAGGAGCACGTCAATCTTAAGTATACCCAGGGCCAGGTGCAGTGGCTCACGCCTGTAATCCCAGCACTTTGGGAGGCCAAGGCGGGCGGATCACTTGAGGTCAGGAGTTCGTGACCAGCCTGGCCAACATGGTGAAACTCTGTCTCTACTAAAAATACAAAACAACAAAAAAAATTAGCCGAGCATGGTGGCCTGCACTTGTAGTCCCAGCTACTTGAGAGGCTGAAACAGGAGAGTTGCTTGAACCCAGGAGGTAGAGGTTGCAGTGAGCCAAGATCACACCACTGCACTCCAGCCTGGGCAACAGAGCAAGACTCTATCTCAAAATAAATAAATAAATAAATAAATACAAATAAAATAAAGTATATCCAAATCCCACTTCTTCATGAGTTTTAATCTCTTTTTTTTTTTTTTTTTTTTTTTTTGGAGACGGAGTATCGTTCTGTCACCCAGGCTGGAGGGCAGTGGCGCAATCTCGGCTCACTGCAAGCTCTGCCTCCCGGGTTCACGCCATTCTCCTGCCTCAGCCTCCCGAGTAGCTGGGACTACAGGCACCCGCCACCACGCCCAGCTAATTTTTTCGTATTTTTAGTAGAGACGGGGTTTCACTGTGTTAGCCAGGATGGTCTGGATCTCCTGACCTTGTGATCTGCCCGCCTCAGCCTCCCAAAGTGCTGGGATTACAGGTGTGAGCCACCGTGCCTGGCTGAGCTTTAATCTCTTGAACCCACTTCCAGTCTGGTGGATATAAGGTCCCATTCTCTAGTTGTGTCCAAATCAATAAAAAGTTCTGATAAATTAGTCCCATTTTTATACATGCTTCCATCCTATTGATAAGTTGGAAAAAAGCAAAACTACAGCCACTTGGTATGCTCTAAAGCAAGTTATGAGACCAGGCATGGTGGCTATGTCTGTAATCCCAGCACTTTGGGAGGCCGAGGTGGGCAGATGGCTTGAGCTCAGGAGTTCGAGACCAGCCTGGGCAACACAGTGAGACCCTGTCTCTACTAAAAATGCAAAAAATTAGCCAGGCATGGTGACACAAGCCTATGGTCCCAGTTACTTGGGAGGCTGAGGTGGGAGGATCACTTGAGCCCGGAAGGTGGAGGCTGCAGTGAGCCAGGATTACACCACTGCACTCCAGCCTGGGTGACAGAGCAAGATCCTGTCTCAAAAATAAATAAATAGGCCGGGCGCGGTGGCTCAAACCTGTAATCCGAGAACTTTGGGAGGCCGAGGCAGGTGGATCACCTGAGGTCAGGAGTTCGAGACCAGCCTGACCAACATAGTGAAACCCCGTCTCTACTAAAATACAAAAATTAGCCAGGCGTGCTGGCGGGCACCTGTAATCTCGGCTACTTGGGAGGCTGAGGCAGGAGAATTGCTTGAACCCAGGAGGCAGAGGGTGCAATGAGCAGAGATCGCACATTGCATTCCAGCCTGGACAAGGAGAGTGAAACTCCATCTCAAAAAAAAAAAAAAAATTCAATAAAAAATAAATAAATAAATAAATAAAGCAAGTTAGGCCAGGCATGGTGGCTCATGCCTGTAATCCCAGCACTTTGGGAGGCCGAGGCAGGCAGATCACAAAGTCAGGAGATTGAGATAACCTGGGTAACACGGTGAAACCCCGTCTCTACTAAAAATACAAAAATTAGCCGGGCATGGGGGCACGCGCCTGTAGTCCCAGTTACTCAGGAGGCTGAGGCAAGAGAATCGCTTGAACTTGGTAGGCGGAGGTTCCAGTGAGCCGAGATAGCACCATTGCGCTCCAGCCTGGGTGACAGAGCAAGACTTTGTCTCAAAAAATAAATAAATAAATATAATAAAGCAAGTTATGAGACTCTTGGAGTGTTCAAAACCAGAATGTTACAATGGTATATCCCTTGCTCTAGAAAGTTTTATCTACTGACTAGAAGGACTCTGCCTCCTGGCACAGTTCACTTGGTATATTCCAATCACTACGAGATCCAACTACTTGTTATAACCCACAGCAAGTTTGAAAACTTTTGTTATGCTTCAAGGCCAGGCGTGGTGGCTCACACCTGTAATTCCAGCACTTTGGGAGGCCAAGGCAGGTGGATCACTTGAAGTCAGGAGTTCAAGACCAGCCTGGCTCACAGGGTGAAACCCGGTCTCTACTAAAAATACAAAAATTAGCCAAGCGTAGTGGCGTACACCTGTAATCCCAGCTACGTGAGAGGCTGAGGCACGAAAATCGCTTGAACCCAGAGGCTGCAGTGAGCCAAGATCGCACCGCTGCACTCCAGCCAGGGTGACAGAGTGAGACTCTGTCTTAAAAGAAAAAAAAGGTAAAAATAAAATAAAACAAAATGCTCCAATCATTACATGGTCTGGTGTATATGTCCCGATGACCTGAATCCCTTGGTACATTCAAGTTGCTATAAGATGCTCATCTCGGCCGGGTGTGGTGGCTCACGCCTGTAATCCCAGTACTTTGGGAGGCCGAGGCAGGCAGATCACGAAGTCAGGAGTTCAAGACCCGCCTGACCAACGTGATGAAACCCCGTCTCTACTAAAAATAGAAAAATTAGCTTGGTATGGTGGCACGTGCCTATAATCCCAGCTACTCAGGAGGCTGAGGTAGGAGAATCGCTTGGACCTGGGAGGCAGAGGTTGCAGTGAGCTGAGACCGCGCCACTGCACTCTAGCCTGGGTGACAGAGCGAGACTCCGTCTCGAAAAAAAAAAAAAAAAAAGATTATCATCTCTTGGTACTTCTCACAGCAAAGCCCAAGCACTTTGATATGCCCTACTGTCTCAGTGAACTCCCCACCTGTATCTCTCACAGTCTACATGGTCCACCTCTCAACACAGTCCAACAAGGTCCAAAGGCATTGTTGACATACCCTGTTCTCGTCATAAGGCCTCCCTCTCTATCTTAGCACAATCAAGGCAAGGGTCTCCTATACACACAGCCAGACTGAGTATGGTCTTGGTGATACAGAAATGCCCTAATTTTCAGACCAACCTCCCATCTCAGGGCCTCACCGTGCTGGGGAGCTGCAGTCCTGTGGTGCCTCCGGGCAGATAGCTGAGCATTTCATCATTGTAACTGGACTCCAGGCTGATGATCTCATCAATGACATCATCAATCTAGGGGAAGAAGTAAATATTATACAGGTTTAGAAGAATTTGGGAGGGGAATGTGGGAGGAGGTTTGGCTGTAGCCTCTTACCTCCTTCTCTGAGCTGGACCCGATGGTGAGCAGCGCCATGGGGCTGTTGGGCGCACTGCCTGTGGGGCCGGTAGTGTGGGCAGCCTCAGGGGCAGGCAGTGGCTGGGCACTTGCGGGCCCCGGCGGTGGGGTGAGGGCCTGGGAAGCCAGCTTGGGCCCGAGTGTGGTGGACAGGTACTGTTTCACCTGCTGCCGGCGCGCCTGCTGCAGGTGGTAGCGCGTTGGGTTCTCCAGATGGGTCTGCACCTGTGAAATAAGGTAGACAAGGAAAGAGAGGGGACAAGGCAGAACAGGACTCAAAGGGGTGAATTCTGAGCCCCAGCCTGACCCTCCTAACTCATTGGTGCCTAGACTCACGCAGACAAGCTGGGCCCAGAATCTGAGAACACCCCAAAAATATTAGCGAGTCTCCCCCAGGACCCAAACTCTCTTTCTCAGAAATCCTTCACAGCTGCCAAGATCCACCCATGACTGACAGGATCCCTCGTAGTTTCTGGAAAACCCTGTCACAGTCCCCAAGATTCCCCACCTAGTCTCTGACACCACCTAATAGACCTGGGAACCATACAATGCTTCCCAAGACCCCCTAATGGCCAAAGAACTAATGTATCCCACACACATGAAGCTCTTCCTACAAAGCCAGGGCCCACTTGGGGCACTCATGAGCCTCCATGGTCCACCAAGACATCCTCATGGCCCCCACGAACTCCTCGCAATTTCACAAGATCATCTCAGAAACCCAAAACACATGAGACATGAACACAGATAATTTAAACAGTACCAGGGACCTTCCTTAGAGCCCCTAAGACCTTGCCCCCAAATCACCAGTGCATCGAGGCCATCCCTAGCTCCTAGGATCACTCCTCAGTCACCAGGAGCCCCCTCCCAGGGCCTCTGGATCTCACCTTACCTTGAGCACCTCCCTGGGCACCTGAGCAGGGGGTGGACGGCTCAATGTGTGGCCCCCAGCAGAGACGCCAACCACAGAGATGGCAGGAGAGGCAGGTGCAGGACTGGGGAAGGGAGCCGCGGCGGCCTGTTCCCGACGCTCACGCCTCTCCTGCTCCTGCGCCTGGGCCCGCATTAGCTGCTGCCGCAGCAAGACCCTCGATGAAGAAGATGACGACATGGCAGGGGTCCTGGAGCCCCCTGCAGAAGACGATGCAGAGAGTGTAGCTGGGGTGGCTGGTGTGGCCTGCAGTGATATTGGGAGGCTGTGGAATGGGAAATATGGGGCCATATTTTAGGTAAGCTAAAAGTCTCATCCCAAGCCTAAAGGGTCTTAGCGTGACGGAGCAGACACAGGAACCAGGCCTGTTCTCTGCCTTCCGAGGCCACAATGTAGAAGCAGAGACACAGGAACCAGGCTTGGTGATGGCTCTCAGGGGTCACAGTCTGATGGGGGACACACTGGAGGTCAGTCTGGTGGGGGAGTTTTAGCCTTTGGTCCTTATGGTGAAGCCTAGATTTGAGCCTGTTCACATATTAAGTGGAGATGCTATTGTTCAGCTCTGCAAGGGGGGGTTTGTCCTATTTACAGGAGAGCAGAAGAAGCAGAATTGAGGCTTTGGCAGCAGAATGTGGATACAGAGGGCTCCTAAGCCCAATGTGAGGCTAGAGAAGCTCTCTGAGCTCCTGGGGGTGGGCGTCAGGTGATAGGAGAAGCCCCAGGTTCCTCTTCTTCCCCTGCCTGGGCCTCTGGTCCCAGGAGCTAGTCAGTCTTGAAAACCTCGGAGATTTCACAATACTCTCTTCCTGCCCCTCTTCCCCCTCCCCTCCCCTCTCTCAGAGCCCGGGCCGATGACTCAGCACATTTAGACTTCCAAGCTTGGGGAAAGAAGAGACCAGCAGGGGCTCCTCAAGGGCTGAGGGTGGGTGAGTTGGTAGTGTGGGAAGGGACTGAGTTGGGGCTAGAGGCATGTCCCCGCCCACCCGGGGACATGAGTTTAAGCAGGCCACGCCCTATCTCTGAGCACTCCAGGCCGGCTGGAACACCTGAGGCTGAAACACTTGCATATGAATGGGTGTGCAGGTGGGCTGGGGGCAGGCAGGGGAGGTCTTGACAGAGATACTGGAATCCTAGCTTGGCCACCTACTTTCCTGTGTGACATGCTCTTTCTGGTCCCTAATTTTACCACCTAGAAAACGCAGGCTGGTGAAAGAATGGGTTGGGCTGGTACTGAGGGCCTCTGCCCATCAAGAGGGGAGAGGAGGGCTGAGGAATTGGGAGGGGAATCAGATAGACAAGTCATACATACCTTGAGCGAAGGGGTAAGGGTTGGCTTTTGAGCTCGTAGAAGCTGTCAGGATCAAGGACGTTTTCTAATTCTATGTCAGCAACAATCCCGGATTCCGGAAGCAAAGAGTTCAGGCTGAGGGGGAGGTGGAGTGGTGGTCAGTGATTGAATGAAGGACCTTATTCCCCAGCCCTCCCCTGAGACAGAGAAAGAGAGAGAGAGGGGGGGAGAACGAAGAGGAGGGTACAAGCCCCTCATATTTGGCCACCTTGCTGGGTACCACACCACCATGAATTCCCACCTCCTTCCCCCATCCCCCTTTCCCTTCCCCACTGTGTTACTCATAGTCCCTTAGGAGTCAGAATAATAAGAACGCCTGCATCCCAACCCCCACACTGTAACAACCTGGGTTTGAGGAAAACAGAATTTAGGAATAACAATTCACTTTATAGAAGGATTCCTGACTTCCTATTCAGAGTTCTCCCAGCCCCCATACCCCCTACTTTTTTTTTTTTTTTGAGACAGAGTATCGCTCTGTCACCAGGCTGGAGTACAGTGGTGCGATCTCAGCTCACTGCAAGCTCTGCCTCCTGGGTTCAAGTGATTCTCACGCCTCAGCCTCCCGAGTAGCTGGGATTACAGGCACACGCCACCACGTCCGGCTAATTTTTGTATTTTTAGTAGAGACGGGGTTTCACCGTATTAGCCAGGATGGTCTCGATCTCCTGACCTCAAGATCCGCTTGCCTCGGCCTCCCAAAGTGCTGGGATTACAGGTGTGAGCCACTGCGCCCGGCCAACCCCCTGCTATTTTCTTTACAGCTGAATGTGAGCCCAGGTATATGTGTGTACACACACACACACACAGAGCAAGTAGGGGCATCCCTCAGCATAACAGTCCCTTGTAACACAAACTGAATGCATCACAAAGAGAACTGGAAATAATTCACTTGACGTAAAGATCTACCATTTCACAAATGAGTTTCTCCCAGCCCCAGCCAGAGTTCATGGGATGCCAACACATGCCTAAATATAAAATAGAAATATCAAAGGCTCCCCTCGCTCCAACAGACTGGATTTACAAGAGGGAGAATTTGGGTGGTTGATCCACTTTATACAAGCATTCTTTTCTTACCGGAGGAGCCTGCCCAGCCTTCTCCTGTTTTTTTGGATAGATCAAAACACACACACACCCCCAACACTAACACCCACTGGCGCACAAAATAAGAAGCCATATACACCCATCCCTTTAACTATGTCCACTACTGCGATGATCTAGGTTGTTACAGAGGAATTAGAAGATGGTGAATCGATATACAGAAAGGCTCTGCTCAGCCCCAGAGAGCAAGGGACAGTTAACACACACGTGGATGAATATGCATCCTTCAATTTAGCTAAACATTTAGAATGCTGAGAGATTGCTGGTGACTTCACTTGACAAGAATCCTCTCCCCTCCCCAAGGATCTGTCTTCCTTCCTCTCCTCACCCTCAGATGGAGCCCTAAAACCACCCAGGAAGTTGGGAAGAGGAAGCTCGGGCGAGCCACTGAGCTCAGCACAATCCCAGGCACAAAGGAGGCAAAGACCCCCCCCCACCCAGGGCTCACACACCCATTGCACAGAAGTTGGAAGAGATGGGCACTGGGGTGAGCAGGGAGGGCTGGGGCTCCAAAGCCCATTGATGAAAGTAAGGATGAGAAGAGGCCAGAGGGGATCCACCCAGGCAGGGATGGTGCAATCTGTACTCGTTCCAGCTCTATGGACAGATTCAAGATTACCCCCAGGAGCTCGGAGATCGAAAAGAAGATAAAAAGAAAAGGGGTGTGGGGCTAGGGAGTGGGAAGGGCTGAGAGGCTAGAGCGAGTAGCAGCATGAACAAGAGCCTCCTCTGGGTTCCCAAACAAGGTCTGAGGCCTCTGAGCTAAGAGGTAACATCATCGCCCTCTGCCTGGCTGTCTATCTTCCATTCAGGCCCTTAACAGGTGTGGGAAGAGGGCTTTTCCACTATCCTTGGGATCTGCCCCAGCTGGGTAGGCGGGCAGAGGGGAAAGGATTATTCTGGTCAAGTCTTGCTGAATGTTGCTTCTCTTGTTCATTCACACGCACTCACAAGGCTGGTCCCAGGCAGCATATCTGAGATACCTCCAAATCCCTCCAGATTCATGTTATCCCCAAACACAGCAACCAGTCACTGAGAGGCACCAAGCTCCCAAGACAGCACTTCTGTCCCTCAGGACCCCTTCTCCCACACTGAGGGAAAAAAGATTCTAGGATTCCCTTAAAACCAGTGCCTCACCTGACAGTGTCCCCTCAAATTCATTCCCCTCATGTCCGACTGAAAATCCCCGAATTCAGCCTCTAATCAGAGACCCTGTCTACCAAGTTCAGCTATCTCAGACCAGTTTCTGGATACTCCAGAATAGGCCCCTCTAGACGCAGTCAAGGGCTCCCCAAACCTGACCCAGACCCCGCTTAATGCACTCCCACGACTCCTTTAATAAAGCCACAATCCAAGCAGGCCACTGCCGGATTCCTTAGGTGCCCCCCCAAGACGGGCGCCCCGACGTCCTCCAAGGCTAGGCCGAGGGCCTCCAATCCCAGTCCGGGGCCCCCACTGCCCCCGAGATCAGGCCCCTGGGAGCCCCAGTCGGCACTCCCAGCCCCAGGCGGCCCCGCACCTGAGCAGCTGAGCCGAGTCGGCCGGCCTGCGCTCCTCCAACAGCACGAACACGGCTCGAGGGCCCTCCGCGCTGGCCTCTACGCCATCCCGAGCTGGTTCGGCCGCATGAGACATGACGCCCGGCCCCGGGCGAGCCCTGCCAGGCCGGTCGGGCCTCGGCCCGGTCCCCCTAACAAAATAAGAGTCCCCCCTCCCCCCAGCTCGCCACCGCCGCCTCCTCCGCTAAGCCATGGAGCTAGCACTGCGCGGGCGGGCGGCGTCGGGGAGATGGGATGGGCTGTGAGTCATCCCCCGCCCAGAACGGACCGACGCCCCCCCTCAACCTAACCCCGGACGACCGCCCTCCTCCCCCTCGTCTTCTTCCCCCTCCTCCCTCCTCCCAGGGATGGGGAAACTCCACAGGAAGTGACCGCACTGGGGATGGATGGCCCGTCTGGCCACGACCCATTAGCGAGGCGGCCAATCGCTGAACGGCGATTCGAGGGCCCACCCTAAGCGACGCCTCCGACGCGGAGGAAAAACGCGATTCGGCCCGCCCTCATTCCGAGAAGCAGCACCCAGACCACGCCCTCAGGGGCAGCGACAAATAGGCGAGGGTTGATTTGGTTGAACCACGCCTCTATGTTTGCGTCGCTTTCGGAGCCACGCCCTCTCTTCTCAAATTATCCCTCTGCAAGGTAATATTAAGCCGCTCCTTGGGTCCTCTGCGCCTGCGCATCGATGGCCAGTCGGCGCACGGAGGGTCTCCTGGCCAAGCTTTTAGCTGCGGAACCGCGCCCTCTTTCGGCCAATATTTGTAATATCTGAGCCCTAGACCGCGCTCCAACCTCGATCTGGCTGTGCTCTCTCAGCCAAAGCCATAACTATGAGGCAGAGGCAGCTACATTCCCTGAAGGTGCGGGCCAGAAACCCCCCCCTTTCGCTGTCCGCAGTCCAGCCGCCCAGCTGGTCTTCCGGGAGTATTCCGCCTGTTCCATGCCATCGAGAGCGGTTGTACTATGTTCATTGCGCTGCGCAATATGTGCTTAATAAATTCTTGACGGGTGAATGAATCTGGTCCCTTCGGTGAATGACGACTTCTGGAATCACAAAGATCCAGGTTTGAATAGGGAAGGGGACCTCCCCTCTCCCAGCCTCAGCTTTCCTGGCCTGTTAAATGGGGGTCAAAATACCTGTCTGGCAGGGTTGTTCTGAGGATTAAAGATAATGTATGAAAAGTGCTAGCAGGTTGTTTGGCATACAAGAAGCTTCCCAAAATTAGTTGATTCACTCATTTGTTCACTTATTCAACATTCACTGAGCGCTTCTGTATGCCAGACGCATGCAAGCCGGCTCGCACAAGGCGGAGGGTCTCACTCATATATCCTCAGGTGCAAATAGCTCACAAAACACCCAGACCTACAGCCTTCCCTTCCTCTTTCCTGACATCCCAAGACCCCACCCTGAGTTGCGCCTCCAGGAATTTCACCGGGCTTTCATTTACCTTGGACCTTCCTGTATTGGCATCATTATTTCACAGGTCTGTCAGTTGCTTTCGTAAACTCATCCATACTCACACACAACCATCTCGTACAAGGGGGAAACCTCTACATAATAAAGATGACTTCTGGCCGGGCGCGGTGGCTCATGCCTGTAATCCCAGCACTTTGGGAGGCCGAGGCGGGTGGATCACCTGAGGTCAGGAGTTTGAGACCAGCCTGGCCAACACGGTGAAACCCCGTCTCTACTAAAAATACAAAAAATTAGCCGGGCGTGGTGGCGGGCGCCTGTAATCCCAACTACTCGGGAGGCTGAGGCAGGAGAATCCCTTGAACCGGGAAGCAGAGGTTGCAGTGAACCAAGATAGTGTCACTGCACTGCAGCCTGGGTGACAGAGTGAGACTCAGTCTCAAAAAAAAAAAAAAAAGAAAAAAGAATACATTACCAATTGTACCAATCAAAACTCTAAAACGGAACTTGTAGATCCAATGTTAAAATTCCTATGATGCCTTAAACATGTAAGAATGGGCCGGGCACGGTGGCTCACACCTGTAATCCAGCAGTTTGGGAGGCCAAGGTTGGTGGGTCGCTTGAGGCCAGAAGTTCGATACCAGCCTGGCCAACATGGCAAAACCTCGTCTCTACAAAAATACAAAAATTAGCCGGGCGTGGTGGTCTGCGCCTGGCCTGTAGTCCCAGCTACTCGGGAGGCTGAGGCAGGAGAATAGCTTGAACCCGACAGGCGGAGGTTGCAGTGAGCCGAGATCACGCCACTGCACTCCAGCCTGGGGCGACAGAGTGAGACTCTGTCTCAAAAACAAAAACAATGGCCCAGTGCGGTGGCTCACGCCTGTAATCCCAGCACTTTGAGAGGCCGAGGCAGGTGGATCACTTGAGGTCAGAAGTTCAAGACCAGCCTGGCCAACGTGGCAAAACCCTGTCTCTACTAAAAATACAAAAAAATTAGCCAGGCATGGTGGCGTGCGCCTGTAATCCCAGCTACTAGGGAGGCTGAGGCACAAGAATCGCTTGAACCCGGGAGGTGGAGGTTGCAGTGAGCCAAGATCGTGCCACTGCACTCCAGCTTGGGAGACAGAGCTAGACTCCGTCTCAAAAAAAACAAAAACAAACATGTAAGAATGGCTAATTTTACAAAAGAAGAAAGAGGAGGGTCTGGCGGGGTGGTTCCCACCTGTAATCCCAACACTTTGGGAGGCCAAGGTGGGAGAATTGCTTGAGCCCGGGAGTTTGAGACTAGTCTGGGAAACATAGGGAGACCCCGTCTGTACAAAAAAACTTTTAAAAAATTAGGCCGGGCATGGTGGCTCACGCCTGTAATCCCAGCACTTTGGGAGGCTGAGGCGGGAGGATCACAAAGTCAAGGGATTGAGGCCATCCTGGCCAACATGGTGAAACCCCGTCTCTACTAAAAATACAAAAATTAGCTGGGCATGGTGGCACGCGCCTGGCCTGTAGTCCCAGCTACTTGGGAGGCCGAGGCAGGAGAATCTCTTGAACCCAGGAGGCGGAGGTTGCAGTGAGCCGAGATTGCACCACTGCACTCCAGCCTGGGGACAAAGTGAGACTCTGTCTCAGAAAAAAAGAAAAAAAAAGAAAAGAAAAGAAAAGAAAAATTAGCCAGGTATGGTGGTGCACACCTGTGGTCCCAACTACTTGGGAGGCTGAGGCAGGAGGATCGCTTGAGCCTGGAAAGTTTGAAGTTGCAGTGAGCCGTGTTTGTACCACTACCCTCCAGCCTGGACGACAGAATGAGACTCTGTATCAATTAATCAATAAATAAAACTACATACTGTCTGATGAAAGATGCTACAAAGTTAAAAGACTTACAACAGACTGGCAACAAATATTTATAGCAGTAGAGCCACAGAGTAATTATCTTGTCACACATCCCAATCCTACAAACACCAGCTTCACACACGCATCTCAAATGTCTCCATGACAAGTGATATCCCATGACACCCTGCATGATATGCCTACCCTGCATCTTTCTGGGTTTCTCTCTCTCTTTTCTTTTTCTTTTTTTTTTGAGACAGAGTCTCGCTCTTGCCCAGGCTGGAGTGCAGTGGCACGATCTCGGCTCACTGCAAGCTCCGCCTCCCGGGTTCACGCCATTCTCCTGCCTCAGCCTCCCCAGTAGCTGGGACTACAGGCACCCGCTACTATGCCCGGCTAATTTTTTTGTATGTTTAGTAGAGACGGGGTTTCACCATGTTAGCCAGGATGGTCTCGATCTCCTGACCTCGTGATCCGCCTGCCTCGGCCTCCCAAAGTGCTGGGATTACAGGCGTGAGCCACTGCACCCGGACTTCTTTTTTCTTTTTCTCTCTCTCTTTTTTTTTTTTTTTTGAGATGGAATCTCGCTCTGTCACCCAGGCTGAGGTGCAGTGGCACTATCTCGGCTCACTGCAGCCTCTGCCTCCTGGGTTCAGGCGATTCTCCTGCCTCAGCCTCCCAAGTAACTGGGATTACAGGTGCCCGCCACCGCGGCCAGCTAATTTTTTTTGTATTTTTAGTAGAGACAGGGTTTCCCCATGTTGGCCAGGCTGGTTTCAAACTCCTGACCTCAAGTGATCCGCCCGCCTCGGCCTCCCATAGCGCTGGGATTAAAGGCATGAGCCACATGCCCGGCCCTAGTTTCTATCAATATCTCATTCTCAACTTTCTCAATACTTGCACCCCTGCCATATAGTTGGAGTTCCTTTCTTTCTTTCTTTCTTTTTTTTTGGAGACAGGGTTTCGCTCTGTCATCCAGGCTGGAGTGCAGTGGTGCGATCTCGGCTCACTGCAACCTTATCTGGGGTTTCACTGCAAGACAACTTCAAGGTGCTGTGAAGGGGACATGTGGAGCGAAGTGGGAGGGCAGCTGGATGGTGAAGTTGGGGGTATTTAGGGATAGATATGAGTGGTGATTGAAGGTGGCTTGGGGGTGAGTTTGGGTTCTACAACAGGACAGTTTGCAGGCAATTGAAGGATCATTTGAAGGTCTTTGGGAGGAATGGGGCTTCAATAAGACAGTTTAAGAATGCAGGTGGGAGCTATTGGGAGGGTGGATTGGGAATACGGTTAATGGGTGGAGGATGGTTTGGGGTACAGTTGGAGGGAATATAGGAAGATGGGTTTTTAGAGATAGAGTTCGGCCTTCTGTAAGGTGGTTTAAGGAACAGATGTTAACTGTCATAAGATGTTGTGGTAGGCTGAATAATCCCCTCCACCCCTGCCAATATATTTATGTCCTATGTCCTAATCCCTGGAATTTTTTTTTAATTAATTAATTTTTTTTAGACAAAGTCTCACTCTGTCACCCAGGCTGGAGTGCAGTGGTGTGATCTTGGTTCACTGCAACCTCCGGCTCCTGGGTTCAAGCCATTCTCCTCCCTCAGACTCTCGAGTAGCTGGGACTACAGGCAGGCACCCGCCACCACGCCCGGCTAATTTTTTGTATTTTTAGGAGAGACGGGGTTTCACCGTGTTAGCCAGGATGGTCTTGATCTCCTGACCTCGTGATCTGCCCGCCTCGGCCTCCCAAAGTGCTGGTATTACAGGTGTGAGCCACCGCATCCGGCCAAGGAACTCTTTATTTTTAAAGAGTCTTGCTCTGTCACCCAGGCTGGAGTGCAGTGGTGTGATCTCAGCTCACTGCAACTTCGTCTTCCTGGTTCAAGCGAATCTCTTGCCTCAGCCTCCCAAGTAGCTGGGATTACAGGCATGCTGCACCATGCCCCATTAATTTTTGTATTTTTAGTAGTGACAGAGTTTCACCATGTTGGCCAGGCTAGCCTTGAACTCCTGACCTCAAGCAATCTGCCTGCCTCCGCCTCCCAAAGTGCTGGGATTACAGGCATGAGGCACGGCGCCTGCCCCCTCACCCATTTTTTTTGTTTGTTTTTTGAGTCAAGGTCTCACTCTGTCACCCAGGCTGGAGTGCAGTGGCATGATCACGGCTCACTGCAGCCTCCATCTCCTGGACTCAAGCAGCCCTCCCGCCTCAGCCTCCCGAGTAGCTGGGACTACAGATGTGTGACAGCATGCCTGGTTAATTCCCTGGAACCTTTGAATGCTACTTTATGTGACAAAAGGACTTTGCAGGTGTGATTAAGTTAAGGATTTTGGGATGAGGAGATTGTTCTGGATTAGCTGGTAGACCCTAACTGTAATCCTAAATGTTCTTATAAGAGGTAGGCAGAAGCAAATTCGACTGACAGAAAAGGAGGAGGCAATTTGACCACGGAGGCAGACTGTAGTGATATGACTGCCAAAAGCCAAAGAATGCCTGAAGAGGCAACAGATAGTCCTTTTTGTTTGTTTGTTTGTTTGTTTGTTTCAGATGGAATCTCGCTCTGTCACCCAGGCTGGAGTGCAATGGTGCAGTCTTGGCTCACTGCAACCTCTGCCTCCTGGGTTCAAGCGGTTCTCCTGCCTCAGCCTCCCAAGTAGCTGGGACTACAGGCGCCCGCCACCATGCCTGATTAATTTTTGTATTTTTAGTAGAGACGGGGTTTCGCCATGTTGGCCAGGCTGGTCTGGAATTCCTGACTTCAGGTGATCCACCTGCCTCGGCCTTCCAAATTGCTGGCATTACATGTGTGAGCCACCTCACCTGGCCTAAAGACAATTTTTCCATGGAGTGTGGTGGGGGATGGTTTCGGAATGAAACTGTTCCACCTCAGATGATCAGGCATTAGTTAGATTTTCATAAGGAGAATCTTGTAAGCATGTAACCTGGATCCCTTGCATGCACAGTTCACAATAGGGTTTGCTCTCCTATGAGAATCTAATGCCGCTGCTGCTGTGACAGAAGCTGGAGCTCAGGTGTTAATGCTTGCTTGCCTGCCACTCAGGCTCCTAACAGGCCACTGACTGGTACTTGTCCTTGGCCCAGGGGTTGGAGATCCCTGCCTTATAGCCTCCAGAGGGAGTGCAGCTCTGGTGACACCTTAATTTTGGCCCAGTGCAACTGATTTTAGACTTCTGGCCCTTAAAACTGTGAAAGAATACATTTCTGTTTTTTGTTTGTTTTTAAGAGAGGTAGCTATTTATTTATTTATTTATTTAGAGATGGAGTCTCGCTCTATTGCCCTGGCTGGAGTGCAGTGGCATGATCTTGGCTCACTGCAACCTCCACCTCCCAGGTTCAAGCGATGCTCCCACCTCGGCCTCCCTAGTAGCTGGGACTACACCATGCCTGGCTAATTTTTGTTAAATTTTTTTAGTAGAGACGGGATCTGGCCATGTTGTCCAGGCTGGTCTCAAACTCCTGGCCTCAAGTGATCCGCCAGCCTGGGCCTCCCAAAGTGGTGGTATTACAAGGGTGAGCCACCGCAAATTTCTGTTTTTGTTTCTTCTTCTTTTCTTTTCTTTTTTTCTTTTTTTGTTTTTTTTGAGACGGAGTCTTGCTCTGTCGCCAGGCTGGAGTGCAGTGGCGAGATCTCGGCTCACTGCAACCTCCGCCTCCCAGGTTCAAGCGATTCTCCTGCCTCAGCCCCACGAATAGCTGGGATTACAGGCATGTGCCACCATGCCCGGCTAATTTTGTATTTTTAGTAAAGACGGGGTTTCACCATGTTGGCCAGGATGGTCTCCATCTCTTGATCTCTTAATCTGCCCACCTTGGCCTCCCAAAGTGTTGGGATTACAGGTGTGGGCCATCCTGCCCGGCCCTCTTTGTTTTTTTAAGCCACCAAGTTTGCAGTAATTGGTTACAACAGCCACAGGGAAGAACTACAGATGGCTTTGGGGAAGAGTTGGGGGTCACTGGAAGGACTTAGGGCTACGTTGGGGGTTACCAAGGGCAGTTTGAGAGTATAATTAGAGGCTGTTGGAAAGCATTTGGGTGCAGTTGGAGCCATCAAAGGGAAAATTGAGGTGGGATTTGGGGGGTCATTGGAGGGTGGATGGGAGGTATAGTTGGGAGACTGTGGGGAGGTAAAGGGGAAATGTTTACAGGTAGCATTGGGTGCTATTAGAGGGCAGTTTAGGGTGTAGTTGGGAGTTCTTGGAGGGTGGTTTGGGTGGTATTGTTGGGAAAAATTGAAAGATGTTTTGTGGGTGTAGTTGCTCATAATTTAAGACAAGGTTGGGGCTGGGCGCAGTGGCTCACACCTGTAATCCTAGCACTTGGGGAGGCTGAGGCGGGCAGATCACCTGAGGTCGGGAGTTCGAGACCAGCCTGACCAACATGGAGAAACCCCGTCTTTACTAAAAATACAAAATTAGCCGGGCGTGGTGACACATGCCTGTAATCCCAGCTACTCGTGGGGCTGAGGCAGGAGAATCGCTTGAACCCAGGAGGCGAAGGTTGCAGTGAGCAGAGATCTCACCATTGCACTCCAGCCTGGGCAACAACAGCCAAACTGCATCTCCAAAAAAAAAAAAAAAAAAAAAAAAAGACAAGGTTGGGCATGGCGGTCAGTGAAGAGTGGTTTGAGGTTACAGTCTGGGTCTGCAGTTCTGGGACCAAAGGAAGGTAGTTAGTGGGTAGAGTCATGGCTGGGGCTGTTGGAAGGGGAATTTTAGGGGTGGGGTTTGGAATTGTTGGAGAGTAGTTTAGTTAGGTTTGGGTATTACTGAAAAGGCATTTTGGGGATATTCTTGGGAGTTGATAAAGGGCAGTTTGAGGATGTAGAGCAGACTGCTGGAAGGTGCTTTAGGGGTGAAGATGAGGCTCGGGAGGGAAGTTTAGTGATGATATTTGGGGATTATAGAGTGGTCTGGGGTACAGTTGAGGGCTGGTAGGTATGGTCCAGTGTGCAGTTTGGGGGTCTGTTTTGAAGTCTGGATGTCAGAGGGGTGTTTTGAGTTGTGGTTGAGGAGCTATTGGTGGGTAATTTGGAGAGAAGTTAAAGATCATTGGATAGACTACTGTTCAGCAATAAAAGGAACAAACCACTGTTACATGCTACCACACGGATGAACCTCAAAAACATCAAGCTAAATGAAAGATGTGAGACACAAAAAATCCACATATTGCATTTTTATGAAATGTCCAAGAAAGGCAAATTTATAGAGACAGAAAGTAGATTTGTGGTTGCCTATGGTTGGGAATGGGAATGGCATTCAGTCATGAGGGATTTTTTTGGGGTAATGGAAATGCTCTAAAACTGGGCTATAGCGATTGTTGCACACTTTGGTAAATATTTTTTTCTTTTTTTTTTCTTTTCTTTTTTTTTTTTTTTGAGACAGAGTCTTGCTCTGTCGCCCAGGCTGGAGTGCAGTGGCATGATCTCAGCTCACTGCAACCTCCGCCTTCCAGGTTCAAGCTATTCTCCTGCCTCAGCCCCCTGAGTAGCTGGGATTACAGGTGCCTGCCACCACGCCTGGCTAATTTTTGTATTTTTAGTAGAGATGGGGTTTCACCATGTTGGCCAGGCTGGTCCTGAACTCCTGACCTCAGGTGATCTGCCCACCTTGGCCTCTCAAAGTGCTAGGATTACAAGTGTGAGCCACTGTGCCTCACTTAGGTAAATTTACTAAAGTTGTTGCATTGCACACTTAATCGTGGATGACTTTTATGGTACATAATTATCATTATTATTTTTTGAGATGGAGTCTCACTCTGTTGCCCAGGTTAGAGTGCAGTGGCACTATCTTGGCTCACTGCAACCTCCACCTCCTGGGTTTAAGCGATTCTCCTGCCTCAGCCTCCTGAGTAGCTGGGATTACAGGTGTGAGCCATCATGCCCAGCTACTTTTTTGTATTTTTAGTAGAGACGGGGTTTCACCATGTTGGCCAGGCTGGTCTTGAACTCTTGGCCTCAAGTGATCCACTCGCCTTGGCCTCCCAAAGTGCCGGGATTACAAGTGTGAGCCACTGTTCCCGGCCTGGTACGTAAATTATATCCCGGTTAAGTTGTTTTAAGAAAAAAATCACTGAGAGTGCTTTGTAATTTAGGTCACTTAAGTATGATCCAGGGTGCAAGTAAGTCTTTGGAGGGCTTAGGGGACACATTTGGGGCCACTGGAGTATGATTTGGGAGCCCAATTGGGTAACTACAGCAGGATGGTTGGTGGCTATTCGGAGGTACAGTTGAGGACTGTTGGAGAGTGTTTGAGGTGCAGTTTGGGTCAGTGGAGTGTGGGTTAGAGGTGTAGATGGTGCTGGAGGGTGGCTTGAAATGCAGTTGAAAGACCACAGAAAGTATAGTTGGGTTATATGGCACAGTGATAGGGGCTGTTGGAAGGTAATTTTGTGGGGATACGAGGGGAGGTCAATGAAAGGTGGCTGGGTAAGAGGGGTCCATGGAACATGGTTTGGAGGTAGTGTGGGTGACTGTTGGAATTATTTTGTGGTGCAGGTGAGGCCCACGTTGAGGGTAATTAGGAATGTTTGGGCTGGTGTTGGGGGCTCCTGGAGAGCCATTTTGGGTCAATGGAGTATGGTTTGGAGGGTACATGGAGAGGAGTTTGGGGTCAATGGAGGGTGTTACGGGTGCACATTGGAAGTAGATAGCAGGTGATTTGGACATGCTGTTTGGAGGGTAATGGTTTCAGGGCTGATTGCAGATGGTTTGATGGAGCAAACTGGGGGTAGTGTAAGGTAGTTTACTGCCACAGCTTGGGTGTCCATAGAGGGTGGACTGGAGGTACCGCTTGGAATCAACAGACAGTAGTTTGGGGATATAATTTGGAGGATAATGGAGGTTGGTTTGGAGTGCATTTGAGGAACAACAGGGAGGGTAGCTGGGGTTTACAGGTGTGGGGAGAGCTTACAGAGAGCAGCTTGGGGTACTGCTTGAGGGTCCCTGGGGGACGACTTGGGGTGAGGGGCGCCAGTAGGCTCCCTGAGGGGCGTGGCTTCGGCGAGGGAGGGCTCCGCCGCCCTCGAGAAAGCGTGTGCGCACGCGCTCCCAGCTTGTTCGCTCCTGGCGCTCCCAGGGCAAGAAAAATCGAAGACCCGAGCCGGCGCTTGCGCACTTAGTCTCCGCCACTGCTGTGGTCTCGTGCCCCGCCCCCCGGTCCCCCCACCCTCTAGGCTAGGCTGAGCGGCGGAGGTGGCCGTGCCGCTGGAAGCGGACAGACCCGAGTTAGAGGTGGGGGCGGGGGTCCATCGCCCGCGGCCGGGCCGGCGCTCCCCTCCTACCCTCCCCGCGACCCCCGTCTGGCCCCCACGGCTAACGGTAGCGCAGCCGAACACGGCCCACGGGCAGGGCGCCGAAGAGGAGCAGGCGCGCGCCCGGGGACGAGCAGGGCGCAGTGAGGGAGGGGCGCGTCCACTGCCCCGGCCGGCCGACCGACACCGACCCCGCCTACTGCGGCGCGGGGACCCTTGGTGAGTAACCAGCCCCGCCTGCGGAGGAAGGGAGGGGACAGGGTGGGGTGAAGGCCCGGAAACGCCGACGGGGCGTACCTGCGCGCGCACCCGCGACCTCTGACCCCGTGGCCTCAGCCCTGACCCCTTACGACCTGACTACATCTTTTTTAAACCTCAACCCCTGCTGGCCTTGGCCTCAGGACCTTCCATCCGAGCCCTGACCTAACCATATTCTGGCCTGGTATGGTCCTCAACCCCTGTTTTGTCCCCCTAAATCCAGTCCTGACCCCAAACCCCATCCAGTTATGTCCTGGGGATCTTTGACCTGACCCTGATCCTTGCCTGACCCCGTCTCATCTCTGAAACATCTTGCCCTATCCTAATGCCCAACACTGACCCCAGTTTCTGTCCTGACGCTTGACCTGTCTGTTCCCTAAACTCTTATCCAGTCTCCAAACCTCTTCCAGTCATGTCCTGTCCCCCTAACCACAATCTGGTGTAGTTCTGTCCTGATTCCTGCCCTCTAACTTCTGTCCTTTCTCTGCACCCTATGTGATATCCTCTCCTATATACTCGTGATCTGCATCCTGGCTCACCACCTTCGTCTCCTGCCTTGTCCCTGCCCCTGACTCTGCCCCGTTTTTCCCTCTTTTCTTGTCCCATCACCATACTCATTCCTATCCTCATTGTGTCCTGGTCTTTTCCTGTTCCTGACCTCCATCCTGAACCTGCCCTTTTCCCTGTCCCCTCCTTTGACCACTGGCTTAGCCTTTCCTAGTCATGTCTTCTGACTGCTGTTCTATGTTAATCCTGACCCCTGCCCTGCTGTTTTGTCTCTTTCTTGTACTTTTTCTCTGACCCTTGTCCTGAACCCCACCTTATCCCATCCCCTGGCCAGTGTTCTGGCTCATTCCCCATCCTGCCTCTTGACCTCCATCCTGTGATAACTCTGGCTCTATCTTGTCCCCTACACTCCTTCCTGTTCTGTCCCTTCCCATCCCAGCCCCAGGGTGTTCTTCCCCTTACCATGCCCCTCCACCCTGTTCAGATCTTCTTCCTTCCTAATATCCACTTGCCATCCCTTCTGAGCCGAGGACAGGGGTCCCATTATACTGTGCCCGGAACTTGAAGATTCTGCTGTTCCCAGGACCTCCGAAGTACATCCCAAATGCTTCTCTTAGCAAGAGCAAGCAGCCCTATGTGCCCTGCGTGGCTGATGGGGGTTTTTGTGTGTGATCTCCCCTATCCCCACCCTAGTGATCTTACATAGAGCTTACATTTCTCTTCCTGCCCCAGGAGGGCATGCAACTGTTCCTACGCCCCTGCCCTCTGCAAGTGTGAAAGAATACCCTAAATTATTCAGTGACTCTCTGGGAGTCTGAGAGGTCTGGGTCATGTTTCCAGTCTTGCTGTGTTGGGGACTGCCTCATGTTGGGGGGAAGAGTTAAGAAAATATGAAGAGATGGGGGACCCAGGGGTATGTATGAATCTTCTAGGCCATGTTTGATTCTGGGTGCATGATCCCTGCTTTCCTGGACTGAAAAAGAAGAAGTCTATTCTAGGCCAAGGCTTCGGGACTTGGTATAGAGGAGGGATGGGGTCAAGGATTCATCCTCCTTCTCTCAGCAGTAAGCAATAAAAATCTTGGTGCTAAGTCCACTCCACCTCTGTGGGGCTTGTCTTGGGGGAGAAGGCCAGGCAGTCACTGGATTTAAGAATCAGGCCTATCCAGTGGTAACAGTAACAACAATAATGCAGTGTTCCCCTCATTGTCCGAATCTCCTTGATTCTGAGGATGATGGGGAGAACTTGGATAGCTAGAGGGTAATGTGTTACTCAATTGGGTTTTGTTCCTGCATTTCTCATAGAGACTAGTGAGTTTGAATAACAAGATGCCAGACCTATCTTATCCTGAAAATCTATCCAAACCTATTGATAACAAAACAAGCATTCCTCACTTTCCCAATCTATTTGGTACCTGAATTCTGAGAGGGAGAGTGCCCGAAGTTCAGACAGTGAAACCTACCAAGTTATTTGAAGGTATTTTGTTTTCACATCTTACATAGTGAGTAGGGAAAATTGAGATAATGAAGAATAATGACTAACTAAAAAATGTATCCAAATCTATGAACTTTCCTGAGCTCCAGGGACAAGAGTTGGGATAGTGAGGGTACCCTGTTATGTAAATGGTTCCTGCATTTTGTTTGGAGGGTAAGGAAAGTTCAAGAATGAGGGATACCAGTCGTATCTCAAAAATGTTTCTGAATCCATTCAGTTCTTGCATTTGGATGGTGAGAGTTCAGACAATTTCTCTGAATGTATTTGGTTCCTGCATTTTTGATGTTGAGAAAGGAGAGGTTGGATCATGAGGGAAACAGCTCTGTTTCAAATATGTCTCATTTGGTGAGCAGGGAGGGTACCGTGTCTAGATAGCAAGTGGGATTTGGAAGCTGAGGGATACCAGTTCTGTCTCAAAAATGCATCTGAGGCCGGGCGCGGTGGCTCACGCCTGTAATCCCAGCACTTTGGGAGGCTGAGGCGGGTGGATCACGAGGTCAGGAGTTCGAGCCCACCCTGGCCAAGATGGTGAAACCCCGTCTCTACTAAAAATACAAAAATTAGCTGGGTGTGGTGGCACGCACCTGTAATCCCAGCTACTCGGGAGGCTGAAGCAGGGAACTGCTTGAACCCGGGTGGTGGAGGTTGCAGTGAGCCGAGATCATGCCACTGCACTCCAGCCTGGGTGACAGGGTGAGACTCCGTCTCAAAAAAAAAAAAAAAAAAAAAAAATTGCGTCTGAATACATTTAGTCTCTGATTTTGGATAGCAAGAGTTCAGACAAGTTATCTGAGGAAAAACAACTGTTTCAAATGTATCAAGTGAGACTGAAGGACACCAGCTCTGTCTGGAAAAAATGTGTCTGAATGTATCTACTTGATTCCTGACTTCCTGTGGGGAAGAATACTTGTAACTGTGACAGCCAACATACACTGAGCTCTTACCAGGCACTGTTCTGCACAAGCTTTAAATGTATTAACTGATTTAATGCTCACAATAGCCCCGTGAGGTACATACTGTTATCATCGTCCCCAATTGACAGAGAGGCACAGAGAGGTTAAGTGACTTGTTCAAGCAGTCACACAGCTAGTAAGTGGCAGAGCTGGGTTGAATCCCAGACTCACCATTTACTAGTGACAGCAGGGTCACGTGAGGCCCAGGGCCCAGCTGGGGTAGGGCTTAGAGGTTGGGTCCTCTTCGAGGCTATTAAAAGTCATGGACCAGGGCAATGATGTGTGTTAGTGACTGCCCCATTTGTCTGCCTGGCCCAGGAGGTCCAGTTACCTGCTCTCCCCCAGTTACCCCCACAACAGCCCACCTCTGTGTGAGTGTATTAATTGTTGTTAGTAAGAGTCATTAATGACATGGTGTGTTTCCTTGCACTTTGAAATGCCTTTCAAAGTTATTTGGGGCCTCCATTGTCTCTGTAACCACCTTTTACCCATTTTACAGATGAGGAGACCTAAGCTTTGAGACTCAATCTACATTGCCAGCCAGATTCTCATCCCTCTTGGCTCTGATTTTATTACTGTCTCACTTCCCAACATCTTTGGTGGCCCATAAGAGGTGGGAGAGGCTGTGGCCGAGAGGACACTCCCCAATGCCCACCTTACCACTGCCCGCCCCAGGCAGTGAAGTGGGGAGGGCGATGAAAGGGGCCTTTGTGTTCCATGCTGGAAATCTCACACCCAGGAAGAAAGGTGGGCAGGGATGGCGGGAGGCCTTAATAGTATGAGTCTGGGGCATTGCTGATTCAGAGTGAGCTCCTCTCTAGGCTCAGCCCATCTGCAGCTTTTCTCACTTCAGGTCATGGTGTGGGCTGCTGCAGGGGTCTGGGTAGGGCTTGGGCCCTGGGTCACAGAGCAGATGGTCCTGAATGGAGCACAGGATGTGTGCTGTGTGCCGGGACTGGCCCAGAGCTCAGGTGGTAGTGGTGATGGTGGTGGTGGTGATGGTGGTGGTGGTGGGCGGGGTGAGGGGAGGCAGGGACAGTACGTCGTAAGGACTCAAAGCTCTCATTTCCTTCTCTGGCATGAAGCCTGACTCTCTGAAGAAGAGAGACCCAGCATGGATGTGAAGAAGCATGAGCCCCCTTCCCTACTTCTCCTTCCCACTTGCAGGAGTAGCCTCTGTCTGCCTCCCAGCCAGGACCCAGCCCCCGGAAATTCTGATTTCACCTGCTCTTCTGCCACTGTGATCTGAATCAGGCCTCTTCACCTTTCCAGGCCTCAGCTTCTGCATCTATAAAATGGCTGTGAGGAGGCTGGGTCTGTGCCATCCTGCTACATTTGTAGGAACCAAGAGGGATCAAAACCCATAAGTGTTTTGTAGGGTGTAAGTTGTGCTTGATTTATTGAGATTATTTCTTCTGGAGCCACAGAAGGATCTTGAGACCTGACCTCTCCTTAGAAAGGTTGACTTCCTCTGTCCCCAACTTGGGAAACTATTATTCCCCAGTGAGGGTGGGAATTGCCCCAAGGCCTTCTACCACTGCCTTGCCCTGGGAGGAAAGGGTAGGGGCCTCAGAATGTGATGCTTAGTGCCAAGACACAAAAACTCAGTTTACACCCGAAGCCTCCCATGTACTTTACAGCTCCCCACACCTCTATGGCCCAGATCCAAGTTGCCCCTTGGGTGGGCAGCGTCTAATCCTCTGGGAATTTGGGCAGTAGGAGAGGCAGCTGCTACTCCCACCACTCTCAGCCCTTCTTCCCAGTTTTCTGCTAAGTGTACGGGGTGAGGAGGCACAGGCCTCCATGCCTGGCCAGTTTTAAAAAAAATTTTTGTAGAGATGGGGGTCTCATTATGTTGCACAGTCTGGCCTTGAACTCTTGGCTTCAAGCAATCCTCCCACCTCAGCCTCCCAAAGTGCTGAGATTACAGGCACCAGCTACCCTGCCTGGCCCAGGCTGTCTTCTTAGACATGCTGAGCACCCTGAGTGGACCTGGCCCTGAAACTGCCCCCAGGGGTGACCCTAGTCCTGGTGGCAGACAGGCAAGGGTTAAAAGGTGTGGGCCGGCCCAGTTCCTGGCCAGGTAGGCTGGGCCATTACCTAGTGGGAGGTGGCCAAGGCATCTGCCACTGCTGCTGACTGCCACTACCAGCCGGAGCCAGGGCCTGGTCGAGACAACTATTTTTGAGGTATCTGAGGCTACCCCACAGCACTCTCTGGCATTGGTGAGCACCTGGGAGCAGTGGGCCCAGGGTGCGAGGGGGATAAGGGCATTGGGGAGCTGGGGCAGGGTGTACTGAAGTTCCCTTCGGTAGAGAGCTAGGTCTGTGGGAGAGGCACACCAACAATGCAGGGCAGGGTGGTGGTGGGGGGGTAGGGGGGCAGTGAGAATGGAGGGCCTGAGGACAGGGGCAAAGCCCAAAACACCAATTTCCTTTCCTGGCACCAAGCCGATTCCCGGCCGGAAATGGACGAGGAGGGATCGGGGAAAAGAGAAGTATGAGTCCCCCCTTCTCCACCCTATCCCTGCTTCCTTTCCTCCCCGCCAGGAGTAGCCTCTGTCCTCCCCCAACCCAGGGCCCAGCTCTCCAAGAAAGACCAGACTGGGCTACTAAGAAACCATTACTCAGGCACCTGCCTGCCTATGCCTGATTTGTTCACTGCAGTGGAGGAAGCAGGGGCTCTGGGGAGGGTAATGGCCCAGACATTGAGATTTTGTATTTGCTCTAATAGTGGCAGGATGTGGAAATGACCCCCCAACTGTTGGGGTGCCACCCAGGTGAGGTATCTTGGTTGTAAACAGTTATTACAGCCAGGAATTTCTTTCTCGGCTGTGGTGTCAGAATGGCAGACCTGAAAAACCTGCCGGGCCCGCCTCTGGGTGTGGGGGGTGCCCTCTACTGCTCTCCCGCTGCAGCTGGTCCCTGGGACAGGATGGGGGCCATGGGGTCACTGGTAGGGGGAGACCTGGGGTTGGTGTGGGGGTGTGCTGGGGAGGGGTTTGCTGGGATCCCTTTCTCGCCATCTGGGCGGGGATGAGGCAGCTCCAGGCCCCAAGGCAAGTATGCAGAGGGCAGGTGAGCGGAGGCAGAAGCTTAGGAACTGGGTGTGGGGGTGTGGGGCGTTGACTGTGTCTAGCCTGCCCAGTGACCCCATGACTCATACTCTAACTATGTCCCCCCGAGGTCGGGCTGATAGGGAGGAGTTGGGGTTCCTGTGTGGACCCTGTCTGGACTTCCAGGACGCTCTGAGAAATTAGAGAAGAAAGGATTGGCTGGGTGCAGTGCCTCACGCATGTAATCCCAGCACTTTGGGAGGCCGAGGCGGGTGGATCACCTGAGGTCAGGAGTTCGAGACCAGCCTGGCCAACATGGTGAAACCCAATTTCTACTAAAAATACAAAAGTAGCCAGGCATGGTGGCGTGCACCTGTAATCCCAGCTACTTTGGAGGCTGAAGTGGGAGAATTGCTTGAACCTGGGAAGTGGAGGCTGCAGTGAGCCAAGATCGTGCCACCACTGCATTCCAGCCTAAGTGACAGAGCCAGGCCCTATCTCCAAAAAAAAAAAAAAAAAAAAAAAAAAAAGAATCGAAGCAGCCCAGCATGGAATTGGGATTGGATTGGGACCAATGCTGGCAAGGGGGACCGTGGATGGAGTTGGGTTCCTGTGGGGGTAAAGGAAGGTTCCAGGGAACCCTGTGAGAGTTCCTTGGGCCTAAATGGGGGCTGGGAAAGTTGGAGCCCCAGTGATCTGGGATGTGGAGGAACCCCTGCCATGCTGGGAAGTGTCAGACCTTAGATGAGTGGGGATGTGGGGCCTGGGTTTGTCAAAAGGCTTTAGGGACTGATCCCCACCCCTGCTGTTGAAGGCAGGGCACCACTGCTTCAAGAGAGGGGTACAGGCCCTATGGGGCAGGCAGGAGGACTGCAGAGAAACATGACACCTTACAAGCAGCTTGGCCTCACCCCACAATACACAGATGGGGAAGGGGCTTGAACCCATGCCTCCTTGGTTGGCTGGGTCTTCCTCACACCAGGCTAACATGTCATGACAAGCTGCCGACTTCAAGGTAGGTGATAATGGAGCTCTGTGGCCCCATAAAGCCCTCCCAGTCACCTGCCACCTAGGTTAGGCCAGGTGGTGGGAGGTGATGTCACTCAGCTGCCCAGCTGGGGACTGAGCATGATGTGGAAGGAAGGGAGCAAACTCCAGAGGAGGGGTGGCCAGCCAAGGCAGGTTCCATGGTCAGCTGAGCCATCGGGGGCAGAGAAGGAGGCAGGAGGCAGGTGGTTCGTTATTTGCAGCTGTGGACTTTGCTTCTCACAAATCCCAGCAGGAGGACTTCCCTACACTAGGCTCAGGACAGGCTGTCATGGCAAGAGGGGCTGGAGGGACCCTGGGTCAAGTGAACATTCTCCTTGCTACACTAGAGCTACAGAATGGAGTTGGGACAAGCACAGACCCACAGATCTGAGCTTGAACCCTGGCTCCACCGCCTCCTCATTTACTTACTCTATCTTTTATTCATTCAGCTGGCACCCATTCATTGAGCACTTGTGTGTACAGCCATGTTCAGGGTGCTGGTGATGCTGCTGAAAATGGGACAGATAATGTTTCCTGTCCTCGTCGATGTTCCAGGAGGCACAATCTCTTGTTGGACAACCGTTTGTGAGAGGATATAACTGTGGAAGTGATAATTAAGTTCTAGAATGATAAGTGTGATGCAGGGGCTGGGGTGGTGAGAGGTTGAAGAAAGCACTTCAGGCAGCATCCACAGCCTGGGCAAAGGCCCTGAGGCCTGAGGGACCAGGGAGCTTATGAGGAAGTTGGTGGAGTTAGAGCGGTTCTCATGAGCGAGAGTGTAGGACCAGAGGGGTGGGCCTGGTTTATGTCTGTGGCTATGGGCCAGTTATTTCACCTCTGTGCCTTCCTTTCCTCATCTCTAAAATGGGGATACGAATCTTTCCGGGTGGCTCTGAAGATTGAGTGTGGCATCATAGGTAACTGTTGCAGGCACCCAGGTGTTGACTGCGTGTCCATTGTTGTTATAGTTGGTTGAATCTGTCCCATTAATTCTCCTTCCCCAGGCAAGACTCGTGGCTGTGACCCATGGGCCTCTGAGGAGGCGTTGTAAGTCCGCCCAGCTCCCCACTTGCTGTGCTCTCACTCAATGCGAAGGGAACCAAGGTACCAGGGCCAAGTGGGTCCAGACATCCACACGGATTCTGAAAGGGCAGGTCAAGCAGGCACGTGGGGCCCAGGTTACCCCTTATTCCCCGCTGTGGCATGGGAAGCTGGGAAGGGCTGGGGGTTGGGGTATCATGGGATGTGCTTCCTTAACGGCTCCTTTGTGTCACTGCCAGACTTTGTCCAGCCATCAGCCACGGCCTCTCGACAGCACCAAGATGGAAGTCAAAGGTCAGCTGATCAGCTCTCCTACCTTCAATGCCCCAGGTCGGTGGCTGCTTCCCCTCCTGCTGCCTCCTCCCCTGCTCTGAATCACCACCTGCTTGCTCGGGAAGAGTTGGTCCCTTGCCCCACAGCTGCTCCAGAATGCCCTGGCTGTCCCACTGATCTTTGCTCCCTCTGTGTCCAGCTGCCCTGTTCGGAGAGGCTGCCCCCCAGGTGAAGTCAGAGCGTCTGCGGGGGCTGCTTGACCGGCAGCGGACCCTGCAGGAGGCCCTGAGCCTGAAACTTCAGGAGCTCCGCAAAGTGTGTCTCCAGGAGGCGGTGAGGGCCTGGCCCTAGGGGTATCAGGCGGGGAGGTTGGGAGGAGGTGAGGAGCTGGGGCCCCTAGGTAGACAGACTTGGGTGGCAATTCCTCAACCACTTGTCTTGGCTGTAGATTCCCTGTCACCTACTTTCTCCTCAAAGCTCAGCTTAGATGTGTTAGAATGAATGAAATAGGCTGGGCGCTGTGGCTCACGCCTGTAATCCCAGCACTTTGGGAGGCCGAGGCAGGTGGATCACCTGAGGTCGGGAGTTCCAGACCAGCCTGACCAACATGGAGAAATCCCGTCTCTACTAAAAATGCAAAATTAGGCTGGGCGCGGTGGCTCACGCCTGTAATCCCAGCACTTTGGGAGGCCGAGGTGGGCGGAACACGATGTCAGGAGATCGAGACCATCCTGGCTAACACGGTGTAACCCCGTCTCTACTAAAAATACAAAAAATTAGTCAGGCGTGGTGGCGGGCACCTATAGTTCCAGCTACTCGGGAGGCTGAGGCAGGAGAATGGCATGAACCCGGGAGGCGGAGCTTGCAGTGAGCCCAGATTGCGCCACTGCACTCCAGCCTGGGCGACAGAGCAAGACTCTGTCTCAAAAAAAAAAAAAAAAAGCAAAATTAGCTGGGTGTGGTGATCCTAGCAACTTGGGAGGCTGAGGCAGGAGAATCGCTTAAACCCTGGAGGTGGAGGTTGCGGTGAGCTGAGATTGCGCCATTGCACTCCAGCCTGGGCAACAAGAGCAAAACTCCACCTCAAAAAAAAAAAATATGGTAATACAGGCCCACTGTTGACAATTTCAAATCCAACAAACCTCAGAAAACAGGTTCTGTCCAAAATTTGGCAGCACAGTCTGACCTGAACTGGCACAGGCTGATCTGTAGTTTCAGTTTACCCCTCTTACTGTGAATGCCCACAGTGTGCCGGAAATAATACTACAGCTCAGACCACGCAGCCACAGCCCCTGAAGTGAGTTATATAATACTTAGGATCTCGATGGTATCACCTTTATAAAAACAAAACAATTCTGGATTCCAAAGCAGGTCTCCCTGCCTCCCATGCCCACCACCCCAGGGGTTTGGGCCACTGAGGTTTGGGCACACCTGCCTAGTGGAGATACTGGTAGGAGGGAGGGGAGTATCGTGCGTGGTTGCTGAGCAGGGCCAGGCTCCTGGTAGGACTTCTGTAGCTTCTGGGATCATTAATGCTTCACCCCATCCTTCCAACTAACCCTTGGTAGTCTCTGACCCCTGCCTCCCACCAGGAGCTGACTGGCCAGCTGCCCCCTGAGTGCCCACTAGAGCCTGGTGAACGGCCCCAGTTGGTCCGCCGGCGGCCCCCCACAGCCCGCGCCTACCCTCCACCGCACCCCAACCAAGCACACCACTCCTTGTGCCCTGCTGAGGTGAGCAGATGGGTGTGGAGAGCAAGAGGGTGGGAAGAGGGGACAGGTACAGAGGAGTAGCCAGGAGGAAGGTGTGGGGAGGGGGCTTGTGGCCAGGTGAGGGAGAGGCTAAGATGAGAAGGAAAAGGGCTTCTGGAGTTAGTTTCCTGTGATGAGGGAGGATGCTGGTCCCTAACTGTCAGGACAGGCCTCCAACCCTAAGGAAGATGAACAGACCCAGCCCTTCACCAAGAGAGGCCCTGACACGCCCCCTCCCCGGGGTGAATAGGTCTGAATAGGCTGCAGGAAGTGCAGGCCAGCCTCTACTGGGTTTGGCCCCGCCAGGTCCCTGTTCCTGGCCATTTCCAACATTTGGGTGGGCCCAACAGGAGCTGGCTCTTGAGGCCCTGGAACGCGAGGTGTCAGTGCAACAGCAGATCGCGGCGGCCGCCCGCCGCCTGGCCTTGGCCCCTGATCTGAGCACCGAGCAGCGCCGGCGCCGGCGCCAGGTCCAGGCAGATGCACTGAGGAGGCTGCATGAGCTAGAGGAGCAGCTCAGGGATGTCCGGGCCCGCCTTGGCCTCCCAGTGCTCCCGCTGCCCCAGCCACTGCCACTGTCCACGGGGTCAGTGATCACCACCCAGGGAGTCTGCCTGGGCATGCGTCTTGCTCAGCTCAGCCAAGGTGAGCATCCCCTGGTGAGGGTGGGAGAGTGGACACTGGCAAATGGACGTGGTAGGGCTGGGATGGGTGACTGGCCGGTGAAAACCGGGAGGTAGGCACAACTCAAGTGGCCCAACCCGTGAGAAGAGTTGTGACAAACTGGCTTACCGGAAAGGACAAACTGTGGGGGACTGATGAATATCTGCCAGGACAGTCAGGAACCAAACTGGGGTGGTCTTGGGCTCTGGTAAAAGCAGATTCTTGGGACAGGAACAGGATGAGGCGGAAACTGGCCAGAAGGTGGCCCAAGTAGAGGTGCCCACCCAGTGGTGTAAGGGGGCAGCACCCAGGCCTGGGAGTGAGAGGCCCACTTCTCCCCCTCTCACCTGTAGAGGACGTAGTTCTGCACTCAGAGAGCAGCTCCCTCTCAGAGTCTGGGGCCAGCCATGACAACGGTGAGGACTCCTATCCCCCAAACCTGCCCCCGACTCCTACGTCCCTTTAGCCCATCCCCTTTATTCATCCGACCACATCCTGCATGATCAGCCCATCCTTTGATGCCCAGCCCCTCCTGTGCTGCTTCAGCTTCTCCTTAGCCATGCTCCATCTTCCTATGGGTCCCCCATCTTCTTAGCCTCACCCCACCCCAGCCCCACAGCCCCAGAACCTACTTGTCAGCCTTAGTTCCTCCTCAGCCTGCTTAACCTGTCCCAGCACTTTGCCCCTCCCCATGGCCTTGCCCCCCAGCCTGTCCTGCCCCCTCTGGGCCCCCCTCATTGAATTCTATCCCACTTGCTCTCTTCCACTCAGAGGAGCCCCATGGCTGCTTCTCTCTGGCCGAGCGCCCCTCACCACCCAAGGCTTGGGACCAGCTGCGGGCAGTATCTGGGGGGAGCCCTGAGCGGCGAACCCCATGGAAACCACCTCCATCAGATCTTTATGGGGATCTGAAGAGCCGGCGGAACTCTGTGGCCAGCCCCACCAGGTGAGAATGAGCCCCTCCTCCCCTCCGCAGGAGCTGGGAATGGGATAGCAAGCCTGGGCTGGCAGAGGGTCTGCTGGTGGGTACAGTCTCTAACCTAGGCCTGCCTGTCTCTGTCTAGCCCCACACGCTCGCTGCCCAGGAGTGCCTCCAGTTTTGAGGGGCGAAGTGTGCCTGCCACCCCTGTCCTCACCCGGGGCGCTGGCCCCCAGCTCTGCAAGTAAGGGGAATCTGAGGGTGGGCTGGAGGATCAGAGGGGAGGGAACCATTAGTTCTCACTGGAAGCTTGAGGACAACATTATCAAAAGGTGGGATGGCTGGGCGCGGTGGCTCACGCTTGTAATCCCAGCACTTTCGGAGGCCGAGGCGGGCGGGTTACTTGAGGTCAGGGGTTCAAGACCAGCCTGACCAACATGGTGAAACCCTGTCTCTACTAAAAATACAAAAATTAGCTGGGCATGGTGGGGCATGCCTGTAATCCCAGCTACTTCGGAGGCTGAGGCAGGAGAATCGCTTGAACCCGGGAGGCGGAGGTTGCAGTGAGCTGAGATCAACATCGTGCCATTGCACTCCAGCCTGGGCGACAAGAGCGAAACTCCGTCTCAAAACAAACAAAAAAACAAAAGGTGTGGGACATGGGAGGCTGGGCATTAAAGGTGAGCAGGCATCTCGGTGGATAATGGGGTAGGAGTCAGTCTCCTCATTTGTGAAATGGAAATAATAATATCTGCCTTTGAAAGACATGGACATAATAAGTTCTGGTTAACATATACTGAGTGCCTGCCATCTGCTAGGAATTAGTGTTTTACGTGGCATCAACTCATTTAATCATAATCAGATCCCTGTGAGGTGGGTGCTATTGTTATTCCCATTTTATAGATGAGGCAAGTGAGGCACAGAAAGGTTAAGTAACTTGTTAGTAAACTGAAGTCCTGGAGTTTGAGCCCAGGCAAGTTTTACTCTAGAGTCCATGCTTTTAACCACTGTCCTCTTCTGCTTCTTAAACAGAGTGCCTACTTTCCCCAGGCTCTGAACAAAACCAAGTCCCCTTCCTTGTGGGGCTTGCATTCTGTGAACGGTGGCTGTTGGGATGGTAGCTTTGGGTGGTTCATACGTATGGTCGGATAGAGAATTCAGGCAGGGTTTTACATGTGAGCCCTAAGGCCTAGGACTTAATCCTGGAGGCCGTGCGAGCCATGAGAACGGCCTTAGCAGGGGGAGGGGTCAGCTGGATTAGGAACAGCCCCCTGCCCGGCATCTACTCTGCTAGCCTTTCCTCTGAGTCCCTACACAGATTTACACCTCCCTTGGAGCTAACAGTGCCAGGCCTCCCCCACGCATTTCTACCCCTGACCGCCTAGCCTAGGATAGAACCTCAGCTGCCCTTTACATGTCACTACCTGCCACCTTTATACACACAGCTTCCAACCTTGGGCCCATTTGGAGATGTGAAAGTGAAGGCTTAGAAAGGGCTGGGGTAGGGAGGGCACTGCACGCCTTCTGCCTGATTTTTCTGACCCTATTCCCATGACCCTCGCCTCTCACCCCAGACCTGAAGGCCTTCATTCTCGTCAGTGGTCCGGCAGCCAGGACTCCCAGATGGGCTTCCCCCGGGCGGACCCTGCCTCCGATCGCGCCTCCCTCTTCGTAGCTCGCACCCGCCGCAGCAACAGTTCTGAGGCCCTGCTGGTGGACCGGGCCGCTGGTGGGGGAGCTGGCTCCCCGCCTGCCCCTCTGGCTCCCTCTGCCTCTGGCCCCCCAGTCTGCAAGAGCAGTGAGGTGCTGTATGAGCGCCCCCAACCAACCCCTGCCTTCTCCTCCCGCACAGCAGGCCCCCCAGACCCTCCCCGGGCCGCCCGGCCTAGCTCAGCTGCCCCTGCCTCCCGAGGTGCCCCCCGGCTCCCACCTGTGTGTGGAGACTTCCTCTTGGACTATTCCTTGGACCGGGGCCTGCCCCGCAGTGGCGGTGGAACAGGCTGGGGGGAGCTGCCGCCTGCAGCTGAGGTCCCAGGACCCCTCTCCCGCCGGGATGGGCTCCTCACCATGCTCCCCGGCCCACCACCTGTGTATGCAGCTGACAGCAACAGCCCCCTCCTCCGCACCAAGGACCCCCACACCCGTGCCACCCGCACTAAGCCCTGTGGCCTGCCCCCAGAGGCTGCCGAAGGCCCTGAGGTGCATCCAAACCCTCTGCTGTGGATGCCCCCACCCACCCGTATCCCCTCGGCTGGTGAACGCAGTGGCCACAAGAACCTGGCTCTGGAGGGGCTGCGGGACTGGTACATCCGGAACTCGGGACTGGCTGCGGGGCCCCAGCGCCGGCCTGTGCTCCCTTCCGTGGGCCCGCCACACCCACCCTTCCTCCATGCCCGCTGCTATGAGGTGGGCCAGGCGCTGTACGGGGCCCCCAGCCAGGCGCCACTCCCACACTCGAGGAGTTTCACGGCGCCCCCTGTCTCTGGCAGGTATGGGGGGTGCTTTTACTGATGGGTAGGGGTCTCGTAAGGCAGATGGCGAAGATATCCAGGCCAGGGAGTGGCTAGTCATGATAGCTAATGAATTGGACCATGAGGAAACTAGCTGCTGTGATGGCACAGGGTCACTCTACTGCACATGACCTGCATTAGTCCATGGGGTCCTGGTGGAGGGGATCTTGGGCACTGGTAGCAGCAATTCTTTATCAAGTTATAGGCTGAAGATGAGCCTTGAAGCCAGGGTGCCGGGAGGAAGGGACATCTCATGCCCCTTGCTGTTTTCTTCCTTTTTTCTCCATGCCCCAGAGCCTGAAAGTGCTGTCCTGTGCCTGCCTCCACCTCTTTAACGAGCCTCTTTTCCTTTCTTTTTCTGTGTCTTGTCTGTCTTTTCTTCTTCTTGTCTTCCCCGCCCTGTCCTCCGGATTCCTGCTACCCCTTCTAAAGATACTACGCGGACTTCCTGTATCCCCCGGAGCTGAGCGCTCGTTTAAGTGACCTGACGCTAGAGGGGGAGCAGTCCTCCAGTTCTGACACCCAGACCCCGGGGACACTGGTCTGACCCCTTCTGATATGTCCCTTGTTGGCCTGGGCACGATTCCAATCTGGGGAGCACACAGCTGACCTCGCTGGGCCCTGGGGTGTGGTTGCTCTCAGTCCTGAGCAGAGTGCGCCAACCTAATCTTCCAAGGCCCCTGGCTCCCCGTAGGCCCAGGAAGGTGTCTGACACCCTGCTTCTTCTCTCACACTGTGCTGGGGACTGGGGGCCCTCAGCTAGCTTAAAAGAGGGGGGATGATGTCATGGGGACCCCAAGCCCCTTCCTCCATTTATGTTTACAGTTGTGACTTAGGTATTCACTGTCTTCCTCCAACACTAGGCGTTTTACAAAAGGGAAACTGTGATCTCATCTGGTTGGGTTCATTCCTGTTCCCATGCCCAACCAGGTTCCATTCAGGAACCCCCTCCATAAAATGGACCATATCGGGTCTCAGGGCCATTTAGGGCAGCCAGGAGACTCCGGTGTGAACAGAAATCCCTGCCACGCATCGCCAGGGCAGTTGGGGCAGTGGGCTCTCTGCCCACACTTGGAAGGACTGCAGTCTGGGTGGGATGCCTGAAAGAGCCCAACCCCCTCTGTGCCCATGGCCTCTGCCCTGACCACCCCCAGTCAGGAGGCCCCACAGGAGGGGCACCCGGTAGATGCCAGTGAAATCCTCAGGTGAGGTCTGCCTACGGGCCACGGGCCACTCACCACTCACACCTTCCTTGGCTTTCCTTCCACCCTTTTTTTTTTCTCGAGACGGAGTCTTGCTCTGTCACCAGGCTGGAGTGCAGCGGCGCAATCTCAGCTCACTGCAACCTCTGCCTCCTGGGTTCTCCTGCCTCACCCTCCCGAGTAGCTGGGATTACAGGCACACGCCACCATGCCCGGCTAATTTTTGTATTCTTAGTAGAGACAAGGTTTCACCATATTGGCCAGGCTGGTCTTGAACTCTTGACCTCGTGATCTGCCCGCCTTGGCCTCCCAAAGTGCTGGGATTACAGCCGTGAGCCACTGCACCCAGCCCCAATCCACCACTTTTTAAGCAAACCCACACAAGTTGTGTTTTCTATGATACCTGTCTGTGATTTTCGGAGCTGGGGGTTCCCCTACCCCCTTTTCCTGGCGTTAAGCTTTTCTTTTTATACCAGTGGATCTGGACCCAAGACATTACCCACACTGGAAGGGGATTTGTATAATAAATGTGTAAACTGAACCCATGTGTTGCTGCTCTGTCTGCCTCACCTTGAGGACCCACACCTCTAGTCAAGACCAGATAATATATTTTTGCAGGAAAAAACATACCTTGGGAATAGCCTGTGATAGTGTCATCTGTTTTGACTTTACTTGCTTTGTGATGTGGGGCAACTTCTTTGCCTGTCTGCACTCAAATTTCTAGCCAACCTCAAACAATAACTCTTGGTAATATAAATGGTGATAACAAAGACTCTGTCCTTAACCTCCCTATACATTTTTTAAAAATTTTTATTTTTTTGAGACAATGTCTCACTCTGTTGCCCAGGCTGAAATGTAGTGGCGCGATAACGGCTCACTGCAGCCTTGACCTCCTGGACTCACAATCTTCCCACCTCAGCCGCCTGAATAGCTGAAACTACAGTTGTGCACCACCATACCCGCTAATTAAAAAAGAAAAAAAAATTGTAGGCCGGGTACGCAGTGGCTCACGCCTGTAATCCTAGCACTTTGGGAGGCCAAGGTGGGCAGCTCACGAGGTCAGGAGATCAAGACCATCCTGGCTAACAGTAAAGCCCCGTCTCTACTAAAAATACAAAAAAAATTAGCCGGGCGTAGTGGCACGTGCCTGTAATCCCAGCTACTCGGGAGGTTGAGGCAGGAGAATCGCTTGAACCCGGGAGGCAGAGATTGCAGTGAGCCGAGATCATGCCACTGCACTCCAGCCAGGGCGACAGAGCAAGACTGTCTCAAAAAAAAAAAAAAAAGTAGAGATGGGGGTCTCATTATGTTGCCCAGGTTAGTCTCGGACTCCTAGGCTTGAGCAGTCCTCCTGCCTCAGCCTCCCAAAGTGCTGGGATTGCAGGCGTGAGCTACCATGCCCAGCTTTTTGAGACAGGTTCTCACTGTTGCCCAGGTTGGAGTGCAGTGGCACAATCACAGCTCACTGCAGCCTCTACCTCTTAGGCTCTGGCCATCCTGCCACAGCCTCCCAAGTAGCTGGGACTACAGAAGCACACCACCATGCCCAGCTAAATTTTAATTTTTTTGTAGCAATAAGAGTCTTGCTATATTGCCCAGGTTGGTCTCAAACTCCTAGCCTCAAGTGATCCTCTAGTCTCAGCCTCCCAAAGTGTTGGAATTACAGGCGTGAGCCACTGCACCTGTCCTTCCCTGTGCTTTAATGCTGATCCAGAGGTCATAAGTTCAAGGAAGGGCCTCAGAGATCACCTCTTCAGCCCACATATTCAGGAAGAGTCTAGCAGAATTGAAAAGTAGGCCACTTCTGTCCTTTGAAATGTACAAGGACTTTACCCAGGAGGCTCAAATTGGCATGAGAGATGCAACAGGCTTTATTGTTGCAGCAACACTAACATATACGCCCCATTCCCTGCTGAGGCCTGTCCCCACCTCACCCCTTGGTTGTCGATGGTGTGGAACATTGGGGTGAGGGGCAAAATGCCTAAGCAGAGCTGGAGGGAGGCAAATGGGACTGGTGAGGGTCGGGATCACCTGGACCAGGGGTCCAACAGTCAGGATACCCGACTCCATCCACACAGGGGCATGGAACACTTGGGTTCTGAGTTCAAGATTTGGCAATGTCTTGACCTGGGTTGGAAGGTAGGGTGGGGTCTGGAAAAGCTTTGGTCCAGGGTTCAAGATTTGAGAGTGCCTTGCCCCAGGCCCCAGTTTGGGGATGAGCATGGAGAAGGGTGGATGGGAGTGTCTCTGGGTTCACAATTTGAAATTGGCCATGGATGCTCTGGCCTGAAGCCAGTTTTGGGGCTGGATGTAGGTGGCTCTTGGTCCTGGGTTCAAGGCTGGGGAAGACTCTTGTCCCTAGGTAATGGGGGCTGGGTGTGAGGGATATCTTAGTTTGGGGCTGGCGTGGGGGTAGGGCGGTCACAGATGTCCTGTTTTGTTTGGGCAGGGGGCTCTAGGCTCCTGTTTTAAGTGCTGGGAAAGGGCTCTGGGTCCCAATTATGGGCTGGGGGTGGGGTGGTATTCTCCAGGTCCTGGGTACAGATCCCAGGGGCCTAGGATCCAGCCTCCTGCTCTTGTCCCAGTGCCTCTAGTAGCAGGCCCATTGGCGTCCGCTTGAGACCAATGCTCTCGATCTTGTTCTCAATCTTGTTCTTAAGGTTGCGCAGGCGCAACGAGGCGTGCACCAGGATCACTGTGGGCGGCACCGAGAGGGGTGGTCAGTGGAATAGACCTCAGCCTGCAGCCAACCGGGGCCCACCGAAGGGAATTGGCGCGCAGGCAGGCCAATGGAGTGGTGAGCAGCCAGGACGCCTCAGATACTGAAAGCGTGGCCGAGTAATTGGCTTGGCAACGTGGGCATGGCCAGGGAAGACGCCCGGTAACGGGGACGTGGCCAGTGGAAGGCACTTAACACCAAGAGTGAGATAGGAAAGGCGATAATAAAAGGGGTGTTCCCAGAAGGGGGAACGAAGCCCGGGAAGGCGCTTTTAGCGGGGGCGTGGCGAGGCCCTCGGGTTTCCCAGCCCCCTCTCAACCCGGGGACCGGCAGGGCTGGCCTGGTGCCTTAAGCATGCTCTGGCTGCTTTCCTGGCTATCTCGGGGTAGTGGAGACTCACGAAGCACCGGCCCGGCGATGCTGAACAGGAAGGTGCAAGCGCCGCCCGCGACCCAGAGCACCAGGAGGCCGACGGCAAGCACTGCGGCCAGGCAGGCTGCAGGGTGGCTGCGGCGGCAGCGGCGCACAGCTGCGCGGGTCTCAGCTGCCCACACCAGCACGCCGAGGGCCACCGCCACTACCAGCGCGCTCAGGAGCGTATGAAGTGGCCGCACGTACCTGCGGGTACAAGGGAACCAAGCTAGCCGGCCGGGCGGAGAGACGGCCTCCGGACCACCACCCACCCTGGGCCCCAAGAGCCAGGGTCTCCCGTCTCCGGACACTCCAGCCTGGCACATCCTCCCACCAGCCCTATCTCCAGCAGGCCCATCTGCCAGGGCTCCCGACTCACCCTTGTAGACCCCTCCTTTCCTCCTTGTCAATTCCACTGTCCTGTCTTCCTCAGGTCCCCGCTTCAGGCCCTCCCATCCTGCTAGACACTCCCCACACCCCCGGGCTCCCAACACTTCCCTGGACTTTCCTTCCGACTCTGCCCCCGTAGGGCCCCTCATCAGCCTGCCCGCAAGCTCCCCCTTTAACACCAGCCCCTGCAAATCCCTCTTTCAGGCCTTCTGTCTTCACACGTTCCCCTCTCCCCAGGCCTAGGGTCCTTATAGAACCGCCCTCCAGGCTCCCATTTCCCTATAGATTCCTCCCTCCATCATTGCTAGGACCTCTTCCAGGTCGTCAGCCCCACTCTGAACTTTCAGCACTGCTCAAGTCCTTCCTCCAGATTCTCCATCCCTCTCTGGTCTCAGGCTTTCCAACCATGGATCCTCCTCCTGGGCCCAAGTTCCCCAACAGGTACCTGCCCCTGGCGCCTTCCAATCATAGCCAGGCTCCCCTCCAAGACCGGATCCCCAATAAATACATCTTCCAAACCCTCCAACTTTACCGTCTATTTCCCGGTCTCTGCCCTAAGTACTCCAGGGTCGGCCTCAATCTGGCCCCATCATTCACATCACACCCCCCCTACGCCCCTCAAGTACTCTCATGTCCCCCTTTCGGGCCCTCCTTTTTTTCCGGTTCACCTTCCAGCCCACTTTCCCCTTCAGTCCCACACTTGTCTCCATCCTCCCCATATCTTCCTTGCAGACCCCCATCCCCCGCAGGCCCTCCTCATCAGCCAGGCTCCATCTCCCTGAGGCCCTCCTTATAACTAGGCTCCACCTCCTTCAAGGCCCCCCTTCCAAGCCCCTCAGGCCGTCCATCTCTACTGACTTCGCCCTTCCCGGCCTTGCACCCCCCTCAGGTTCCCCGTCCTGGTCCTCAAAGACCTGTGGGTCTACCCCCACGCTCTGCAGACGTCCCTGGCCAACCGGCGCCTCCCTCCCTCACCCGGCGAGAGCGAGGCCGATGCCGAAGCAGAGAAGGTAGTTGGTTTGGTAGTAGAGGAGGTTGTTGATGACGCGGTGGCACCATCGCTGCGGGTCGCATGGATCCGGAGCCGCCAGACGCGCCGACCCCAGAACAAAGTCGTCCAGGGCGCGTAGCGGTGGCAGCCGCACCTCCGACATCCTGCCGGTTAATGTGGCTGGACCAGCCAGGAGGGGGCCGGACTACAACAACCGTTACGCCCCTCGCCACCGCGGGGCACACCGGGAAATGGAGTCTGGGCTGGGCAGCTTTTTCCTAACCTCCTAGGTGGATTGCGCAGGGGCGGCGATGCACGTGACCGGAAAAGCAACTAACACGCCGCTCAGGAAAGCAGCAAAGGCTGCCGGGAAATCAAGCCTTTGCCACGAAGCGAGATGCTCCCAACCCTTAAAACTGCCATCCACCCCCGCGCGGGGCGCCGCAGGGGCTGCTCCGGGCGGTGCCAGCGGCTCAAGCACAAAGTAGCCAGACAGATAAGAAAGGAGGGACTGTCACAAGGATCCGAGTTGGATTCCACCTCCTTCCTGTCAGCGCCCAAGAGGGTCACATTTCTCCAGGAAACTCCATGCCCCGCCCCTGAGGTCAAGCCGTAAATGCCATTAAGGGCCTTTTATTCGTATTCATCACATCGGAGATCATCTCTTCCTAGGAAGCTTTTAAAAAATCCCCAGGTTGGATTAGGGCACTCCCTCTGGGTCCCTGGCAATTTCCTCCAGGTTAGGGATCCCAAGGGGTCGCTGCCTTCCTGGGTCTCTGGCCTGGCCCTTGGGGCACACAGTCATCAAGAAGTGCTGGGGGGAAGTGAGCTCTTTATTTAGACATAGCTCTGCTGAGTGGAAAGTGGGCACCAGCCCCATTAATGCTTGCTGGCTGGTGGCTTCCAAGCACGCCCCACTGCCAAGGCTCAGCTCTGCAGTTCTGCCACTGCAGGTCCCTAGCACAGCCCCCAGGGTCCTTAAAAGTCATCATCATCACAGATGTCAAGGTACACGTCGAAAGCCTCTCTGTTGCAGTTTCCATCAGGAGTGAAGACATATTTGTGGAAGGTCCCATCTACGCAGATGGCTGGGGGAGGGGGGGTGGTAAAAGGTCAGAGGCTGCCACAGCCACAGGCTCCAGTCCTCTCAGGCATCTCAGGACCTAGGGTCTGCCTCCAGGCCTTTGCCCAGTGCTGTCCCCCTTACTGATGATGAAGCTGAGCCTCACATGGCCCTAAAATCCTTTCAGGTCCAACCTGCAGGCCTTTGCCCCATGCAGTACCCCCAACCAAGGGGCTGTTCCCACTCACCAATGACAGAGTTGACGTTCTTGGAAGTATTGCGACCGAAGGCGCAGATGCAAGCTGACTCAGCAGGCACAGTGAAGCTCGCCAGGCTCCACTGAGAGTCCACGTACTGCCCAATCATAGGCCCCACCTTGCCCACGCGAGCCAGCCTGCAGGCAGCACTGGCTAAGCCCAGGTATGGTAAATGGGCAGGGGGACAGGGACACGGTAGGGTGGGGAGGGGGTACTCACGCGGAGCGGCGGTTGAGGCGGGTATCCTTGAGAGCAAAGATATGGACAGTACCCTTATCACTGGAAGCGCAGAGGAAGGAGGAGTCGTGGCTGAAGTTAATGCTAGAAGACAGATCAGCAGTGATGCCCACATGTCATGTGGTATGGGGTCACCAGCCCACCATGCATACCCTGTGCTCACCAGTAGAGGGTGGCAGGGTCAGTGCCTCGGCGCAGCTCCACCAGTTTCTCCTTGGATTGTGTGTCAAAGAGGCGAATAAGGGTACCCTTCTGGGAGGCTGAGGCCACTACAGTGCCTGGCTGGTTTAGAGACACACAGGCTATGTCACTCTGATGTGCATTGATCGTGAATGGAGCAGACGAGGTGCCAGGCTTTGTGCTCGCCAGGTCCTGGGGTAGGAGGGAGGAGTCTGAGGTTGGGGTGGTATGGAGGGAAGGGGCCAAGAGTCCACAAGGAAGCCAGTCCACCAACCTACCCACCCTTGTCCACTGGACGGCTCACCACAAGTTGCAGACTCCCACACTTGTGTCCCGGGAACACTAGCAGTTGCTTCTCCAGGCTGGGGCAGAGGTCACAGAGCCCTAGGGTGTGAAGATGGGGGGTGGGGTGGGCGGCTGAAGAGGAGGCAGCATCTCAGAATGGACAGAGCTGGATGAGGACCAGACTTCAACCCTCCACGATAAGCTTAACCCGAAGAACCCTGAGGGGGCTCAGCTCAGCTGCACGCCCCGCCAGCTAGGCAGATTCCATTCCTTGCTCTGCAGCTGTGGAATCTAGTAAGCTGCTATCACAGCCCCAGAAGCTCAGGGATCCCTGACACACCCACCCATGTCCTCACGAGGTGTTTTTGCTCTGCCACTGGGGTACCCAGGGGTGGGGCAGGTCCGGAGGTGGGGAGAACTGGCTGAGGGCTGGAAAGATGGAGAGGCTATGAGTGTGAGCATCTCCCTGCCTCTTTCCCCATTTCTCTGTGTGTGAGTGCCCCTTCCTTTCTTTCCTCATCTCTGCCCCTCTGCCCCATCCACTGTTTCATGCCCTTACACCTGTGTATCTGAGCCCTCTCACCCTTGGGGTTGTCCCGGGTATCAAACTCAAACAGCTTTCGGGGATTGTCGGGGAAGGAGTACACATAGATGCGGTTCTTCAGCACGATCACGATCCTGTGGGTATCACACAACACAGGATGGCCGTGAGGGGGTGGCGGGATGCCCAGGGAGGACTATCCCTCTCACTTACTGTGGGGACCTCCTACCTCCCACCCCGGTCCTCCTCAGGCTCACTTGTCATGGCGCATGCGCACAGAAAGCACTGGCTTGGTGAAGGTGAACTCCAGCACCAGCTTCTCCTTGGAGTCCTTGCCCTCCCGGGCATCGTCCCAGATCAGCACTGCTGGGCAGGTGGGTGGGTTGTCGGGGCCAAGGTTTAGGGTAAGGGGCAGCCCTGGTGACACAGGATCCACCCCTGCTTCCCAGGGACCTCAACCTACTTGCTTAGCCTTTCAATAAACAACCAGTGAGATCCTCGCACAGCACGAGCACTTGTGGATATGATCCCTGAGAGGAGTGTTCTAGACTGTTACACTCATCTACAGATGAGGAAACTGAGGTTCAAAGTGGTTGAGTGTCTGGCCAAGGACCTCAAAGCTCATCAGCAACCAAACAGGGACTCACACTCAGGCCTGTAACTTCCCCTCGGTAACTATTTCTGCCTCCAGGGTCCTAGTCCATGCACCCTGGAGATTTCCGTGAGGAATCCTAGGGCTCTGTGACTCACCTAGGGCAACTCCTGCCTTGTCCAGATGGGATCATCAAGAAAAACCCTTAAAGTAAGATGGCACTTGAGGCTCAAGCCAAGGGGGTATTGGGAAGACGGCTCCAAGATTTTAAAACCTATTGCTTGTGTGACCTTGGATGAGTCACTTAACTGCACTGGGCCTCAGTTTCCTCATCGGTAAAGATGGGGATAATGATCCTTCCTACCCCATAGAGTTACTGTGAGGATTAAATGAGTTAATAAACGTAAAGTGCTTAGGGCAGTTCCAGGCTCACAGTAAGTGCTCTAGGGCATGGCACACAGGAGGCACTCAATCAGAATTTTTAAAATGAAAACAAAGCACCAAGCTTCTCAAGCTATAAGATCCATGACTTCCAAGCTGTAGGCCTCCTCTCTGTGTGACTCTGAAGTACTCTGACGTCTTCATCTGCCAGTACCTTGGGGTGCCTGTGGGAGGCCAGGAATCCGAGAAATCTGGGCCAAAGGGCAGGATGAGGGCACTTACCTGAGATCTCTGAGAACTTGGGACTACTACCACCGCCCACCAAGGCCAGAAGGTTGGAGCGGTGCAGCATCTCCACCAAGCCCATGCTGCCCACCTGCTCGTGGTCTGGACAGGGACCAGGGTGTCAGTGGAGGTGGGAGCCAACGCCCAGCCCAGCTCTTCTGCCCATTGCCCCTCCCCTGCCAACAGCTCACCCAGATGCCCCTTCTCCATCAAGGGCTCCACGTTGTAGATGCGCACACCTGTCTCCATGGCGCAGCAAAAGCAGCCTGGGGGATGGAAGGAATCCAGACTGCCTTAAAGAATGCCCAGGTAGGAAGCTGGGGGCCCATGGCCCACTTCTGACCCCTCTTTTCCTCGCTTCCTCCCACAAGGGTACAGGCCCAATCCTCTCTCACTTTGGTCTTGGTTGAAACGCAGGCTGGTCACTCCTCGAAGTGGCTGTTGAGTCATGGTGCAGGATTGTTCCTCTGCATACAAATGGGATAAAGATGAGAAGAGTCCTGGAATCTCCCCTCCAAGTTCTGCCTCACCTGATTTCCTCCTCCTACTCTGCTAACTACTGACTCTGGAGTGACTGCAAAAAAGATAAAAACAGGCCAGGCGTGGTGGCTTATGCCTGTAATCCCAGCACTTTGGGAGGCCAAGGCGGGTGGATCACCTGAGGTCAGGAGTTTGAGATCAGCCTGGCTAACATGGTGAAATCCCGTCTCTAATAAAAATACAAAAGTTAGCCGGGTGTGGTGGGGGGCACCTATAATCCCAGCTACTCAGGAGGCTGAGGCAGGAGAATTGCTTGAACCCGAGAGGCTGAGATGGCAGTGAGCCGAAATCGAGCCATTGCATTCCAGCCTGGGTGACAGAGCGAGACTCCGTCTCGGGGGGAAGAAAAAGATAAAAACAGAGAGTCCCAGGGTCTCTGCTCTAAGCTCCCAAGATCCCAAACAACATGGCCAGGAACCCTCCTTCTTTCAGGTTTGGCAAGCTCCAGGCCCACACTGACGTGGACCCCACACCTCCTCTTTACATGCTGGCCCTCACTGACTTGTCAGGAAGTAATGTGATAGGGGGTGCCCCCGTGATATCTCCTCCCCACCGCCAGCCAATCTTGATCCCAATGCCAGACATGGCCTGGAACCACTCCCAACCCATTTCTCATCTTCAAACCTGACCTAGCACCGGACTCTCTCAATAAATAGACAAAAGTGGGCTAGGAGATGCACTTCTTGTACCTCCCTGACTTGGCCCTGGGACTGCTATGCTTGGTCTGCCATCCCCAGGAACTCCTCTGCTCATACCCTTCTAACTGTACCCCAACCTATTTGACCACCCCAGAGTCCTCTCACACCTTTCCCCCTCAACCGGCTTCCCCAAACTCCTTCAGGATGCCTACCTTGGGATGACCCCTTCTCATGCCTTGGTAACTACCCTTCAGGGCCAGCCTAGACATTCCCTTAGATTGGCTTATGCCCTGGGGACTCTACCCTAGGATTCCCCCTAGCACTCTAAATTTTCCACCCCTGGGACATCTCCTTCCTTGTGTTCTGCTGTCCTTGACTACAACATAACCTGGCCTGGACCCAACCCCAGGAACCCCCCCCATCCTCCTAAGATTCCCCCTCTAGACCCCTATCCAAGACCCCGCCCCAGGGCACCCTTGCCTTCTAAGACCCTTGCCCAAAACAAACCACCCAAAACTCCTACCTAGGAGAACCTCAACCCCTAAGATGCCTGCGCAGTCCCCTACTAAGATTACTGCCATAGAGCCCCCAACTTCCCTTCAAATCCTCAACTCCCCAATAACTCTGGCCAGACATACTCCCTCCCCCATCCTCCAAGAGTCCAAATCTCCTTCCTTTCTTTCAGTTACACCCTCCACTGGAATGCCTCATGCTCTTTCTTTGGACAGCTCTGCCTTAGAGTTATTCTCTGGACAGCTCCAACTTTCAACACCCCTTTTTTGCACCTCCATTCCAAGACTCTGTCCGGGATGCCTCGCCCCTCTCCCAAGACCAGCCGCATGCTCCTTCCAACGCCAGCACCCACTCAAGACCTCTGCCTTAGACCCCTACTCGAAAGACTTCCAGCCTCCCCCAGACCCAACCAACCCTGGGATCGTGCTCCAGCTTCCTGCCGCCTTCACCGGCCTGACCTCCGCGTGTCCCTGACCCGGGCCCCAGCTGTCGGTGCCGCCCGCGGCCCGGTTTTCTGACCTCCCGGGCCTTGGAGCCCGGCTCGGGTGTTTACATCAGGCCCTACTTCCGGGGGAGGGAGCCTGTCGCAGGAAATGACTCACCCCAGCTGGAAAAAGGCGGCCACCGCCTTCCTCGCCTAGTTCCCGGGTCTTCGGAGCATCGCGAGTGACAGTGGGGTTCTCCGGGGAGGGCGCGGGGAGCGGAGGAAGGTTGGCTGGGGGACCGGAGGCGAAGGGGGTTCCTCAAGGCCGAGACTGTCTGAGGGAACCCGGAAGGGTGGGGAGAGAGAGCGTGCCTTGCCCCCAGCAAAGCGAAACCGGCCAAGCCCTCAGCCCCTTGGTCACCCACAATGGGGGAGTAAACCTTCCCTGCTAACAAGACGCGGACCTCCGCGGCGGCCGAGAGTAGCCGCCCCGGTTCGCAACACACAGTCCTCCCAGGCTTCCAGAGGGGCGGCGCTGGGGGTTACAGGCGGGGGCGGACCTGGAGACCTTGAAAGTGGAGAAACCTCCTTGGCTCCGGGAAGCCAAGGAACAGATTTCGCTTTCTTTCTCCCCACCCTGTCCCCCCAACCCCGCCAGCTCTGAGTTTTGTCTTTTGTGTTTTGTTTAGTTTTGTTTTCTGAGACAGAGTCTCGCTCTGTCTCCCAGGCTGGAGTGCAGTGGCGCGATCTCGGCTCACTGCAACCTCCGCCTCCCGGGTTCAAACGGTTATCCTGCCTCAGCCTCCGGAGTAGCTGGGACTGCAGGCGTGCGCCACCACGCCCATCTAATTTTTGTATTTTTAGTAGAGACGGGGTTTCACCATGTTGGTCAGGCTGGTCTCGAACTCTTGACCTCAGGTTATCCACCCACCTCGGCCTCCCAAAGTGCTGGGATTACAGGCTTAAGCTACCACGCCCGGCCTCTGCTTTTATTTTTACAAAATACAAAATAGCTTTTTGATAGTAAAAGGTATGAATGCTTTGGGTTAAAAAAAAAAAAAAAAAGAGGTCCTACCTATGATAAAGCTTTTAAAAAAAGGCCCCAAATTATATGCATACTGGAAGGAATTTTTTTTTTTTTTTTTTTTTTTGATTAACAGAGTTTGGCTCTTTTTGCCCAGGCTGGAGTGCAATTAGCGCGATCTTGGCTCACCACAACCTCCGCCTCCCGGGTTCAAGGGATTCTTCTGCCTCAGCCTCCCCAGCCTCCCAAGTAGCTGGGATTACAGGCATGTGCCACCACGCCCAGCTAATTTTGTATTTTTAGTAGAGACCGGGTTTCTCCCTGTTGATCAGTCTGGTCTTGAACTCCTGACCTCAGGTGATCCGCCTGCCTCGGCCCCCCAAAGTGTTGGGATTACAGGCGTGAGCCACTGCGCCCGGCTGGAAGGATTTTTAATTAAACTTTACATTAAGAAATAATAAATAGGCTGGGCGCGGTGGCTCACGCCTGTAATCCCAGCACTTTGGGAGGCCGAAGCAGGCAGATCATGAGGTCAGGAGTTCGAGATCAGCCTGGCCAGCATGGTGAAACCCCCTCTCTACTAAAAATACAAAAAGTTAGCCAGGCATGGTGGTGCGTGCCTGTAGTCCCAGCTACTCGGGAGGCTGAGGCAGGAGAATCACTTGAAGCCAGGAGGAGGAGGTTGCAGTGAGCAGAGATCGCACCACTGCACTCCAGCCTGGGTAATAGAGTGAGACTCTGTCTCGAAAAAAAAAAAAAAAGCCGGGCGTGGTGACACGCGCCTGTAATCCTAGCTACTGGGGAGGCTGAGGCAGGAGAACCACTTAAACCTAGGAGGCGGAGGTTGCAGCAAGCCCAGATCCTGCCATTGCACTCCAGCCTGGGAGACGAGCGAAATTCCCGTCTCAAAAAAAAAGGGCTGGGCATGGTGGTGCATGCCTGTAATCCCAGCAATTTGGGAGGCCGAGGCAGGTGGATTGCCTGAGCTCAGGGGTTTGAGACCACCCTGGGTAACACGGTGAAACCTCCTCTCTACTAAAATACAAAAAATTAGCCGGGCGTGGTGGCGGGCACCTGTAAGTCCCCTACTTGGGAGGCTGAGGCAGGAGAATCATTGGAACCCAGAAGGCAGAGGTTGCAGTGAGCCAAGATCGCGCCACTGCACTCCAGCCTGGGCAACAGAGGGAAACCCTGTCTCCAAAAAAAAAAAAAAAAAAAGAATATTCTTGAAAAAAAAGAAATATGCTTTTTGCAGTGGCAGTATCATAGCCAATGAGGTTTAGCCAAGGTGTGGATATTGCTAATTGGAAACTTCCCAATACCCCGCCCCGAAGACTTGCAATATAGTCGGCATTGGCAATTTTTGACAGTCTATGAAGACTGAATATTAAAGAAAAAATACAGAGAAATCTCATACTTTTAATACAATCAGGGTTTCACATTGATGAAATCCCCCCTTTACTTTTTTTGAAGTATTGTTTTGATGCTTCTGTTTTTTCATATATTAATATATAAGAACATCTTTTTAACTCATCCTTTTTAACTGGTTCATGATATTATGTAGCATTGTTCAGCCCTTCCCCAACTGATGGCTGCCTAGGTTGTTTCAGATACTGTGTCGTCAATTCCCATGTATATATTTACTTGTGAATTTTGGCCCTATATACTCCCCTTGGCATGATTCCATTACTGTGCTCCTCAACAAGGCCAATCATCTGGCTTTCTTCAGACTCCACTTCCTCATGTCCCAGACCATATTCAACTCAATTCAATTTGGTGTTTGTCACTCCTGTGTCTTTGGGACTGCTCTTAACCAGACCACTGATGAATAATAATCTTGCCAAACCAGCAATCACTTCTCTGCCCTCTCCTGTGACTTTCTAGTGAAACCCACAATTTCTTCCTCTCACTCTCTTGGTTTTTCTTTTTCTTTCTTTCTTTTTTTTTAAGATGGAGTCTCACTCTGTCACCTAGGCTGGACTGCAGTGGCACGATCTCGGCTCACTGCAACCTCTGCTTCCTGGGTTCAAGTGATTCTCCTGCCTTAGCCTCCTGAGTAACTGAGATTACAGGCATGCACCACCACGCCCAGCTAATTTTTTTTTTTTTTTTTGAGACGGAGTCTCGCTCTGTCATCCAAGCTGGAGTGCAGTGGGGCGATCTCGGTTAACTGCAACCTCCGCCTCCCGGGTTCAAGCGATTCTCCTGCCTCAGGCTCCCAAGTAGCTGGGATTATAGGCATGCACCACCACGCCCGGCTAATTTTTGTATTTTTAGTAGAGACGGGGTTTCACCATGTTGGTCAGGCTGGTCTCGAACTCCTGACCTCGTGATCCGCCCGCCTTGGCCTCCCAAAGTGCTGGGATTACAGGCGTGAGCCACCGCGCCCAGCCTAATTTTTGTATTTTTAGTAGAGATGAGGTTTCACCATATTGGCCAGGCTGGTCTGGAACTCCTGACCTCGTGATCCACCCATCTCGGCCTCCCAAAGTGCTGGGATTACAGGCTTGAGCTACCACGCCCGGCCTCTCGTTTTTTTTTTTTTTTTTTTTTTCTCCATCTCTGGCTACTCCTCCACTTGTATCAAACTTCCAAATATTAGAATATCCTTGGGTATAATCCTGTCTGATCCTCTCTTCCTAAGTGACTTCCTCTTCTCCTGTAGCCTTAATTATTGCAAATATTTGGAAGATCCTCTAGGCCTTCAGCTTAGACCTTTCTCTGGAACACCAGACTCAAACGTACTGTAATGACCTGTTTGACATTCATGTGGGTGTCACATACTGCTTATCCATCCAAACAGATTTGTTCTATTTCCTTTGCTCAGATGCTCCCCCACTGTCTCCTTCATCTCAGCCAATGGCATCACAATACAGTTTGTGGCCAGGCGTGGTGGCTCACGCCTGTAATCCCAGCACTTTGGGAGGGCGAGGTGGGCGGATCACTTGAGGTCAGGAGTTGAGACCAGCCTGGCCAACACGGTGAAACCCCATCTCTACTAAAAATACAAAAATTAGCTGGGTGTGGTGGTGCACACCTCTAATCATAGCTACTCAGGAGGCTGAGGCGGGAGAATCGCTTGAACCCGGGAGGCGGAGGTTGCAGTGAGCTGAGATTGCACCACTGCACTCCAGCCTGGGTGACAGAGCGACACTCTGTCTAAAAAAAAAAAAAAAAAAAAAGAATAAAAATTAAAATACATTTTGTTACTTGAGTCAAAGAGCAGATATATCATGCTTAATTCCCCTCCATTTTCTTTTTCTTTTTTCTTTTTTTTTTTTTTTTGATAGAGCCTTGCTCTGTCGCCCAGGCTGGAGTGCAATGGTGTGGTCTCAACTCATTGCAACCTCCGCCTTCTGGGTTCAAACGATTTGCCTGCCTCAGCCTCTCAAGTAGCTGGGATTACAGGTGCCCACCACCACACTCAGCTAATTTTTGTATTTTTAGTAGAGACGGGGTTTCACCATCTTGGTCAGGCTGGTCTCGAACTCCTGACCTCAGGTGATCCACCTGCCTTGACCTTCCAAAGTGCTGGGATTACAGGCATGAGCCACCATGCCCAGCTGATTCCCCTCCATTTTCATTGGCAAATTCTGTTGGTCGCACTGTCAAAAGTTATCATGGGCTGGGCATGGTGGCTCATGCCTGTAATCTCAGCACTTTTGGGAAGCTGAGGTGGGAGGATTCCTTGAGGCTAGGAGTTTGAGACCAGTCTGGGCAAGTCCCTGTCTCTACAAGAAAAAAGGTGTCATGCACTCTCAGTCAAAGTGGAATAACAGGGACCAACTTTGTCCTCTCACAGGAAACAACCAACTTTGCCCCCCACAAAAAAACCAAAATACATGAAACAATGATTTTTTTTTTTTTTGACGGAGTCTCACTCTGTTGCCCAGGCACAATCTCACAATGGCAAGATCTCTGCTCACTGCAACCTCTGCCTCCCAGGTTCAAGTGATTCTCCTGCCTCAGCCTCCTGAGTAGCTGGGGTTACGGGCACCTGCCATCATGCCTGGCTAATTTTTATATTTTTAGTAGAGATGGGGTTTCACCATGTAGGCCGGGCTGGTCTTGAACTCCTGACCTCAGGTAATCTGCCCGCCTCGGCCTCCTAAAGTGCTGAGATTACAGGTGTGAGCCACCGCGCCCGGCTGAAACAATGATTTTTAAGACATTAGACATCAGGCACCAAAGGACAGTGATCCCTGAAAGATGGGAAACAACGTGAGCACTACAACTGTCCCAGCACACTGCCTGGAGAGCTTCCATGCTATGGCACTGGAACGGGAAACTGAGGCAGCGCCTGGTGGACTCCCTAAGTTGAGGTGGTCCAGAGAGACAAGGGCAGCTGGAGTTAAAAGGACAGAATGTCAGCAGAGAGGAGCACAGAGAATCACAGAGATCTGCAGAGGGTCCCCCTTCAGTATTTAGCGGAGTGCTTATCAACACATGCATATGAGGCAGCTACCTAAGGCCAGGAAAAGAACCATCCAAATGGATTGGAGGGAACAGGTCCTGACACTCACATGGAGCTTCTGAAAATAGTGCCTGCACCCACCAACCAGACTGGAAAACTCATAATTCACAGGGCATAGAGTACACAGGAATGTCTTGTCTCAGTTGTGGGGAGTAACTAGCCCTAGACTTAGTATTGCTCCAGGCTCACTTTACACATCATAAAAGAAGACCCTAAAAGATCCTTAGGAATAACAAAGATTGATAAGAATTAAAAAAGACCCAGCTCCTAAAAAGGTAAAGTTGACAATGTCTGTTATCCAAACAAAGATTACCAGGCATAAAAAGAAGCAGGAGGCTGGGTGCAGTGGCTCATGCCTGTAATCCCAGCACTTTGGGAGGCGGAAGGTGAGCAGATTGCTTGAGCCCAGGAGTTGGAGAAGAGCCTGGGAAACATGGTGAAACCCTGTCTCTACAAATAATTTTAAAAGTTAGCTGGGAGTGATGGCGTGTGCCTCTAGTCCCAGCTACTCAGGAGGCTGAGGTGGGAGGATTGCTTGTGAGCCATGATGGGGCCATTGCACTTCAGCCTGGGTGACAA